>NC_000002.12:13384315-13691071 GCF_000001405.40 Homo sapiens | reverse complement strand
TTTATATCTCTTAAAAAGTATAATAAAGAGCCATTGCCATTGCTTTTCTTAAGTAATAACAGTTAAGATGCTTTCATGTATCAACAAGTCTACCCTATGACTTAGAATTTCTATTTAAATTTTGATCTTCCTTTCCTTAAAATTATCTGCATAAAAATTAGCTGTCAGATTTCTTTTTTCCAGATGCATACAGTGATCCTCAAAGTTATGTAGAGCCTCATCAGTATGTGGTTTGCAAAGAGCAGTCACGGTTTCTACCATTTCCTTATACTTAGTGGGATTTGTGGGCTTTGAATGGTCACAATAATCAAATGAAGTTCTTAACTGCCAGAAAGAAAGCATACGGGTCCAGAAAATTCCTCTGCAAGGATTACACATGAAGACCATCTCTTTCACCAAAGCCTGTAAAGCACATAAGTGAATGCATATTAATGCAATGGTTTTCCTATTTCCTGATGGCACCAAAATTACATGGGTACATCTGCCATGTTTCCAAACTAATGACCAGGAACATCAATTAAATAAATAGACCAATGAGATAGGATGTTTCAGCCAACCCTGTTAATGTTATGGATAGGAAGTGAAGGCTACTTACTTAAAAACCATTGAGATGGCCAGGCCTGGTGGCTCATGCTTATAATCCCAGCATTTTGGGAGGCCAAGGTGGGCAGATCACCTGAGATCAGGAGTTTGAGACCAGCCTAGCCAACATGGTGAAACCCTGTCTCTGCTAAAAATACGAAAAAAAAAAATTAGCCAGGCATGGTGGTGCACACCTGTAATCCCAGCTACTCAGGATGCTGAGGCAGGAGAATTGCTTGAGCCTAGGAGGTGGAGGTTGCAGTGAGCCAAGATTGTGCCACTGCACTCTAGCATGGGTGAGAAAGCAAGACTCCATCTTAAAAAAAAATCATTGAGATGACTGGACTAGGAAAATAGTGTTCTCTAAAACTGCATCTCACACAAATTTTAGGGGCAGGAAGCTAAACGATGGTCCTCCAACTGCTAGCATTGAGTGAGGGACCCCTGCGATGCTTAAAAAAAATGTTGTCAGTACTAAATCTCACAATGCTGTAACTAGGGCAGGTGTTGCTTTGGAAGAACAAATAAAGAAAGTGTCACCAAAATCTCAACATGCCAAAGCGACGAATAAGTTTAGGCTTATTTATCAAGGTTGAAAAGCTGGTAGCAGTAGCATTGGGAAAACATGGTTAGCACAAGGGAATGGTTCTTGGGTAATCAAATCACCACCCGAGAAAATTGCAGTGCTCCTTTACTTATCATTTGGCCTAGGGTTTCTAACAGGGTTGTTACACACAAAATCAAGGAGTAATATTTATTGGTTTAAATGCTGTTTAATTACATATTTCTCAAAAATGTATAATAATTGAAAAGAAGATATTATTAGCTAAATCATGTATACGTTATGTTCATAATTTAATCATTGTAAAAATAACTTCTACTTTCACCATTAGTGCACTAGAGCATGCAAATTCTAGCTAGTTCTTGTAAATTTCACAGCATATTAAACAGGTAATATATATTGTCTTAGAAATATGAAAAAAAGAAACTCAAAATTCTAACATGTATGCTATTGCAAAACATAACAATACAGAATCTATTTTTGCTAATATTTCTATAAAATATATTCAAACTATTCCATTGCTGCGCTCTGAAGATTTCAAGTCGTGTATCATTGAGCTTTGAAAATAACAAATATTGGCTCACCTTCTGATTTTTCTCTAACAAGTTGTATATGCTGCAGCATTTTAATTAGATTCTTTGAACCTGGTTTTCCATTTAAAAATGTAAATAATATTGCTTACTTTAAAAGGTTGATTTGAGAATAAATAAGAAAATGTACACTGAGGTTACAGCACAGTGCCTGGCACTGAATAGATGCTTTAGTAGTGCTAGTAATTTCTCTCTCCATTCTTTTTAAAAAAGGTTGAACAGGTGGGTGTATTATAGTATACAAATGAAAAATTTCAAATAATTTAACATAAAAAACTCACATAACATATAATAAAGTAGCATGATATCATATAAAAATTATACTTTGTTTGCAATAATGGTGAAAACTAACTCTACAAACTGAAAGGGAAGACTTTAAATGAAAACAATCATATGACATAACCATTAAACCAAGAAAGCTAGAGACATACAACTGGGCTCAGAAAGATTGAATTCAGTTCTGGCTACTTCTCTATAAGAAGAATATTAAAGGATGAATTTAAATGTGTAAAAGATGGCAAGAAATTTACCTCCAGACAACGAGTGTGAGTGGCACCAAAATATCTTAGAAAACAACCAATAAAAATATCAACTCATTGGATATTTTAACACCTCCATCTCAGCCCCGACCAGAACACATGTGCACACATGCACGCATACACACACATACACACACACACACACACACACACACACATGCAGATGTGAAATGGAAATTTAGATGAGGCTGAAAGTGAAGGTAAGGGATAGGGTTTGGTGGGGAAGGGAAATTAGGATTCTTCATCCAATCTATGTCTATCCCAAGAGTGTGGAAAGACCCTTCTCAGTTGCAAGATTATGAACCCAAAGTTCCATTTCTCAAAGTTTTGTTGTATTGTGTATGTCAAGGACAGTCTTTCTCTGATGTACTCAGAAGATCTAAATCATAAAAAGCTATTTATCTAGTGAAAATACACTGTAGTATAATAATCTGTTATAACATCAACCCTCTTGCATGGGAAAGCTTTTATACAATCAGAAAACATGCATTGAAAATAACCATTGAATGAAATTCCTTTATAAAATGTTTAAATGTCCCACCAGGTAACCAAATGTACCTGAAGCTTTAACTGTTTTCCCAGGAATATGGGGCCAACCATTGGTTATAAACTATTTTAGTAATTTGTAAGTTACCACACCAATATATTCTATTTGGATTACTTTATCTTCTCCATGATGAGTCATGGAATGCAGAACTTTTAATAATAAAAGTTTCAGGACTCAGGAAAAACAAGGTAGTCATCCTGGTTTTCCATGAGCCCATGCTTAATTAACATTAGACTTATATCCTCTTGAATACCAGTTGTTTTTCCAAATTAAGTGCATAGCACTGATAAACAATGGGTTATCATAGGCAATTTGACTTAGACCGTGGAATTTATTCAAATTGTATATTTAAACAATTTCAGTATCAGCTGGTTTAACATAAAAATCTGACAAACTATTTTTTGGTATTTAATTTTTTATTCTACTTGGTTAGCAGCTTTATACAAGGTAATTTGGTTATTCTGTGGTTTATAATAACATAATAACCATAATTACACCACATAATTAGACATTAGAATTTTAGAAATCCCATACCATTTTGGAACATATATTAATATTATTCACAATAATATAACCTAAAGAAGATTGAATATCATTTGGCAATCCCACGTAGCTAAACATGTTGAATAATTCAGTTTACCTCTTTTCTAGATGTTTTTTGGGGGCCTTCTGATTCATCCAAGGAGCCAGGCATTAGGAAAGACAATTTTGAAACCGATGTTTGATTTTTGGAAACCTGCTAACTATGTTAGAGGCTTAAAACACTCGATGTTATGAAATAGAATTCCAGATTACTATAAATTACTTATTTTGCCAAAATGATGACTCAAAAGGCAAAAACCTTTCATTAGCTTTTACTATTACATGAAAATCCTGATCAAAGCCAAATTTTACCCTTGAATTAGTTTAACAATATTGTTTTCTTTCTCTCTTTTTCTTTTTCTTTTTTTTTCTTTTTTGAGATGGAGCTTCTCTCTTGTTGCCCATCCTAGAGTGCAATGGCATGACCTCTGCTCACCACAACTTCCACCTCCTGGGTTCAAACAATTCTCCTACCTCAGCCTCCTGAGTAGCTGGGATTAGAGGCATGCACCACCATGCCCAGCTTATTTTGTGTTTTTAGTAAAGATGGGGTTTCTCCATGTTGGTCAGGCTGGTCTCAAACTCCCAACCTCAGATGATCCACCTGCCTCAGCCTCCCAAAGTGCTGGGATTACAGGCATGAGCCACTGCACCAGGCCTAGTTTATTAATGTTAACCCCAATTTTTAAAATAAAACCTTATAGAGGATTCCATCTAATCT
The DNA here is from genome assembly GCF_000001405.40 of Homo sapiens. Taxonomy (NCBI): domain Eukaryota; kingdom Metazoa; phylum Chordata; class Mammalia; order Primates; family Hominidae; genus Homo; species Homo sapiens. The sequence continues at coordinate 13,686,948 of NC_000002.12, read as the reverse complement.
TAACCAATTTAACTTTGATGTGAAGTCTTTACAAACCTTTTATAACCTTTTTGCTAAAGGACAGAAGAGTGTCTTAAGACAACCTTGCTGTGTGTTTATTTCAATGCTCAATTTATGAAAAGATCCTATAATACCCTTTTGAATTTAGTTAATGTTTACACATGGGAGTTTTGCAAGATTAATTTTTACAGTCTTTCTATAACTTTCTTAAACCTTCATCTTTCTTGTCTAATTTAAGACAATCCTTCATGACTAGGCAAAATTTACATTTTACATTTCCTTGGCTTATAATATTTTACTAGAACACATTCTATTGTTTTTACACATCATACATGTAAATTTACTTTTAATAGTTTAAATTACATGTTATGATGGTAACTTTTATAAATTTTTAACTTTAGTGTGAAACCTAGTAACTTATTTTGATTACATATTAGGCATAGAGAAAGTCTATTTCCAGCCTATTTAGGGATGTGGTTAATTTCATATGTCCCTGGGCCTTACCAAGTTGTAAAGCATGCAGTTTACAGCCTTGAAACACTTAGCAAACCTAGTGTCTGACTTATATGACTTAGACCACCTATTTACATTTTGATGATATATGTGTTTTACCAACGATCTCTTAAGACTTTTTTTGAATGATTAAAGTCACATAACATAAAAGGCATTACAGCTTTTATCTTTCCTTTAAAAAATATTTGATTTAAGCACTTATTTTTATTTATTTATTTATTTGTTTTTGAGATGGAGTCACCCAGGCTGGAGTGCAGTGGCGTGATCTTGGATCACTCCAACCTCCACCTCCCAGGTTCAAGCAATTCTCCTGCCTCAACCTCCTGAGTAGCTGGGATTACACATGCACATCACCACCTGGCTAATTTTTTGTATTTTAGTAGAGACAGGGTTTCACTGTGTTGCCCAGGCTGGTCTCAAACTACTGAGCTCAGGCAATTCACCCGCCTCGGCCTCCCAAAGTGCTAGGATTACAGGTGTGAGCCACCTAAGTGCTTATTTTTTAAGCCAATTAATTATAGCTTCGTTTTTATAGACATTACACACTATATATATATAGAGAGAGAGAGAGAGACAGAGAGAGAGACAGACAGACAGTCTGAAGATTTAGTGTTTGTAAGATTTTTTATTTCTAGTTTCTTAATTGGATTACTGGCTTCAGGGTGGAGCCTTTGGAGGAACAGGGCCAGGAAAGCATGCATCTTTAGGGCTTAATAAGCAGGCACAGTGAAGCAAAGGCAGATCGCCAAAATTAAGTGTGCTATTTTATATTGGATCTTGGGTTCCCAAAAGGAGGGAGATAGTAAGGGAGAAGACAGTGCATTGCTTCTACCATTCATTTCATTGCAAGGCAACCCAAAGCCAATCAATCAATTTTGTAATTAGCCCATCTGTCATGGAAGTCTCATCTCTTAATAGGTGGTGGGGATGTTTCCATATATTTCAGGTGGCCAAAACCATGCTTCTTCAATTCAAATGTGCAAAGAGTTAAGTATCCCTTCATAGTTACTATTAGCCAACACTTAAAGTATATTTTCTACCTAGTTATTACACACCAAAGTTCTCTCATAATGCAAAGTAATTTCTGATGCCCCAAAACCTTAAAACCATCAGATAACACAATACAAAACAGAACAGAGCCTTTGATATTGAGAGGGATCTATTCACTTTTAATTCTTGAGGTTTCATGAGGAAGACAGAGTTTTTTTTTTCCCAAATTGGGATCTGTGGCACCTCCTCTGTTTTTCCCAAGGAGTCCCTGGCTACCAGAAGTTACCTTGGGGCCTTTCATTTGCATTAAGAATGGCAAGAAATAACTCAGTCGACTGAGAAGAAAAAAAAAAAACTTTTTTTCCAGAAAAACAAGATTCAAGAAGAGAAAAACATAAAAAGTCCTTTTAAATATACCTATAACAGATATCCACTTTTAATTATGCTGAGCACTCTTTAAAAAAATCATTTAAAATCCCTTGTTACTTGACTTAAGCCACACCAACCAGTTAAGATTTTTGGCTTTTGAACTTTACAAAAAGTACCCTTATAGGTGAAACCAACAAGCATTAATTAGATTATGACTTACTTGCGAGTGTACAAGGTATTTTCAAAGGAGAGGGTAAGCAGGTTTTGAAAACATCATTGCAAAATTGTGACTGAGACAGTGAAAGAGATCCAACCCAACAAACTCCATCATGCTTCCTGCCCTCAAGATGTCCTTGCCTATCCCTGGGCGTAGGCTGAACTAACTCTGGGAGGAGCCTGGTTTACAGTTTACAGTCCAAAACAAAGATGATAATAGCCCCTTCCTAAAATATACTTCCCTCTTGCCTGGGGAACAGATAATGAAACTAGTCACAAGATTAGAGACCATGGCTTAGGAGTCACACAGATGAAGGCTATAAGATTTTGACCCTCCCTAAACTACTCTCAAGATCTGTGCTTAAGATATCTTGTAAACCTTATACTTAATGGATCAGCTGGGACCACCCAGATTGATAAACTGGCTTATCTGATTTTGTAGCCCCCTCCCAGGAACTGACTAAGCACCAGAAGACAGCCGCCATTGTAAAATGGTTGAGACTAAAAGTATTTCCATGTGATTACAGGTCATGTTCCCAAGGACATGATACCAGATGGAGGCCTGTGGCCAAATTTGTTACTGACCACTTTGTTGGATTGGCTTGAACAGCAAACATATGGGGTCCTAGGCCTGCATTCTATCCTGAGGTACCCTTTCTTTTGACAGAACTGTACAGAAAGACACACAAAGCACACCAGATTGGCTATAGCTTAAGAACAACCTCACAAATACTTTTTCATTAATTAAAACTTTACAGAGGAGATAAACAGTGACTTTTACTTTTCATTTAACCAGTCTGCACAGAGAGAAAGAGGCCAGAGACTGGTAAGAATTTTTCACCCTTTTGCCAGCATGTCAGGTTTCTGGGTTCTCTCCCTAAGTGGCCCTAGTGACCCTGCTGGACTGTATGCAAACAAACACATTGCCATGAATTAAAAATATTTACAAACAGTTTACAAATTTTGGAGAAATTAGGCAAAGAGAGAGAAATATGACTTAAATTCTATTTTTAAATTCTATTTATGAGAGTATACTGAACACATTTAAAGTATCAGGAAGCCTAAATCCAAATAGTTAGTTTAAGGTTAAAAGGCTAGTGTGCTCCATTAATTCCTCTGGCCCCAACAAATGTAGCTTAGGAATTCCAGATAAATGGAAGAAATAATGACTTCACTAAGGGATTTAAGTATGAAAAAGTTAATTAGCCAAATGTCTCCAATTCCCTATTAGATTTTAAAGAATGTTTTATCATCCAAAATTTTCCTCATCTTTCTCCTTTAATAGTTCCTTACTACACTGTTCCATAAATAACATTTTAAAATCTGTAATTTGAACTAACTATTGGATAACTTCCAAATTAGACAAAATTAATTTTTCTCTGTAATAATATAACCCTTTTTGGCACATTTTGTATACAGAATTACATGTTAACTAGAATTCTTATCCTAAAACTTTAGTTAAACCTGAAAAAGCAAGAAGTCTTGAGATAACATTTTCACAATTTTAGAAGCATATTTCCCCATATTCCAAACCTTTCCTAATCAGAAATGACCCAGATATTAAATGAATGTCAAAAATAACTTTAACATTTTAATTTATACAAAAGTTTACCTAAAACATTTATTGTTGGAGGCTGAAAGAATGAGGGTCGTGGCCAACTCAGTATACCACTGGAGGCTATATGAGCAAACAGCAAACTGTTCCCATGAATGCAGGATGTTGGCAAGCTGACAACTGCGTCTGCTGCCAGAAGGAATGCTGAAGGCATTCACGCCCCAGGGGCAGTGTTCCTTGTGGTTATCTATAGGAACATCTGGGGCCTGTTGTATAAATAAAACAATTATGAAAGCCTTTGATAAATCAAGCAGCTGACCAACCATTACCTCTTCCTCTCTGTTGATTCTACCTAATAAATATGAAGGGCTGTAGAAGCTCAGGGCCCCTGTTCCCTAGAAGCAAGGAGCCCCTGACTCCTTCTTTAAAACAGATCCTTTTGTCTTTGTCTTCATTTCTACCTTTGTCCTCCTTTGTTCAGTCCCAAACTGACAGCCAGAATTTATCCCATTCATTGTACTAAATTCTTCCACTTTTAATGAGGGAGACACCAGACATCAATCAACATATGTAAAATGAACACTGGTTCTGTCTGAAAAGGGGAAACAACTCGAAGAGGGGAGGGAGCTTGGGGGCTTCCAGGTCATAGGCAGGTGGAAGAAAAATGGTTGCATTCTTTTGAGTTTCTGATTAACCTTTCCAAAGGAGGCAATCAGATATGCATTTATTTCAGTGAGCAGAGGATTGACTTTGAATAGAATGGAAAGCAGGTGTTAGAAATGCTTGTTTCCTGGTGCCACAGAGAAATAGCACTCAAACATAAATTTATTTCTCTCAGCAAGGCCATTTTTACTTTCTGCAAAAAGGGTGCTCATGGCAGATGGAACAATGGTGAGAGCCCGCTTGAACAAAGGAAAAGCAGACATATTTATCCCTTACACATTTGGGTTGTCCTTACTGCTGTGTCCTACATCCATTGGCTGGTGCTGGACCTCACAGTCTTAAACTGATAGCTGATTTGCTAATAACCTAAAATTTTCCTAAACAGGTAAGTGCAAGGGAGAATAAAGCAGGAGAGGAAGTTGCTTATGAAAGGCTTAAGGAAGCAATAACATTTCCAAATAAGGAAGGGGCATAAGCTATGAGCTAAGACTTGCCTGGGCCTGCCAAGACATGCCTGACTAAGACAAAGCAACTAACTGGGCCAAAGTGTAAGAACTAATAGTTGATAGGAGGCTTTAGAGTAAGAAGCTATTATTTCTAGTGTCTGTTATTTTATTTTTAAACAAAGACAAGCTTTGAAGAGGAACTTTTCTACTTTCTACAATTTCCTCTTATTTTACTTCATAGTTCCTCTTCAAACTTGTTTAACATGTCTTGGCTTAGTTGTTTTGATTAACTCCTGGATGTACAGTACAACATAACACCTAAGAAGAAGGAGTATACTTATAGTTGTTATAGAGGTAAGAATTGAGGCTATGCTTTTTTTTTTTTTTCTTTTTCTGGTTGATGAAATGCCAGGGTAGAAGGGATAGCCAATTGAACTAGGGCATAAGTACTGCTCTAATTATTTGGCAGAGTGTCTAGTAAAGATCCTCCATAATACCACCATACATCCTTTTGGGGATGAATAAGAACGGACTGATAGGTCAGCTCTTGGAAGTGCCTAACTTCACTGCATCCTGTTAAGTCTCCAAGGAATGCCAAAATTTTCCCCTTGTCATTGGAGACACGAGGTAAAATTGGTCTTGGAAGATGGAGGCTGGATGGCCCTCGGGGGCTGACCCGCAGGGTGTTGAACTTCAGGAAATAGCAGAGAAAGAGCTTGGCACAATTTGTTATTCCAGGCAGTGGAATCTTGAAAAAGAGCTACCGTGCAATCCATGTCTGCTTGGTTTGAGGACCATCCCAGTGGAAAAGGGACAATCTGGGCCTCTGGTCTACTGTGTGCACAAGTGTAACAGTTGCTTTTATTTGGAGTGCAGATGGAATATTTAATCCATTTTAGCCAGGCATTTACATCCTGATACCCTGTCTTAATTGTTATTGTTTGCTTTAGGTATTTTACTTTTGCTATAGAGACTTTGGTCTTGTCAATCTCCGTAAGGTATAAGGAAATAGGCATTAAAAGTAATAACTTGAGATGAGTTAGATCTAGTTATATTAATAATAATAAGATGGGAAGTAGTTAAAAGGAAGAAAAGATAGCTAGATTATGTTTTCTTAGCTTTAACTTGGTAGAGCTTGACCCTGGAACAATGGCCCATGACTCTGATGGTGATGACACTTTATTGACTCGGGTATGATGTGTCCATCCTTTTCTGCTGTGCGAACGGCAGTCTTGGTGGTTAGCAGCACAAGGTAGGGTTCTTCCCAGGCTGGCTTGAGTTTCCCCAGTTTCCACCCTTTTCATGATGATGTGGTTCTTAGGCTGGTGCTGGTTTACTGGAAATTCTAGGGGTGGTACCTGTGCTAAAAGACTTTTGGTTTTGAGGGAAGGGAAAGTGGAAGAGAGACCAAGTATACAATTTTTAGTAAATTGATCCTTTGTTTTAAATACGGGGACATTAGCAGTGGACTTTATACTCCCCAGTGCCTTCTTGCTGAGACATTTCCTTTTCCTTAGTTTTACTTATGTCGTCTCTGAGGGACCCTTTGGGGCTCCTTGATGTAGCTGGAACAAGATTTCCTTTATAAGGGGTTTGGATAACATTTTTCAACCTTTTAATGTAGGTAAAAATCCACATTCTTATGCCTCCTTAAAATCCTTTTACCAAAAGTATATTTTACTTTCCTTACACACCTTGCATATAAACTGTTTTTTCAATAGTTTTACATTCAGGAGGCCTAATTTCTTTTAAATTGTACAACATTTCTTGCATAAATTCCCTTTTATAACTTTTCATGACTTTCACAGACAATCTTTGACATGTCTCAACTTTCTGACTTGTAAACATCCCTTTCTTTAGACAACCAGTTAATTTATTTTAAGACAAGAATTTACCATATGACATTCTTTTTACATAAATTCTCCCCCCACCCTTTTTTTTTTAAGATGATAGCCATCCTTTTCCAAAGCGAACTTCCTTCATGTTTGTGGACTAGACTGCCTAAGGCCATAAAATTAGAAGTTAGGATGAATACATATTACACTGTTAACTTTTAGCAAATTTTACTTTTGTTGAAAACTTTGTGTTTGGGATTTTAATTATCCTTCGCAATTAATAAGACATCATTTAGTCCAAATTAACTTAGAATTGGTATAGATGGTTCCTTCCTGGTTCTGTAAGTACTTTAAGGCTTGGCTGAGTACAAACAGCTCACACATTTGAGCAGACCAATTATTAGGCAATTTTCCTAACTTCATTTCTACAAGAGTTTGTTTCCCTATCAGTTACTGGATACCCATAGTGTCTTCTTCCCTCAGTCACCCAGGAGAAACCGTCTATCATCCTGCCCTGAAGGGAGTTCCTCCTAGGTCTGGTCAGACCTCTGTATGGTCATTAATTAAGGTTTAGATCTCCTGTTAGAAGACCTGCTGAGTTAAGGGAATTATCAGTGGTTAATGTTAAATCATCTTTTTCTAACAGAATAGCCTCATACTTTAAGGTTCTTGAGTCAGTAAGCTACTTTTTCGCTTTTGTTGACTTAGGATAGTTCTGACCTGGTGAGGTGTGCTCATAATGGGGTTTCCTTTAAAAGTTATTTTTCTACTTTCTTCTGTTGGCAAAGCAGTTGCCACTACAGACTGAATGCATTTGGGCCATCCGTGGGTTACTGGGTTAAGAATTTTTGATAGGAAGGTTATCACAGAATTTTTGATTGTCTGTGGCCTCCATGCTTTCAGGCTACACCCTTGTTTATACTGACAACAAGGTGGAATGGCTGCTTAAGGAGGGTAAAACTAGGACAGGGGCAGTTCAAACTAATAGATGTTTTAACCTTTCCACCTGTTGGATTTCTGGTAATCACCAAATGAGGAGGGGGTTTTTCCAGTCTTGCATGAGCTTCTTGTATAAGGGTTTTGTTTTTAGGGCATAAGAATCTATCCATAGATGACAGTATCTGACTAATCTTAAAATTTCCTAAGTTCTTGTTTAGTCCACGGCAGAGGAAAGGATATGATGCCTTTAATCCGTTCAAGCTCAATTAGCCATTTACCTTTGCTAATTAAATGACTTGTTCTAATATTTGACTAAATAAATTTGAAGACTCCATAAACCCTTGGGGTCAGAATGTCTATCAGTATTGCTATTTTTGACTGGAGTGAGGGTCTTCACACTCAAAGGCAAATAGGTCCCAGTTGTTCTCTGCTAACGGACAAGCCCAGAAGGCATCTTTTAAGTCTATTACTATAATGACAGGGCGGGTAGTTTGGACTATCTGATTAATAGCTCGAAGGTCTTGCACTCACCGGTGTGACCCGTCTGGCTTCTTTACAGGCAGTATTGGAGTGTTATAGGGTCACAGAGAAGACTTTCAATTATCAATTATAGGTTTTAAATTTACCCTGGCTTTTAAAGGAATAGGGTACATTGCTTTCTCTTTACTACTTCTGTCTGTCTCTTTTTCTCTCTCTCTCTTTGACTCTCTGTCTCTGTCTCTTTGACTCCCTCTTTGTCTCTCTGTCTCTTTTTCTCTCTTCTAAGATTTTTTTTTTCTTCCTATGGGTCTCCTGGCTTTACTCTTTCACCCTTTATATTGCCTGGAGAGTTGGGTTCTGTGTTCTTTATAGGTTTTGGCCCCCTCGGTACTTAGGCTGGTAGTGAGTGAGCTTTTGGGATGATTCCCAAGAGGCAGGGTTATAAAGAGGAGGACAACAGGGATAGGAGAAGGGTCTGGGACAGCAGCTGCTTTTTCTTGATTTTGGTCCTTTCATTATCCTTCTAATATATTAACATACACCCTGAAGGACTACTAGAAGAAATCTGATCACCTTCACCTTTCCCTGAGTCATCTTTACTCCCTGTCCTTGTTTTACTAGAAACATTTCCCATGTTGGGTACTTGTCAGGTTCAATCTCCTGAAATTACTGGAAGGCTCAACCCCTCAAACCAGGGATGTCTTGCCTTGCCTGCCCCAGAAGACTCAACCCCTTAAACCAGGGATGTCTTGCTTTGCCTGCCCTGGGAGGTTGAACTGTTTCCTCACTTTCCCCCTCTGAAGGTCCCTCGCACACTTCTCAGTCATGTTATCCTCTCTGGCCACTCCCCAGAGGGAGAATTAGGCCCCTCTTAGCATTGGCACGCTGGTATAAATCCCACAGCAGGATCCACCCTAAGCCATATGAGGTAGCTAAGAAACTGCAGAGAGGACCTACTCACTCTGTCCAGCAGTAGGACTTGTCACCATCCACACAAACAACACCACAAGCAGGGTTGTCTGTGATTATTCATGCACACACACATTCAGCCCTCCAGAATCTGACCGCCAGGGAAGTACTTTACTGGCTCCTGTGGCTTTTGCTTCCTTGCTCTGTACACAGAGTTGTTGCCGCGGTATGTGAGAATCCTTTACCCCAGGTTGCTGGCCGGTTTCTTTCCACATTGCTGAGAGTCTGGGTTTATTTGTCACACTGGGTGGGTCTTGATTCCTCACCCCTGAGGCCACCGAAACAAGGTGACGGGACACCTCCTCATGAGAGAGGACTAGAGACCACTGCCAGAGGAGAACGGGTCCCCATACGGATTGACACCAAAATTGTCAAAATTGTTCCATCTGCGGGGAGCACCCTTTCGGCAGAAAATAAAAAGGGCCTTGTGGAGAAATCCTTTGTCTCCATGCTGACTTTTCTTCATGGCACCGATTATCTATTTCTAACAGCAGGTTTGTCTAAGCATTCCCAGCTTGAATTTTCCCTTCAGCTTCGTGATTTTAGAGGCCCAAAATATTTTTCTTTCATAAATTACTCTCATTCATCCAAACAAAACACACAAACAAAGATCATTTTGTTTTCGCTGGATGTATAGTTTTACAACCTTCTCTGCCAAACACTGAAATGTTAAAATATCTAGCAAAGACAAACATAAAATTCAGACAAAATGTGTGCTGACAATTCTGAAGGCATTTCTATTTTTATTCTACCAATAACCGTAAAGCCAGCTTGTTTAGTAAAGTTATACTTAAGTCAGGTGAACTTGCAAATTGCTTAGACTTATTTTTTTTTGCACTCTTTTACTTATAAACCAGTTTGTGCTCACAACACATAACAATAAGTGTACATACAAACAAACACATTTAGACATGTATATACACTCATAAACAAAGACCCAATAGCTTGGAACCTTAGCCATGGGATAGCAACACAAGCTTGCAGATTTTACCTTGTTTGTGCCAATAGATAATCCAATGAGGCTGTGAACCAAAATTACAGGTAAAGCAGCCTCCATGGCAGTTTGATTTTTAAAGGCCAAACCTCCCTTTTAAAGGCCACCTATGAAGGGGAAAATTTACATCTCAAAGTTACAGAACTTAGATCTAAACAAAAGCATGGTTTGTTACATAAACTTTAAGCCATTGTCTTCCCCGTAGAGTTCCTAGTGGTTTCAGTGCAGAGACAGAAATGCCCTTACAAATGGGAGATTTTCTTTAAAGATGTAAATTTCTTTTACAAACAATTTAAAAGAGTGATTTAGTTTGATAGGTAGTCTTTTAACTTGGCTTGTTCCTTAATTAGATTACTAGCTTTAGGGTAGAGCCCTTTAAGGAACAACATCAGGAAAGTTTTAGGGCCAAAACATGCAAAGAGCCAAGTAGTTCCCTATAGTAATAACCACTTACAAACAACACTGCTGTCTGCTATGACTAACACTGTAGCTCACATGACTAAAAGCCACTATACACCAGAGTCCAGTCCTCCCACAATACCAAGCATTTTCTCATAGCTCTGAAAAGCCAAAGCAATCAAGTAACATAATAACAAAGACCAAAAGACCGCAGAGCCTTAGACCTAAGGGGAATTTGTCTGCTTACAGTGCTTGGGATTCCCTGAGGAAAAACACGTTCCTCCAAACAACAGAGTCTTTGGCACCTTTCTGTTTTTCCTAAGGGATCCCAGGCTGTCAGAAATTTCATTTTTTAAGGTTCGTCTGTCCTTTGGCATCAAGGTGTTACAGGTAGTTAGACACACATGAGCAGGGCAGGAGAGGGCTCTTCCCCCACCCACTAGGAATGTCAAACGATCATTGGGTATGGTTCGACAGTTATCACACTGCCTCCCTAAAAATGATAATTTGGCAGCTGGCGCCAGGGAGAGACAATCTCCTGATGGTCCACAGCTGCCACATTAAAGTGTTAATTAAATGTAGGCACCAGAGAGAGGCAACTTCCTGGGCATGTGCATTAAGAGACAAAATGGCAAGAGTAGGACCTTCGGGGGGTATACCACTGGAAAGGGAAGAAAGTCTCACATGGGCATGCATACAATTTCCAAAACACACTGCCCATGCTCACGCCCAAAGCCTAAGAAGGGCACTGTGCATGCCGGCAGCCCACCCAAGCAAAGAATCATGGGAAAGCGGTGCAAGATGCCAGGAGAGGGTCAGCATATAAAGTCATAGGATGAAGGTTAAATGCTGCACTTGATGTTCACAATGCTCGCTTGGGTGCCTTCCAAGTGCACCTTCCTTTCTTTCATGTTCTAAAGCTTTTTAATAAATGTTTACTCCTACTCTGAAACTTGCCTCAGTCTCTGTGTTTTTCTGCCTCATGCCCCTCACTCAAATTCTTTTTTCTGAGCAAGCAAGAATTGAGGTTGCTGCAGACACATATGGATTCACCACCAGTAACTTGGTGACCTTCCATCCCTAACAAAGGGTTGTAAGAGGAAGGAGAGGCAGATAGAAGCAAATGGAGAAGCAGATAAGATTCAGTTGACTGAGATGTTTTACAGAGAAAGAAAAAGGGTATTAAAAGAATACCTATGTATACATGAATAGCCCAAATGTCAGTTTTAACAAAGTCGACTTTTGTCTATAGAGTTTTTTAAGAATAACGTTTTTCTAGTTGTAATTCCTACTGAAGCAATTTTATTCTGCTTCTGCTGCTACCTGGGCTCCAGCACCAACCAAGCAGCCCACAGAAGCAACCATCCACTGCAGTAGCCGCTGGCTGCCCTTCTTACTGCATGTGCTGTCTCTCAGCTAACAATCACTGAGAACAGGAGTACAGATGACTCTAAACACTTCACATTTTCAGGGCATCTCCATACTCACCTACAAGCATTCGAAAGGTGAGCCATGCCACTCAACATCGAAGTGGCTGCCACCTGAGATTTTGCCTAAAAATGCCTCAGGTTGTTGTGCATTTCTTGGTCTCTCAGTTCCTGGCTAGTGCTTGCCACATGTTTCACAGTTGGTGGGTCTATGGAATTGAGCTTCAGGGCCCAAGGAAGCTGAGAGGGCAAAGAAAGAGGGTGATAAATCCAGTTTCTTAGTAAGGAACATTTAATAGAGACTTATGAAGCGATGTGTATTTTGGTCAGTGATGAGATGAGATGGTGGATCCCTGCCTTTTTCTTATTATTTTTCATGTTGGAAGCTTTATGTAGTGAATTGAGATCTTTCATGTTTCATAATGTAGGCATTTAATTTTATAAAAATCTCACTAATCACTACTTTAGTTGCATCCCATACATGTGGCTGTGTTGTGTTTTTTCTTTTCCACTAAGTACAAAATAAAATGAATTTCCTGGGCAATTTCATCCTTGATCTAGTTTTTAGAAGTATATTGCTTAATTTACAAGTACTCAGGAAATTTCCAGATAGCTCTTCATTATGGTTTCTAATTTAACTCCATGTGAACACAGTATAAATTCAATTATTAAAAACTTGTTGCATCAGGCGTGGTGGCTGACATGGTTTGATTGTGACCCCATGGAAATCTCATCTTGAATTGTAACTCCCACAATTCCCAGCTGTGATGGAAAGAACCTGGTGGGTGGTAATTAAATCTTGGGGGTGGGTCTTTCCTGTGCTGTTCTCATGATAGTGAATAAGTCTCACAAGATCTGATGGTTTTAAAAATGGGAGTTTCCCTGAACAGGCTCTCTCTTTGCCTGCTGCCATTCATGAAAGACATGACTTGCTCCTCCTCACCTTCTGCCATGATTGTGAGGCTTCCCCAGCCACATGGAACTGTTAAGTCCATTAAACCTTTTTTTTTTTTTTTTTTTGGTAAATTGCCTGGGTATATCTTTATCAGCAGGATGAAAATGGACTAATACAGTAAATTGGCACCAGTAGAGTGGGGTGCTGCTGAAAAGCAGCTTTGGAATGTGAAAGCAGCTTTGGAATTGGGTAACAGGCAGAGGTTGGAATAGTTTGGAAGGCCCAGGAGAAGACAGGAAAATGCAGAACATTTGGAACTTCCTAGAGACTTGTTGAATGGCTTTGAACAAAATGCTGATAGTAATATGCACAAGGAAATCCAGGCTGAGGTGGTCTTAGATGGAGATGAGGAACTTGTTGGGAATTGGAGTAAAGTGACTCTTGCTGCGTTTTAGCAAAGAGACTGGCAGCATTTTTCCCCTGCCCTAGAGATTTGTGGAACTTTGAACTTCCAAGAGATGATTATCTGGTGGAAGAAATTTCTAAGCAGCAAACCATTCAAGATGTGACTTGGGTCCTGTTAAAGGCATAAGGAAAACAGAGCATAAAAGTTTGAAAACTTTGCAGCCTGACAATGCACTGGAAAAGAAAATTCCATTTTCTGAGAAGGAATCCAAGCCCACTGAAGAAATCTGCATAAGTAATGAGGACCCAACTGTTATTCCCCAAGACAATGGGGAAAATTTCTACAGGGCATGTCAGAGGTCTTCACAGCAGCCCCTCCCATCAAAGGCCTGGAGGTCTAGGAGAAAAAAAGTGTTTTTTGTGAGCTGGGCCCAGAGTCCCAGTGCTATGTGCAGCCTACGGATATGGTGCCCTGTTTCCCAGCCACTCCAACCGTGGCTGAAACAGGCCAAAGTAGACCTTGGCCGTGGCTTCAGAGGGTGCAAGCATCAAGCCTTGGCAGCTTCCATGTGGTTTTGAGCCTGCCAGAGCATAGAAGCCAAGAATTGGGGTTTGGGAACCTCTACCTAGATCTCACAGGATGAATGGAAGCACGTGGATGTGCAGGCAGAAGTTTGCTGCAGGGGCAGGGCTCTCATGGAAAACATCTGCCAGGGCAGTGTGGATGACAACTTGCACCATGTACCTGGAAAAGCCACAGAAACTCAATGCCAGCACATGAAGGCAGCCAGGAGAGAGGCTATACCCTAGAAAACCCATGTTAACCCACCTCTTGTATCAGCATGACCTGGGTGTGAGACATGGAGTCAAAGGAGATCATTTTTGAGCTTTAAATTTGACTGCTTCATTTGGATATTGGACTTGCATGGGACCTGTAGCCCCTTTGTTTTGGCCAATTTCTTTCATTTGGAATGGCTATATTTACCTGATGCCTGTACCCCCATTGTATCTAGGAAGTAACTAACTTGCTTTTGATTTTACAGGCTCATTGGTGGAAGGGACTTGCCTTGTCTCAGATGAGTCTTTGGACTGTGGACTTTTGAGTTAATGCTGAAATGTGTTGAGACTTTGGGGACTATTGGGAGGGCATGATTCGTTTTGAAACGTGAGGACATGAGATTTGGGAGGGGCCGGGGATGAAATTATATGGTTTGGCTGGGTTCTAACCCAAATCTCATCTTGAATTGTAACTCCCACAATTCTCGTACATTGTGGGAAGAACCTGGTGGGAGGTAATTGAATCATGGAGGCAGGTCTTTCTCATGCTGTTCTCATGATAGTGAACAAATTTCATGAGATCTGATGGTTTTAAAAATGGGAGTTTCCCTACACAAGCTCTCTCTTTGCCAGCTGCCATCCATGAAGACGTGACTTGCTTCTTCTTGCCTTCCACCATGATTGTGAGGCTTCTCCGGCTATGTGGAACTGTTAAGTCCATTAAACCTCTTTCTTTTATAAATTGCCCAGTATCAAGTATGTCTTTATCAGCAGTGTGAAAATGGACTAATACAGTGGCTCAAGCCTGTAATCCCAGCACTTTTGGAAGCTGAGGCAGGAGGATTGCTTGAGCCCAGTAGTTCAAGACCAGGTTGGGTAACATAGTGGAACCCCATCTCTACAAAAAATATAAAAATTGGCCAGGCATGGTAGTGCATACCTGTAGTTCCAGCAACTCAAGAAGCTGAAAGAGGGGAATTGCTTAAGCCCAGGAGGTGAAAGCTGTAGTGGGCCCTAATTGCACCACTGCACTCCATCCTGGGTGACAGTAAAGCCATGTCTTAAAAAAATCCAAAAACAAAAACTTGTTGAGTGTTTTTAATCCGCTACAATATTAGTGAATATTCAATGTACATGTGAAAAGAAAGTATCTTTCTTTTTTACTGTTTTTCTATCTTACTTTTTTCAGGATAAAGTGTCTTAAAAATGTCAAATGGGTAAAGTTATCTATTAGCATATGAAATCCTATATGTCCTATATATTCTTACTCATTTATCTGTTTACTTTTTCTATTAAACACTGAAAAAAGTGTAGTGAATTCTCAAAAAGTAATTGTGAATTTTTCTAATAATTCTTTTATTTTATGATTTTTTAATTCATGAATTTTAAAGTTTTGTTGTGTGACATATACATACTTTACATTATATTTGTATTGACTATTAATATTTTAATATTGATATGGTTGTATTTTTATCTACCATTGCTAGTTGATTTCTATTTGTCTTTCTTGCCTCTTTTAATCTGCACTCTTTGCCATTTTGGATTGTGGTTTTTTAATGAATTCATTCTATCTCCAATGTTAAGTTATTATTAGTTTTTATTAATATATTTTTATATATTTAAAGATAAATGTATTTAACTTACTATAAAGAACTATCAAATGATATTATACCACTTCTTGCAGATTGTATGAATCTTGTAATATAGTAATTTTCTTTCTATCCTGTAAGCTATTTCTAATACAATTTAATGCTGTATGTGTAATACAAAACTCAGTACATAGTTACTCTCTTCGCTTTAGACAGCTCATTATTCTTGAAATCAATTAAAAATAAGGAGAATATGTGTTTAATATGTGCCTTCATCTTTACCCTATCCACGTCTCTTTATTGCTTTTGTAGGTTCAAATTCACAACTGGTATCATATTCCTTCTGCCAAAATAAATTCTCACTTCGCTGATCATATGATTATTTACCTAGAAAACCCTAAAGACTCGCCAAAAGGATCCAACTGATAAATGATGTCAGTGAAATTTTAAATTGAATGTACAAATATCAGTAGCATTCCTATAAACCAATAATGTTCAAACTGAGAGCCAAATCAAGACTGCAATCCCATTTACAAGAGACATACACACACACGCACACACACACGGAATACATCTAACCAAGGAGGTGACAGATCTCCACAGGAAGAGAAGCAAAACACAGTTGAGAGAAATCAGAGATGACACAAATAAATGGGAAAATATTTCATGCTTATGAACAAGAATCAATATCATTAAAATAACCATACTGCCCAAAGCAATCAACAGATTCAATGCTATTCCTAACAAACCACCAATGTCATTTTCACAGAATTAGAACAATTATTTTAAATTTATGTGAAACCAGAAAGGAGCCTGAATAGCTAAATCAATCCTAGGCAAAATGTACAAAGCTAGAGGCATCCCACTACCTAACTTCAAACTATACTACAAGGCGACAGTAACCAAACAGCTTGGTACTGATACAAAAACAGACATGTAGGCCAATGGAACAGAACAGAGAACCTAGAAATAAAGCCACACACGTACAACCATCTCATCTTCAACAAAGTTGACAAAAACAAGCAACTGGGAAATGGCTCCCTATTCAACAAATGAATGATGCTGGGATAATTGTGTAGTCATATGCAGAAGATTGAAACTGGACTCCTACCTTTCACAATATACAAAAATCAAAGTCAAAAAAGTCAAGGTCAACAAAAGTAAACAATGGGAAAAGTACACTCTATTCAATAAATGATGCTGGAATAACTAACTAACCCTATGCAGAAGGATGAAACTAGACCCCTATTCATCACCATACACAAAAATTAACTCAAGATGAATTAAAGACTTAAATGAAAGATCTCAAACAATAAAAATTCTATAAAAGTCTGGGAAATACCCTTCTGGACACTGATCTTGGCAAAGAATTTATTACTAAGACCTCAAAAGCAATTTGCAATGAAAAAAAATTGACAAGGAGAACCTAATTAAACTAAAGAGCTTCTGCACAGCAAAAGAAGCTATCAACAGACTAAGCAGGCAACCTATGAAGTGGGAAAAAACGTTTGTGAACTATGCATCTGACAAAGGTCTAATACCCAGAATTTAGAAGAAACATAAACAACTCAACAAGAAAAAAACAAATAACGCCATTGCAAAGTGGGCAAGGGATGTGAACAGACACTTCTTAAAAGAAGACAGTCACGTGGCCAACAAATATATGAAAAATTACTCATCATCACTAATCATCAGAGAAATGCAAACAAAAACCACAATGAGTTATCATCTCACACCAGTCAGAGTGGCTATTATCAAAAAGTCACAAACAACAGATGCTACTAAGGCTATGGAGAAAGGTGAAAGCTTATACATTGTTGATGCTAAAATATTAATAAATCTGTTCAGTCACTGTGGAAAGCAGTTTGAAGATTTATCAAAGAACTTAAAACAGAACTACCACTCAATGCAGAATCCCATTGGCTATATACCCATAGGAAAATAAATAATTTTACCAAAAATACACACACACTTACATGTTCATGACAGCACTATTCACAATAGCAAAGAAATGGAATCAACCTAGGCAACAGTCAATTGGAGTAAAAAAAGTGGTACATAGACATCATGGAATACTGTGGAGCAATAAGAAAGAATGAAATCCTGTCTTTTGTGGCAACGTGGTTGCAGATGTAGGCCATTATCCTAAGTAAATTAACAAAGAAACAGAATACCAAGTATAACATATACTCACTTATCACTGGAAGCTGAACACTGGGTACACATGGACATACAGATGGGGACAATAAACTCTAGGGACTACAAGAAGTGGGAGGAATGGGTTGAAAAACTACCTATTGGGTACTATGCTTACTACCAGGACAAGATCAACTGTACTCCAAAGCTCAGCATCACACCATATACCTTTGTAACAAATCTGCACGTATATTTCCTGAATCTAAAATAAAAGTTAAAAGAAAAAGACATTCTTTAACATTTGCCATAATTAGGACTATTAGCAACAAATTTTCTCAGCTTTTGAGAAAATCTTTATTTCACTTTCATTTTTCAAAGATATTTTTCACTACGTACAGAATTCTACATCTGTAAGTCCTTTTAGTATTTTAAAGGTGCCCCACTGTAAGTCTTATTTTTACTCTTCTGTGTATAATGTTTCCATCTTCCCTTTGATTTGCCTTCAAAGTGTTCTTAATATTTGCTTTTGTGAAATTAGACTATAGTTCCTATCTGTTCTAATTAAAAATATTTTTCTAGCTTTTTGAATCTATGTTTGGTTAAGTTTTCTTTATTCTCAAAAAAAATTTAACTATTAAATTTTGAAATTTTTTTACTATTTTCACTTTCTGAGATACCAATCACATATAGACTTAGATAGATAGATAGATAGATAGATAGATAGATAGATAGGTAGATAGATGTTTTGATATTGGCCTATATCTCTTAAATCTTTGTTCTGGATTTTTATTCTTTTTTGTGTGACTTAATTTAAATAATTTCTAAAATCCCCCTCTGGTTGATTGATTCTTCCCTCAGTCATGTCCATTTTGCTGATAAACCCATTGAAGAAATGTTTTATATAAGATATTGTATTTTTTCCAGGAGTTCTAAATGACTTTTTAAACGTATTTTTTCATGTCTCTGCTGAAATTCCCCAGTCTTCCTTCTAGCCTTCCATGTTTTCCACCATTGATAGTATGTGTTCGTTTCCTAAGGTTGCTGTAACAAATCAACACAAACTAGGTAGCTTAAAACAATAGAAATTTAGTCTCTTACCGTTCGGGAGACTGGAAGTCTGAGATCAAGGTGCCAGCAAGGACACACTTCCTCCAAAGGCTCTAGGGAAAATCCTTTCTTGTGTCTTCTAACTTCTGGTAGTTGCCAATAATCCTAGGTATCTTCTGGCATAGAGATGCATCCCTCCAATTTCTGCCTCCATTTTCACATAACCTTCTCCATTGTCCATCTGTATCTGCGTGTTTCTGTCTTCTGGTTTTCTTTTAAGAATGCCAGCCATATTGGATTTAGTGCCAACCCTAATCCAGTATGATATCATTTTACCTTAACTAAATATGTTTGAAAAACCCTATTTCTGAATAAGGATGTAGTCACAAGTACCTGGGGTCAGAACTCCAATGTATACTTTGGGAGGACACATTTCAACCCATAACACACTACAAACTTTAACCTAGGAATCATAGTTATTTCAAAGTCTTTGTAGAGTAATTCCAACTGTGTCATCTTTGAGTTTATGTCTTGAAAATACATCATTTTTGTGCTTGTTTACATACATTGTCATTTTTAGTTAGGTAAAAGGTTTTGTATAAAAAAGAACAGTAGATACAGAGACATATCCAACTGCAAATGGGCACTTTTCTTTGTCATCCAGTCATTAGTGTATGTATAGTATTGGGTCATTCTAGTCACCCGTTGAGTTGGGTCTGGGTTTTTTGTTTTTGCTATTGCAATTTATTTTCCCACACATTTCACACTTCTAAAGTGGTAGACTTTTGCTGCTTGTTATTCAGTGCTAGGCTTATGGTGCAGGCAAGAAAGATTTCTCAATCTTCTTGGTATACCCTCTGTTTGAGGTAAGACCTGAGCTTGCTGGGTTCAAGATTGAGCCTTTTCAACTCCTTCATCCATTTTCTCATTATGGCCAATACAATCTCATGTCTGTGGGAGATCTTGAGCATGAGAAATTTTCCCACTCATCTCCCAGTTACAGGTGGCTTTCACTTTTACCCTTCTTCCAAAAAATATAATGATCACTAACAACAACAATAACCCTGTTCTTCACTTGGTTCCTTGAGATAAAGAGAGATTTTTCTAACCTTGGGAAGGCAGAATTTCTGCTTTTACTTCTCCACAAGTGACCTTAGATATCAAAAGTTTCGATGCCCTTTCTTTTGTGGTTGAAAGTCTTTTTAATGTGTGAGAGAAGAGTTTTAGGAAGTGGGTGGTGTTTGGGTATCTCTTGCATCAGCAGCTGACACGTCTCATAAAACTGTGCCATTGAGAACAGCTCCTTTGGGCCTTGGTCTAACCCCTATGCTTTCTTGTGAGTACCCAAAGGGAAACTTCTGAGGAAGTGTGTGCTCTGATTTCTGGACTTGTCATTATGTTAAATTGGTGTGCTATTCCACACTTGGCCTTTAGAAATTTGTAATAAATTCAGCTGATTTATTGTTACCCTCTTCTATGGGGGCTGCTTCTTCCTCCCATGCTTGATAAAGGTGAAACAGTTCATATGTCTGCTCTCCATGGAGGCACGTGTTACTCTTTGAAATTCAGCCCCCTTTGTCTTGTGACCTCAGCTCTTGAATAGGGTCAAAGAAATTTTTGATTTTGTAGATTATCTGGCTTTTCTCATTCTTAGCATGAAAGCAACATTCTTTTGCATCTTTCTACATCCTAATCACATATAGAACTCTCAGTCATTTTAAGTCTATGTTGCAATTCAAAGCAAAAGACAAATCTCGTACTTGATTCTTTATTTTTCTTATTGTTTGTTTCACCCCACTGGAATAAAAATGCTTTGAAAGCAGGGGTTTGTGTCTCTTTTATTTACTACTATAGTTCTTAGAACACTTAGAGGGGTGTCTGCCACGAAGTCTGCTTCTCAATAAATGTTATTGAATGAATGAATATTTAATAACATACAGTTGAAAACATAAGTATGTTTTCACAGTTTGTACTCAAAAAATATTTAATGTAAGTAATATTATTCCCATATTTTAGAAGAAAAAATGATTTCCAAAGATATTAAATTCATTGACCTGCATAACGTAATTTTACTTGGCAAAGAGAGAGGCAAAGTATTGTCATGGGAGAACAAGAATATTTGTGGAAGCAAAAATAGGCTTAACTCCTGATTTTTCCATGGACTATATTTGAGCAAATCACCTGAGTTTTCTCATCTTCAGTACTTTTCCCTTCTACTGAGGTTAATACTTTCTCATTTAAAACGTCATATTAAACAATTAATGGAGTCATTATTTAAAGCAAGTGCCACATGGTAGGCACTAAATAAACGTTTTTATTTCAATTACTCTTAATATTAGAATTATTTTTGTATTACTTTTCTTATTATCTGGATCTTGATTTCATTTTTCTCTGATGCAAAATTTTGGGCAGGTTTTATTTTATTATGCTGCATCTATCGAGAAAATCATGACATTTTTGTTTTTAGTTTTGTTTATGTGATGAATCACATTAATTAATTTGCATAGCTTGAACCAACCTTGCATCCCAGAGATAAAGCCTACTTGATTATGGTCAAATAGCTTTTTGATGTGCTGCTGAATTCAGTTTGCTAGATTGTTGTTGAGAATTTTTGCATCAATGTTCATCAAGGATATTGGTCTGAAGTTTTCTATTTTTGTTGCATCTCTGCCAGGTTTTGGTATCAGGATGATGCTGGCCTCATAGAATAAGTTACAGAGGAGCCTGTCCTCCTCAATATTTAAAATAGTTTTGGCAGGAATGGTACTATCTCTTTTTTTTACATCTGGTAGAATTCAGCTCTGAATCCATCTGGTCCTGAGCTTTTTTTGGTTGATAGTCTTTATATGATGATTCAGTTTTGGAACTCATTATTAGTCTGTTCTGGGATTCAATTTCTTCCTGGTTCAGTCTTGGAAGGTTATAGGAGTCCAGGAATTTATTAATTTCTTCTAGATTTTCTAGTTTGCGTGCATAGAGATGTTCATAGTAGTCTCTAGGGAGTATTTGTCTTTCTATGGGATCAGTGGTAACATCCCCTTTGTCATTTCTACTTATGTTTATTTGGATCTTCTCTATTTTTTCTCCATTGGCATTGATGCTATCTTTCTGGCATTTTGTTGGAATTAGAATACATGTATTTTAAATTTTTATTGTAACCTGCCCATCACTTTCCAAATGAAAAAGTGGTTGAAATTCAAAATTTTAAATGTGAGAGACTTGTGAAAAACAAAATAAGCAATTATAGAAGGCTTTTAGTTTAACATTCAATAAATAATTTTGAGACAAAAGTTTTGAAATAGAAGTTTTTATTAAAAATAGTCAATAAAACATAAATACCATTGAGGAGAGTGTCAGGGATTATAATGATAATGTTACAATAAATGAATCAGGATGAATCTTCTAGGCTATATTACTTGGGACTTTATTACCAAGAATAGGAGTGGGGAAATGATTTAAACAGAATAGTAGATTTATGTATTTTAAATTTATTTCTCACAGTGGAATGGAGTGGTGTAAGAGTAGAGTCATAAATACTTCATTCAAATTCAAATGTCCTATTATTGTATGTTGTTTGAGACACAGTGCTTGTGTATGTCCAGGGAGTAGCATGACAGCCAAAGGGGGTTGATGGGAACAAAAGCACCATCATGAAAGTTGCAATCGCAACTCAGCTACTAATGCAATAATGATCATACTGACTCAAGAATGAAACCAACTTTCTGTGTCAAGTGTAAGTTCTGGATTCTGTAAGCAAACTGTTCAACATGTATCATTTTACCCAGTTTTGAAAGAAATGGTAGATATTTTTGTGTCAGTTTAAGAAAACAAATTATTTTTCTCTCAGTGCAAATTTCATGATAAAGACAAGAAATTTTGAATGAACACATCTTGATGATAAAATACATTTTTCTTTTAAGAAATAGAATTCTGTAGGGCTTTACTTTGTATGTTTAAGAAACCATCCTGAAGCATTATGTTCTAACACACTGGTTAACATCTATTTTTCAAAGTCCATCAATCAAAGAAATTTCAGGCTGAAAATGAGTGTTTTCTTTCCTTTTTTTTGAAAAAATTAGAGATCATTGGGCTATTTTGAAGGCTAGAAAGACATAGCTGGAAATAATCTCAATATCATGAAGAAAAACATTTATTTCATATTTGAGAAATCTAAGGCCTAAGTTAAAAAAAGCCATAACCAAAGTCTCATAATGATTACCTTCATTGGCTAAGTTTTATCGTATTGTCTTGACTGCTAATTAATTGTGCTTTAAATTGCAGCTCAAAAACTTTTCAGTGAATTTTTCACAAATGATATTGCTACATTGATTATGTAGCAATAAAAACATTATTTCATCTGGTAATTTAGAATTTCAACTAATTACTTTTTGTGTTTTTAGATAACTTAATGACTTACATGTTATTTTTTCAGAAGGAAACAAAGTTTACGTGCAGAACAAATAACATTGACATTCAATGAAACCCAATTTTAGTAAGACATATATACTTTCCTCAATGAATTCATTATCTAGTAGTAAGGCAGACACTAAGAAATTGATTATATATATTTTTAATAATTGAAATAATAGAATGATAGAAATAAAAGGCTTTTTTGAGCAGCAATTTGATTGTGCAGCTGAAAAAAAACATGATATGTATGATATGTTTTAAAACTGTAGTATAAGATGCTTAACATAGGGCTTTCTGAAGAAATCCTGCAATTAGGGATTTTTTTAGTAACAAACTGTAAATAGAATAACATCGTTATTACAGAGAATATCTACTATCAGTTTGGACCCTAATTTAGAAATGACTTTTACTCCAAATGGTTTGAATACAAGTCTTTCCAATGAAGAGGCAATATGAATGTAAAATATTTAAAGAACTCTCAAAACTCAGGAGTACAAAACGATTTGGCAATTGCTCTCATAAAAAGATGTTCAATATTATCAACAATGATAAAAATGAAAAATAAAACTGCAATGGAAATTCACTGCATATCTATTAGAACTGCTAAAATGGTGGGGAAGGGGTCCTGTCAAAGCCCTCCTTTGGGCTATGGAAATGCAGACATGGCACCATTAACTGAAGCAGTCCATGGAATCGACTAGTGAAGGAGTCATCTCTTGCCCCCATCTCCCCTCCCCAGGGCACTGCTGCATATGCTCTGTAATACAAAAGAGGCATGCCCTGAGTAACAGTCTATCTGCCAAACCCTACTCTTAAAGACCATCTACTGGATTGCAGCCTGAATTATACCACCAAACAAAAATAAATTCCTTCAACACACAAAGCCCATGAAACCCAATGCAGGAAATTATCTACAACTAAGGAACCCATACGGAGTCTTGGCCCTCTGAAAGCACACAGAAACAGACAATCTACTATACACACCATACACCATGGTTAAATTCTCAAGGGGAAAACAAACAAACAAACAAACAAACAAAACAAGAAGCCAATTTAAACAAAAGCAATTTACAGAAAAGAAAAGAAACACCAGTGCCCTCCGATGAAACAGAATCACTGCAAGAACTTCAGCAATTCAAAAAGTCAGAGTGCTTCTTTATCTTCAAATGATTGCACTAATCTCACAGCTATGGATTCTAACCAGATTGAAAAGTCTGAAATGACAGACATACAATTCAGAATCTGGGTGGCAGGAAACAATGAAATTCAAGAGAAAATAGAAATCCAATCCAAGGGAGACAGAAAGATGCTCCAAGACATGAAAGATGACACTGTCATATTAAAAGAAAAAACAAACTGAACTTACAGGATTAAAAAATTCACTATAGAAATTTCAAAATACAATTGAAAGTCTTAACAGCAATAGACTAGATCAAGCTGAGGAAAGAATTTCAGAGCTTAAAGACTGGTGTTTTGAATCAACCCAGTTAGACAAAAAAAAAAAAATTGAAAAAAAATCAATACTCTATGAATCATATAAAAATCTATGAATCATTGACATTTTTGAGAGAAGAGTAAGCAAATTGAAAAACATATGTGAAGATATAATCCACAAAATATTTCCTAATCTCTCTAGAGCAGTTGATGCAGAAATTCAAGAAATTCAGAGAACTGCTGTGTGATACTATGCAAGATGACTGTTACCAAAATACACAGTCATCAGACTTTCTAAGGTCGATGAAAAAGAAAATATCTTAAAGTCAGCTGGACATAAGGGTCATATCACTTACACATGGATTTATATCAGGCAAACAGTGAACTTATCAGCAGAAATTTTACAAGTCAGAATAGCTTGGGACCTATTTTTAGCACTCTAAAAGAAAATAAATTCTAACCAAGAATTTCATATCCCACTAAACTAAGCTTCATAAGGGAAACAGCAATAAACTATTTTCTGGGCACACAATTGCTAAGTTTTTTTTGACAATAGACTAACCTTACAAGATATGATTAAGGGAGTTCTGAACATGAAAACCAAAGAACAATAACTTCTATTATAAAAACACACATAAGTACATAGGCCCAGGCCATATAAAGCAACTACACATTTAAGACTACAAAGCAACTAGCTAACAATCCCACAAAAGACTCAAAACTTCATATATCAGTATTAACCTTGAAGGTAAACAGTCTAAACACCCCACTTAACAGGCATAGAATGGCAAGTTGGATAAAAAACAAGACCCCAAATTCTGCTGTCCTCAATGACTCATGTCACATGTAATGACACACATAAGCTCAAGGTACAGAATGGAGTAAGATCTATCAGGCAAATGGAAAACAATAAAGAGCAAGGATAGTTATTCTTGTATCAGATAAAACACACTTTAAACCAACAAGAGTAAAAATGGACAAAGAAGGGCATTACATGATAAAAGTTTCAAATCATTAAGAAGACTTAACAATCCTACATATATATGCACCCAACATTGCAGCAACCAGATTCATAAAATAAGTATTTCTATACCTATGAAAAGACTTTGAAAGCCACACAATAGCTGTGGGGGACTTCACAATCTTATTGAAGGTGTTAGACAGATCATCAGAGCAGAAACCTAACCAAAAATTCTAGACTCAAAGTTGTCACTTGACCTATTAGATCTAATAGACATCTACAGAATAAACTATCCAACAATCACAGCAAATATGTTCTCACATGCACACAGAACACACTCTAAGATTGACCAAATGCATGGCCATAAAGCAAGTCTCAATAAATTAAAAAATATCAAAATCATACCAAGCATATTCATAGACCAAAGTGAAATAAAAATAGAAATCAATAACAAGAGTATGTCTCAAAACCACACAATTACATGAAAAGTAAACAACTTGGTCCTGAATGACTTTTAGAAAAACAACTAAATTAACTCAGAAATCAAAACAACATTCTTTGAAATAAATAAAAAAAGGAGCAAAACATAACAAAATCCCTGGAATGCAAGAAAAGCAGTGTTAAGAGGAAAGTTTATAGTGCTAAACACCTACATCAAGAAGATAGATCTCAAATAAAGAATCTAACATTGCACCTAGAGGAACTAGAAAAATAAGAACACAATAATTCCAAAGCTAGCACAATAAATGACAAATAAAATCAGAGCAGAACTGAGTGAAATTAAGACCCACAAATCCATACAAAGAATCAATGAAACCCAAAGCTGGTTATTTGAAAGGATAACAAAGAGCAACAAATTGCTAGCTAAATCAATAAAGAAAAAAAGATGATCCAAATAAATACAACCAGAAATGACAAAGATATTCTAATTAATTCTACGGAAATACAGAATATCCTCAGACACTATTATGAACACTTTTATAAACACGAACTAGAAAATCTAGAGGAAACAGATAAATTCCTGGAATTACACAATCTCCCAAGATTGAATCAGGAAGAAATTGAAACTCTGAACAGACCAACAATGAGTTCCAAAATTGAGTCAGTAATAAAAAACCCTACTAACCAAAAAAAAGCTCCATACCAGATGAATTCACAGCCAAATTCTACCAGACGTACAAAGAAGAGCTGGTACCAATTCTACTGAAACTGTTACAAAAAATTAAAGAGAGACTCTTCTCTAACATATTCTACAAAGCCAGCATCACCCTGATACCAAAACCTGGCAAAGATACAGTGACAAAAGAAAACTACAGAAAAATATTCCAGATAATCATAGACTCAAAAATTCTCAACAACATAGTAGCAAACTGAATCCAGCAGTATATAAAAAAGCTAATTGACCACAATCAAGTAGACCTTTTTCCTGGGACACAATGTTGGCTCAAAATATGCAAATCAATGGATGTAATTCACCACAAAAATAGAAATAAAAGGAAAAACCATATGATCATCTCAATAGACACAGGAAAATCTCTCAGTAAAATCCAGTATCCCTTCAAGATAAAAACCCTCAACGAACTAGGCATTGTAGTAACATACTTCAAAATAATAAAAGCCATCTATGGCAGACCCATGGCCAACATCATACTGAATGGGCAAAAGCTGGAAGCATTCCCCTTAAGAACTGGAAAAAGACAAGAATGCCTACTCTCACTGCTCCTATTCAAGATAGGACTGGAAGCCCAGAAATAAATGAAAGGCATTGAAGTAGAAAAAGAATAAGTCAAATTATCTCCCTTCATTGATGATATGATTCTGTTCCTAAAAACCTGCAATGACCTCATCAAAAGGCTTTTAGACCTGATAAACAATTTCAGTAAAGTTTCAGGACAAAAGCCAAATATAAAAATCAGTAGCTTTCCTATATATCAGTAACATTCAAGTTGAGAGCCAAATCAAGAACAGAATCCCATTTACAATAGCCACAACAGTAAAATATAACACCTAGGAATGTATCTAACCAAGGAGATGAAAGAGCTCTGCAAGTAGAACTACAAAACACGACTGAAAGATATCAGTGATGACACAAATGAAAAAAAATTCATCCTCATGGACTGTGAAAATCAATATCATTAAAATGTTCATACTGCCCAAAGCAATCTACATTTTCAATATTATTTCTACCAAACTACCAGTATCATTGTTGACAGAATTAGAAAAAAAGTATTCTAAAATTAATCTGAAGCCAAAAAAGGGCCCAAATAGCCAAAGCAATCCTAAGTAAAAAGAACAAAGTCCAAGTCATCAAGTTATTTTACTTGAAACTATACTACAACGCTGTAATAACCAAATAGCTTGGTACTAGTACAAAAACAGACACAAAGATCAATGTAACAGGATACAGAACCCAGAAATAAAGCCACACACCTACCACCAACTGATCTTCAAAAAGGTTGACAACAAAATCAACGTAGAAAGGATTTCCTATTTAATAAATGGTGCTGGAATAACTGGCTAACCATATGCAGAAGAATGAAAGCAGACCCCTACCCATCATCATAAACAAAATTAAATCAAGATGGATTAAAGAATTAAATGTAAGACCTCAAACTATAAAAATCCTAGAATAAAACCTAGGAAATACTCCTATGGACATCTGCCTTGACAAATAATTTATGACTAAGTTCTCAAAAGCAATTGCAAAAAAAAAAAAAAAAAAAAGAAAGTGGAACCTAATTAAACTAAAGAGATTCTGCACAGCAAAAGAAACTATCAACAGAGTAAATAGAAAAAAACACAGAATGGAAGAAATACTCACAAACTATGTATCTGATAAAGGTCTAATATCCAGAATCTATAAGGAACTTAACAAGCCAAAAACAAATAACCCTGTTAAACAGTGGGCAAAGGGCCTAAATAGACACTTCTCAAAAGAAGACATACAAGTGGCCAACAGACATATGAACAAATGCTCATCATCACTAATCATCAGAGAAATGCAAATCAAAACCAGAATGAGGCACCATCTCACATCCGTCAGAATAGCTATTACTAAAAAGCCTAAAAACAACAGATGTTGGCAAGGCTGGAGAGAAAATGGAACACTTATACACTGTTGGTAGTAGTGTAAATTAGCTCTGTCACTGTGGAAAGCAGTTTGGAAATTTTTTAAAGAATTAAAAATAGAACAACTATTTACCCAGCCACCCCATTATTTAGTGTATGTATACCTAAAGGAAAATAATTTTTTTTTACCAAAAAGACCCATAAATTCTCATGTTCATCCTGTCACTCTTCAAAATAGCAAAGACATGAATCAACCTAAATGGCCATGAACAGTGGATTGAATAAGGAAAATGTGGCACATATGAAATACTACACAGCCATAAAAAGAATGAAATCACATCCTTTGCAGTAACATTGATGCAACTGAAGGCCAAACATTATCCTAAGGGAGTGTTTGACTTCAAAAGGCAGCATGAGGGAACATTTTCTGCTGGTGTAATGCTTCTGTATCCTGATTGTAATGGTGGTTACAAAATCTATATATAACTTAGATTCATAGAACTATATACCCAAAATATCTATTTAATTGTATATAAATTTAATAGTAATAACAAGAAATGACATTATTGTAATAATACACCACTAATTCAATGACTATATTGGAAATACGTGGACTCCAAGTGCTGGAGAGAATGTACAGGAAGTGGAACTCTTCTATTTTCTGAGGTAAATCACTTTGGAAAAGAGTGTTACATCTTTTTTTTTTTTTTTTTTTTTTCAGACAGGGTCTTACTAGTCACTCAGGATGGAGTGCAGTGCTGCGATCATGATCACTGCTCACTGCAGTCTTCAGCTCCCCAGGCTTAGGCGATCCTCCCATCTGTCTCCTGAATAATAGGGACTACAGGTGTTAGGCACCACGCCTAGCTAATTTTTGTATTTTTTGTAGAGATGAAGTTTTGCCATGTTGCCCAGGCTGGTTTCAAACTTCTGGACTCAAGTGATTCGACTGCCTCAGCCTTCCAAATTGCTAGGATTACAGGATGAGGCACCACTTCCGGCCTTATATCCATTTATAGTAAACACAAGCCAACACTATGACCCAACATTTTACTCCTAGATTATATAGTTAAGAGTGTGTATGTCAATCAAAAGTATATGTTAGAGTGCTCATAGCAGCTTCTCATAATTCCAAAATGTGGAAACAACTTTAAAAACTAGTAACTAAAGAATGTTTAGGTGACGTGTAATAGATTTACATAATAGAGTTCTATATAAAAATAAAAATAAACAAGCTACTGATAACACACAACAACATTGCTGAATCTCACAGATACGTTGAATGAAACAACAGAAACACAAAGAGAATATTTATATAATTCACCATGTATCTCAATGACAGAAAACACTAATCTCTGATAATAAAAAATGAGAACAGGAATTACCTCTGGAATGTAGTGGGTGAGTTGGAACAGGAGGAGTCATTTTTTGTTGATGAAAACATTCTATATCTCAATGTGAGTAGTGGTTAAATGGTTACAAACATGTATAAACTTCATTGAGTTATATGTTTAAGATTTGTATACTACACATACACTATATTCAATTTTAAAAGAATACTTTTTAAAAAGGAGATAAAAAGAAAGAATTTTTTTAAAAGAAAAAAGGAAAAGGAAAAGAAAGGAGAAAAATTAAAAACTTTCAGGTATCCCTTCCTATAGAATTCTAATTATCTAAATGCTGATGCTAAAGTAGATAAACATGGTAAACCTCCTTCTGCTTTGAAAATATTCTTTTTCTGGCTTATCTTCATATGCTATTTATTCAACATAGGTATTTAATTATTCCACGACCTCAGTTATTAGTCACATGAATATATAAAAAAGCATGCCGATTGGACAATTTAGTACTAAGAAATCTTCCTGAGCAGCTAAAGTCCTGAACACAGTCTGCACCATCTCTGCATTACATCTGACAACCTGCAGAGTAATCAGATAGTTGCTTGTATAGCTCATGCATGTGCAACTCAAATAAACACTTTATAATTGTATTTTATTTCATCCTCTTGATTTATTCAACACAGCAATTCTAGCTATCTGGTAGTCATGGACCCAAAAGAGGAAAATAGAATGATTAAGGGAACATCTTTTTCTTTATCTTTATTCTGGTAAAGTCTGTGATTGTTAACTCACTATTGCCACGAGCTTCTTCTCAGATCTCTGTTGTATTGTAGGGTACAAGCCAGGGACAATATAAGCGTTTCTTTTTGCTTCCTCTTATGAGAGTCACTAAGGTGAGATTTGAAATTTGGAGAGAAGAAGACACCACAATTCTGTTGATTTATTTTCAGGCATATACATGATCAGAGGGCTCAGGCAGGGAGCTAAGTAGTTTCTAAAGCAATGCCTGAGAATCACCAATTTTGGTGCTTAATGGAACATAGACACTGGCATCTGTGACCTTTGCTCCCCTAGACTTCCCTAGAGCCAAAGTAGGAACACCTCACCTAAGTAAGGGAAGACTTCCTAGAAGAAAGGACATTTAAGTTGATAAATAGAATTGGCATTAGTTTAATAAAGTTGGAAACTGAAACATTACAGGGGTCCTCTAGAAGATAAATATATCTAATCTTTTCCCAAACAATACCAATTGATTAATTTAGAAATATCCTCAGAGATATGAGAAACATTCTGTAACAACACACAAGCCTGTATATTTGAAAAACAATTCTTTCACAAGGAAGAAATGTATTTAAGACTGGAGTCAATCTTGGATCCATTTGCACAATGCCCATATTGCACTAATATATTTAGACACGCTGACAGGTAAACTACCTCTTGGCCTTTCAACAGGACGTACTTTTAAACTCATCTGTATTGAAAGGTGCTAACAACTTATTTAGTTATTATTAGCTACTGTGGCTTGAGGATCAACTCCCTGCCTGGTACTTTGTTTGGCATTTTGTGTTTGTTATTGGATCTAATGTTCCCCTCAAAACAGTTCTATAATAAGGAACCTATTTCACCAAGAAACATAAAGGCTTGCTGAACTGCAAGGCTTTTCACTGCACTTATGTGTCTTTTACAGATTGCATTTGTCTCTATACAACTTGCCAGTGGGCATGCACCTAGTATGTGCCAAACAGGGGAATGATTCTACCTCTGAATGCAGGACTTGCATTATTTTCCCTACTATACAATGGCTCCAAAGACAAAGACATATTTCTCGATCTCCTATAACTGATGTGAATCAATTGTATTTATCTTTTGGAATCCTTGGAATTAGACTACATTTATTATTTTATAGGAAGTAATATTTGTTGAGGACATGTCACGTACTAGGTCTTTTGTTACTTGTTTTATAAATACTGTATCATTTTATTTTTAAGCCTTCTGAGTAAATATTTTACCTGTATTGCAGGAAATAATTAGAAACTCAAAGAGATAAAATTTCATGGAGTTAATAAAAGTGGGAATTTGGATTTGAACTTTGTCTGGTTTGGTATTAAACCTCTATGTTTTTTGCAACTGTCCAATAAGTGTGACCTCTAACAGAAAATTCTAAGAGATATATTAATAGTAATACATGTTTAAATAAAAGTAAATTTCTCAGTGACAGTAGATTTAATTCAATGTGTTAAAGAAACTGAAAATTCATTCTGGCAAGCTGCTGAGATAATACATCAGGTTGGGCTGTGAGATATAAATTAACATTCACTAGAAATTAAGTATAGGTGTTATAGCTGAGATAGGAAACTAGGTAAACAAACCTAGTTTGAGAGATGAATAGTTGGTGCCAAATAGGATGCTTATCTAGCTGAAATCTTTACAAGCAAGCTGCCTTAGTTTATGAGCCACTGTGTGGTTTTATGAAACAACAACAGATCTTTGGACTAGCTGGAAAAAAGTTATCCTGGTGTCTGGACATGAAGAGGAGGTTCCATTGTTGAAAGACAAAAACATCCTCATAGGTGGGAATTGAACAATGAGAACACATGGACACAGGAAGGGGAACATCACACACTGGGGCCTGTTGTGGGGTAGGTGGATGGGGGATGGATAGCATTAGGAGATATACCTAATGTTAAATGATGAGTTAATGGGTGCAGCACACCAACATGGCACATGTATACATATGTAACAAACCTGCACATTATGCACATGTACCCTGAAACTTAAAGTATAATTTTTTAAAAAAAGCAGTAAAAATAGAGGTTGTTTAAACAAAAATCTTTGTTTTCTATAAAAGAGGGAAATAATATAAAGAAAAAGGCATTTTTTTTGTACATAGACATTTTTCTAGCTGGAGACAACCGTAAAATCACCAAGATAATGTTATTGTATAGATGTACAAGTGGAGAGCAAGAGAAGATTTACATATCTAAGCCCACAGAGCTTATTAGGTGTAATAACTTAAGTTTCCTTTTCCGAGCCCAGGGGGTGAACCTAGATGATCCTCTTTCCAAGAAATAGTTATTGATTTTTTACACACAAAGGCATGGTGCTACACAATGAGAGTACATTTTCCATTCAGGCCACAGAAGAAGTGAGTCTCTCATTGGATAATATTTATAATTCTTTTCTTATTTCCACTGCTTGAGCAATATACTGATCATGACAGAGACAAATGCAATCTGTAAAAGACACATAAGTGCAGTGAAAAGCCTTGCAGTTCAGAGAGAAAGAGATTGATCAACAACTGCAGAGGCTATTGTTGGAAACTAAAGCATATTGTGGAATTCAATTAAGGGTTTTTGTTAATTAAAGATTGTTGCTGAAGCAAGTGAATAAACGAATACCAAAATATACTAAATAAGAGCACTAAAGAAAAAATGTCACATTCTCATCCACATGCTGAAGACTACGAACAGACAAAAATAAAATTTTGGGAATTTGAAAGACAAATTAACAGGGTTAGCCTGGAAGAAAATAATTCTTGCATAAATGTAATTACACATTTATTATCGAGTTAGGAAAAAAAAATATCAAAATGTGCTTGTCTTAATTTAGGGTTATCAAAAATGGACAGAAAAAAGAACTTGCATACATACAGATGTTTTTTGGGGAGATGATCTATGGAATAACAGATTTTAGAGCATGAGACAGGAAAAGAGGAAAAGCTAACTTAAGGTCTATTATTGTTATGTCATCTGTAGGCAGCATGAGACTTCTGACAATCATAGAGGATGCTTTTTAGATTGTTCACCTAAAAAGCTAATGCCTTTTCCCACTGTCTGCAGTAACTGTTAGTTAAAGGTTGCCTTGAGGATGATAAGCCCCTGCCCTTCCAGATGAAATTGCCACTGAAGAAGACCTGGCAACAGAATGCAGAAAGTTGGGCGGAGTTGACACTAGGTGAGTCATTGGCAGCAGGAAATGAGTCTGAGCTCCTCATAACAGTTCACAACAGCTGTGGCTGCATCTGAGGTGGGCTGAGGGGGCATGTCATAGGCACCAGAGGTATCTACTACAGCACTGTATTTCCTATATAATTTGTTGTAAACAATTTTTATTCAAGACACTCTTCTTTTTTATGCCTATAATTAAGAGAATGTACCCATCCAGGCTGTAGGTTCATTCCTATCTACCTATAAGTGGGTCCCATTTACACTTCATAAGAGGGTCTAATGGTCAGCCATGCCAAAGTCAGAAAAGCAGTTATCCCCTGCCATTTACTCCCTCATCTGCCTGATTATTTAATGCTTTCTGAATGCTTCCTGATTGATTCAATTTGTATTTTGCTTCATGTTGCACTTCTTCCACGTTTCCAACTATTTATTCCATGTGCTGATGGAGATGACTTATTCATGAGTCACACAATGATCATTTGATTATTTGTTTAAATTGTAATACTGAGCAAGACAATTTCAGTGATCATTTGCTTTAAAAATAAAAAGTATTCTAGCATATTATTAATGAACTTTTAGATAATGATAGTAAAAGGAAAAATGCATTTTATAATAAAGAGATAATGAGTTAGTTTTTGAATATGCTGTTAAACAGATAGCAGAAAAAATTAATATGCAAAATAAAACTATCTATAAAACTAGAGATCTAGATTTGGGAATTATTGATATTAGATGACTAGAAGATGAATTCCCATATGTAAAACTGAGAAATAAAACAGATGAAAATAGATTTCTTGCATGTGCATACAGAAGGCAGAAGAAGAGTAAGAGAGACAGGAAATAGGGTCAAGATTTTTTTTTTAATTTGCATGTATGTTTTAGGAAGAAGAGAAAAGAAAGATTTAATTAAAGTGTTGAGTATTAGTTGTAAATTTGAAATCAAGAAGTGACAAAGAACTCTATATTTAGTGATATGCCATTTTTCCTCTCATGAGTGCTTTTGGTGAACTGATGGCAAAGGTTTATTTGCTGCAGAAGGGCTAGAAAGGGAGTACAATCTGAGGACATGGTGAGAAGCCTGAAACTGAAACCCATAATTTTGAGTGTCTCCTATTATCATGAGTAGATTTTTAATTTAGCACAGTTTCATTTTCATAGAATTTTAAAGAACTTCTCTAGTGAGAAAGAAACAATGGGGACAGAGAAATTGAATCCATTACAGGAAGGCAATCATTGACACATAAATTGATGGAGGAGTTAATCACATAAAAGTAGCCATACAATGTTCCCTTTTCAAAAAGGTGTGAGACAGATACAGTGAAAATACAAACTATCCATAAATCAACTGAGGGGAAGCTGTAGATATGATTGATGATCCTAGTACTCACAGGTAGAACATAAAAAGCATAAGTTCATTTGTCAGGGGGAGGTGGTGTTTTGGTACTTGAGAAGAGTAAAATTAATAATGAAACTGTAAATGATAGTACATATTTATGAGATAACAGTAAGGTTCTGTTTATATGCCTGGTAGTAGACAAAAGGTTTAGGATTTCTGTGGATTATGAGTGTCTCAGAAAGTCAGGATTGGGTGCTAACCATTGCTTTGCCACTAGCTGAATAACCAACAAGTCACTTAACATCTCCCCATCTTAATGTACCTTTTTCTAATTTTTTTTTGATGCTGACAAAAAAGCTTTGTAGAAGCAAAAGTGATAATAATATGATGAAAATGAAAAGTGATGAATCCAATAAGATTTACAGAGGAATTAACCCTTGACAGCTGTGTGGGATGGCCTGTGAAATATAAACACCTACACACCAGGAAGGCCTGTCTCCCTTGAGACAAAAGAGTGGACAGAGAAGAGAGTCTTAATGGTCATAGTGGCAGGAAGCAGACAAATGCCTAGGCAGATATGGGCAGGTCTGCAATGAAACCCCACCACCTTCAAGCCAAAAACAGCCAGAAGGCTGAAACACCCAAGTGTTCATTCTGGATGAAAAATGTGACACAGAGTGAGAACTTCTTTTCCTGTTTTCTTGCCCTTTCCTGGTTGGTTCTTTCTGAATAATGCTTGATGAATCAAATGTTTCCTTTTCCCATATTACCTACAGCCCGCCCCTCCCCCATCCTGTGCCTATAAAAACCCCAGATTCAGCCACCCTGGGGGAGAAACCACCCAAGCATGGGAGTGGGGGACCATCCATTTCCCCTCTGCTGAAAGTTATTCTGTCAATCAATACAATTATTCTCTACCCTCCTGACTCTTTGAGTCAGAATATCCTCATTTTTCTTGGACATGAGACAAGAGCTTGGGACACACTGAATATGTGTATAGAAAAGGCTATAACATCGTGGCCCTCTGCCCTCTGCTGGAGGAGGGCAGACACACCATGTGACAGAAACACTGGCAGGGTTTTGCCTGCCTTGATGCCTTGGGCCGAGGTGCAGCAAGGGAGCATCTGGCCAGGTGTTTCTGGCTGGCAAAAGTGATGGAGAAGAATCCTGTGTCATTTTCTGGGGGATCATCTGGGATCCCTGAAGGGTGAGTAAATGTGGAACTACACTCTTCATTGTTTTCTAAGGCTTCTTGTCCTCAGACTTTTTACTAAAGACATATGAAGGACCAAATCTCTGATTAGCTAGTTAAGAGTGAATAGCACTACTACAGAGGACAGGATGCAGGAGAGGACACTGCCACCACCACCCTCTTGGCTCTCAGGGGTTGGGAATGTCAGTTTCAGTATAATCTAGTCTTTTTTATGGCATTTTCCTTCTTTATTTTAGGGCGTCATGGCACCTATCTTTTCTTTGACAATGTTGGGGTGTTGTTGCAAACTAGAGACATAACTGGATAGTTATATTTCTATAACTATCCAGTTATAGTCATCAAAATATGTAATTCAGAACAGTCATCAACAATTTAATTCAGAATAGTGCAGTTTTCATCTATTCTCAGAAGCAGGGAGGAGTCAGTGATTACAAGTTGTTTGTTTTTTTTTTTCCCTGTTGAAGGAACCAATTTGCATGAGAGCAAGAGACTTTTTCCCCAGGCATCTTCCCCTCCCTGCATTAAAAGAAGTTTTTACTTCTTTTCTCCACCATGCTAGGAGTTAACACAGCCCTGTGAATACAGAAAACTTTTCTACGTTTCTTTTTTTTTTTTTCTGGAAGACATGTTCCTAGGTCAGGTCCCAAATTCTAAGGGACTCCCTGTTCTCTCCCTTGTTTGAGGAGGATTCAGTTCCACAGTTTTCACCTTAGCTTTTGGCTTATGGTAAGAAAGCAGTGAAAGAGCAGCCCTCCTGGCTGTTGACTGCAGTCTGGCAAGGGCCACCTGGGACTTATCTTAATGAGTCCATGTACCCTCCTGAGGTTTTTTTTTTTTGTCCCAAACTCAATCCCAAGCTTCCAGTTGAAGCCCTAGAAAGGAAAACTGGATTTGAGGGATCCAGAGGCAGATGACAACAGAAGTCAAGGGGCACAGTACACGTGAGTATGACTAATTCCAGCTGATTAGTGCCCCCCCAGTCCCCCTGCCCCGTTTCGTGGATGGAGATCATGCTCGTATACATGGCATAGATGAGATCTAGGGAACTCAAACGTTACTGACAGCGGGGAGGATAGGCCAGTGCATAGGTGAGTGCAGATGAATCCTACCCTGTTGGTCTCCCTGTTATATGGGTGAAAACCACATTGGCACCCACAAGTGGTGCCCACCGAGGTTGCCAGGACTCAGAAATATAAGTGCGGAAGACAAAACGGGGACACTTTTTTGTCTCTCTCTCTCACACACTCTGTGTATTCACTGGGAAGAGAAACAAACTACAGAATATATTTTTCCCCTATTTCCAGATGGGTAACCAACCATCGTCGGTCTGTATTTCTCTTGAATGCATCCTGAATCATTGGGACTCCTGTGGAAAAAAATGCCCAATTTCTCCTGTTTCCTTCTCCATCCTCTCTTTGTGGATGAGTAATTGTGTGTCCATAACACAGGACCCTCCCCTGGGATGTATTCCCCAAACTGAGAAAAATTTAATTTCCCCAAACCTTAAACTGTTTGGTTTAAAAATGAATCAGGAAGAAATTACAGATCTAACTACACAAGTCTCTTGAGGAGGGACAACTTTTACAGTATGCAAATAAAACCTATTTGTCTATTCCCCCTTTACAGGACTCCAGGGTCAAAAGGGCTCCACAGCTCAGGGGAAGGAAACCCAGCAGCCTGACATGCTGACAAAAGAGTAAAAGCTCTTACCAGTCAGACTTCTGGCCTCTCTCTCTCTGTGCAAACTGGTTGTGGGAATGGTAAAAATCACTGTGTACATCCTCTGTAAAGTTTTGATTAATGGAAATAAGAATTTGTGAGGCTAGTCTTATGCTATAGCCAATCTGGTGCGCTTTGTGTGTCTTTCTTTATGGTTCTATCAGAAAGAGGGTTACCTTAGGATAGAATGCTGGCCTAGGACCCCATAAGCTCACTGTTCAAGCCAGCCTAGCAAACTGGTTAGTAACAACTTTTCTGCAGGTCTCTGAAGGAAAAAACAAACAAACTGGATGAGTTCTCCACCTTGTTTTACATCCTCGGGAGCTTGACCTTGTAACCATGTGGCAGTCCTTTCTTTTGATCTCTGCCATTTTACAATGACAGCCTGGGTTCAACCCAGGCTTAGGAAATGAGTACTTTCTGGTTAATATCTGTGTGACATTTGCTGATTCGCTTCCCTTCCATGAACGACTTCTAGAATCCTTTCTTAAATCTTTCTTTCTCTGAGCTACCATTGAAGATTCTAGATATTGTAAAAACTCCTTATCACCTCTTTGAAAATACCTCATACACTCGCAGTTAAGTCATAACCATAGTTAACGCTTATTGGTTTCATCTGTGAGGTTACTTTTGGTTAAGTTCAAAAGCCAGAAATATTGGCCACTTGGCGTGGCTAAAGTCGTGTAATAATGGATTTAAAATAATTTTTTAAAAGAGTGCTATGTTTAAAATTCAGCTTCATTAAATATGGATATCCAAGCTATAGATATATTTACAGGGCCTTTATGTCTTTTTTTTTTTAATCTTCTTGGATCTTGTTTTGCTGGAAAAAGGGTTTTTTCTTCTCAGTCAATTGAATTATCTTTATTCACTTTTAATGCACACACGAGAGGCCCTAAGGTAACTTCTGATAGCTTGGGACTCCTTGGGAGAAACAAAGAAGGCACCACATACCCAATTTTGGAAAAAAATATCTGTTTTCCTCATGGAACCCCAAGAATTAAAAGTGGATAGATCCCTCTAAAAATCTGTTTTTGTCTTCCAGCTATACCTGATTATTAAACCCTAAAAACTGAATGTTTTCCTAGTCCTATTTCTTGAAAGGCTTCACCATGAGGCCAATAATTCAATTAAGAGATTGGCAAGTAAAAATCTTACAATTACTGGATCTTCTTCTGCCTGTCTGCATATATGGTTTATGTGTGTGATGTTCATATACAAAAGAGCTCTAAGTAATTGGCATGCAGAAAAATAAGTGCTTAGCTCAAATATTTTTAAAGAAAAGGCAAGCTGTAATGTCTTTCAGTTCACATGACTTTACTATTTGAAAAATAAAAACAGTATTAAAGATTATTGGTAAAATACAAATGTTTTCAAAATGTAAAATTGTGGTCTAAATTATGTTCAGATATTAGGTTTGCTAAATGCTTTAAAGTCACAAACTGCTTCTTTGGCTTTTGAAAATTGTTCAATTTGCCTGCTTTACAGTTTGGTAAGGCCTGGAGACATATGAAACTAACCACGCCCCCAACTTTGCTGGAAAGAGTCAGACCTTATATGCACCTAGTACGTAATTAAAATAACTTACCAGGTTTTACATTAAAAGTAAAAATTGCTAAGAGTTACCATTATTACATGTAATTGTTATACTGAGACTA
Source organism: Homo sapiens (assembly GCF_000001405.40). NCBI lineage: Eukaryota > Metazoa > Chordata > Mammalia > Primates > Hominidae > Homo > Homo sapiens. The sequence goes on along the minus strand of NC_000002.12, from coordinate 13,647,217 downwards.
CTGAAAATAGATTTACATTCAAGGTATGTAAGGAAAGTTAAATGTGATTTTACTAAAAGATTATAAAAAGACATGACAATGTAAATTTTTGCCTAGTTAGAGGGTTAAAGGATTGTCTTAAATTAGATAAGATAAAGCTGAATGTTTAAAAAATTTATGAAAGATTTGTAAAAATTAATCTTAGCAAATAAATTCTTTATGTGAACATATTGACAAGATTCAAAAGAGTATTATATGGTTTTTCTGTAAATTGAGCATTGAAATAAAAACACAAGGTTTTCTTAAGGCACTGATGTCCTTTTTAACAAAAATTTGCAAAGGATTATAAAAGGTTTATAGTAATCTCACCTCATGGTCAAACTGATTAAGATTGGATAGAATTATCTATAAGGTTTCATTTAAAAATTGGGGTTAAGATTGTTAGTAGACTAATGCAAGGGTGAAATTTGGCTTTCTCTCCCTTGAACAAGATTTTTATGTAATACTAAAGGATAATGAATGATTTTTGTTTGCCTTGTGAATGAACTACCAAAAAAGAAGATAACAAGAAACAAATTGTTTGGAAAGTTAAGTCTTCTGTCTTAATGAGTAAAGGTTTTTGCCTTGTTTTAAAATATTTGAGTCATATTTTGGCTAAATAAAAAACTTAAGGTAATCTGGAGTTCTATTTAATAATATGAAGTGTTTAAATCTCTAAAATATTTAACAGGCTTCTACAAATTAAACTTCAGCTTCAAAAGTTGTGTTTTTTCTGACCCCTAAACTTTTGAATGCTACAGAGGCCCCTGGAGCATCCAAAAGAGAGGTGAACAGGGCTATTTCACATGCTGAGTTACATGGGATTGCCAAAATAAAAATAAGGTTTAATCTTCTTCAAGTTATATTTTAGTGAGTATTAATATATGTTTCAAAATTTTATGGCATTTATAAAATTCTAATGTCTGTGTATATGCTACCAATCATAATAAAGGATATAATGTTAAGTTATTGTAAATCGCAGATACAACCTAATTTCTTTGTCAATCATGTTTTTGACTGTAACTCCTCTGGACATTTTGTAACTCACAGACAATTGCTGTCTTGCTTGATCCTTTACAAAAGATGGTTTATAATCAGCTCTAGGACTTCAGCAGGTGCTGTCAAATGCAGGTTTCTGATAACTTTGGATGTTGTGATAATGGCATAGAGGAAAAATGTACAGGACTCATGAAGAGCTGTGATGTTCATGAATATCAAGCAGAGCAAAAGTAAGTGGAATGAACTAAATAGAAAACTGAAGTAATCCTTTTTAACTTTTTGTTTAAAATATTGTTGAACCTTGTTTTATTTTTCAGAGTCAAGGAAAATTTGAGCTATCTGCAACTTTTAAAAATTGAGTAAAGTATATTCCTGTGAATAAAATTTGAAGGTAGTTGTTTCTCCTTACCTGGTTTCTCCAGAATTTGGAAACTATTTGTGAGTATTCTTAACTAATGGCAATATAGTTATTTGCATAAGTACAATAAGAATCCATTTTCTTTTGCAGCAGGACACAATTGGACAAAAAAAAATTGTTTTATCAAGGGTTTGACTAGAATGGTGTGCTCTCCTTCAGGGAATTAAGCTTAACTTACAGAACCAATATAAATCCCTTGGGAAAACTGGCCTCATGCATTGTCTACAAAGTCCCTGTATGGGGTTCTTGACCTGCGATGAGTAAAGAATGTCACATTCTAACAGGTCTAGGAACCTCAAGCTATCTTGGGACCTCAGGAAGAGAGGAATTTACCTGACTCACAGATATTTCAGCATACAAACCCATTGCTGGGCTTGGCTTTAAAAGGTCTTATCTGAGATTCATTGTGAAACAGAGTTCCCTCAAAGCCAATCTAGAAAAGCCTATGGGAAAATAATTATTCTTGCTGCACTTTATGCAATTAATCAGGCCAAGTATAAGACTAAACTTTATTTTGCAAACAACTCAGTTCTGTCATAATTTTTTTTTTTTAAAAAAATAAAGACTGGAGAGAGACAACTTGTGTTTCAAAACTTATAGACTAGTCATTAAATTCTAGTCTCATTAGTAGTTTAAGTTTTTATCTGTATTTTAGACTAACCCTGTGGATTAGTCTGTTCTCAAGATGTTAATAAAGCCATACCCAAGACTGGGTAGTTTATAAAGGAAGACGTTTAATTGATCCATAGTTCTGTATTGCTGGTGAGGCCTCAGGAAACTTACAATCATGGCAGAAGGCACTTCTTTACAGGGAAGCAGAAGAGAGAATGAGCACTGAGTGAAGGGGAAAGCTCCTTATAAAAGCCATCAGACCTCATAGAACTCACTCACTATCACGAGAATAACATGAGAGAAACTGCCCCCATGATTCAATTATCTCCACCTGGCCCCACCCTTGACACATAGGGATTATTACAATCCAAGGTGAGATTTAGGTGGGGACACAGAACCTAACAATATCATATCTTCCCCTGGCCCCTACCAAATCTCATGTCCTCCAATTCAAAACACAATCATGCCCTTCCAATAGTCTCCGAAAGACTCAACTCATTCCAGCATTAACCCAAAAGTCCAAGTCCAAGATCTTGTCTGAGACAAGGCAATTCCCTTCCACCATTGAGCCTGTAAAATCAAAAGCAAGTTAATTACTTTCTAGATACAGTGGAGGTGAAGGCATTGGGTAAATACACCTGTTTCAAATGGGAGAAATTTGCCAAAAAAGGGGCTACAGGCTCCATGCAAGTCAGAAATCCAGTAAGGCTTCCAAATCTTAAAGCTCCAAAATGATCTCCCTTTGACTCCATGTCACATATCCAGGTCACGATGATGCAAGAGGTGGGCTTCCACAGCCTTGGGCAGCCCCACTCCTGTGGCTTTGTAGGGTATAGCCCACTCTCTGCTGCTTTCATTGACTAGCATTGAGTGTCTGTAGCTTATCCATGGGCACGGTGCAAGTTGTCAGTGAATCTACCATTGTGGGGTATGGAGTATGGTGACCCCCTTCTCATAGCTCCAATAGGCAGTGCCCCAGTGGGGACTCTGAGTGGGGGCTCCAACACCACATTTCCCTTCTGCACTGCCTTAGCAGACGCTCTGCATGAAGGCTCTGTCACTGCAGCAAACTTCTTCCTGGACATCTAGGGGTTCCCACACATACTCTGAAATCTAAGAAAAGGTTTCCAGATCTCAATTCTTGACCTCAGTGTACCCATAGCCCCAACACCACATGAAGCCACCAGGGGTTTGGGCTTGCACCCTCTGAAGTAACAGCCTCAACTGTGTGTTGGCCCCTTTTAGCCACAGCTGGAGTTGAAGCAGCTGGGACAGAGGGCACCATGTCTCAAGGTTGCACAGAGCAGGAGGCTCTGGGCCCAGCCCACAAAACCATTTTGCTTTCCTAGGCCTCCAGGTCTGTGATAGTAGTGGCTGCTATGAAGATCTCTGATGTGCACTGGAGTCATTTTCCCCCTTGTCTTGGTGGTTAACATTTGGGTCCTTGTTACTTATGCAAATTTCTGCAGCCAGCTTGAATTCCTTCCCAGAAAATTGGTTTTTCTTTTCTACTGCTTTGTCAGGCTGCAAATTTTCAAAACTTTTATGCTCTGCTTCCTCTTGAACACTTTGCTGCTTAGAAATTTCTTCTGCCAGATAATCTAAATCATCTCTTTCAAGTTCAAAGTTTCACGGATCTGTAGAGCAGGAACAAAATGCCACCAGTCTCTTTGCGTATCACCTTTATTCCAGTTCCCAACAAGTGTCTTATCTTCACCTGAAACCACCTTTTAGCAGGCATAACTATATCCACCAGTTATCTGGGCATGTCAGCAGCCTTGGGAATTTTGAGCTGTCTTTACCCCCTTGTTTCATTTTGATACATGTCTTCTAATAATCTGGTTTGTCTCTTCTTGCCTTCAGGCCATCAAACTCCAAATGTTCATGCAACTGGAGCCTCATATTATGGCTGCCATTTACCAGAGACCCTTAGATAGGCATATGAGAGAGATCTGACTGCTCTCTTTCCAAAACAGCTTACCTGTCAGCAGAAAGCAGATAAGAGTGATCACCATCCTTTTCCTAAGGGCAGTGTACCTCTTGATAGGGGAAAATTAATAGTGGCAGGAGACAGACAAATGCCTAGGCAGATAGGGGCACTTCCCTGGTAAAACCCTACCTTCAAGCCAAAAACAGCCTGAAGACTGAAAAACCAGACTGCTGGTTCCTGATGAAAAACACAACCTGGAGTGAGAAATTCTGTTTCTGTTTTCCTGCCCTTTTCCATTTGGTTATTTCTGAATTATACTTTTTAATCAATTGAATGTTGCTTTTTCCAAGACTACCTATGGCCTGCCCCACCCCCATCCTGTGCCTACAAAAACTCCAGACTCAGCCATCCTGGGGGAGAAACGACCTGATTGCAGGAGTGGGGGACCACTCCTGTGTGCCCTCTCCCCGAGAGCTGTTCCGTTGCTCAATAAAATTATTATAGCATGGTACTGGTACCAAAATAGACATACAGATCAATGGAACAGAACTGAGCCCTCAGAAATAACGCCGCATATCTACAACTATCTGATCTTTGACAAACCTGAGAAAAACAAGCAATGGGGAAAGGATTCCCTATTTAATAAATGGTGCTGGGAAAACTGGCTAGCCATATGTAGAAAGCTGAAACTGGATCCCTTCCTTACACCTCATACAAAAATTAATTCAAGATGGATTAAAGACTTAAACATTAGACCTAAAACCATAAAAACCCTAGAAGAAAACCTAGGCATTACCATTCAGGACATAGGCATGGGCAAGGACTTCATGTCTAAAACACCAAAAGCAATGGCAACAAAAGATAAAATTGACAAATGGGATCTAATTAAACTAAAGAGCTTCTGCACAGCAAAAGAAACTACCATCAGAGTGAACAGGCAACCTACAAAATGGGAGAACATTTTTGCAAAAATATCCAGAATCTACAATGAACTCAAACAAATTTACAAGAAAAAAAACAAAGAACCCCATCAAAAAGTGGGCCAAGGACATGAACAGACACTTCTCAAAAGAAGACATTTATGCAGCCAAAAAACACATGAAAAAATGCTCATCATCACTGGCCATCAGAGAAATGCAAATCAAAACACAATGAGATACCATCTCACACCAGTTAGAATGGCAATCATTAAAAAGTCAGGAAACAACAGGTGCTGGAGAGGATGTGGAGAAATAGGAACACTTTTACACTGTTGGTGGGACTGTAAACTAGTTCAACCATTGTGGAAGTCAGTGTGGCGATTCCTCAGGGAATCTGGAGCTAGAAATACCATTTGACCCAGCCATCCCATTACTGGGTATATACCCAAAGGACTAGAAATCATGCTGCTATAAAGACACATGGACACATATGTTTATTGTGGCACTATTCACAATAGCAAAGACTTGGAACCCACCCAAATGTCCAACAATGATAGACTGGATTAAGAAAATGTGGCCCATATACACCATGGAATACTATGCAGCCATAAGAAATGATGAGTTCATGTCCTTTGTAGGGACATGGATGAAATTGGAAATCATCATTCTCAGTAAATTATCGCAAGGACAAAAAACCAAACACCACATGTTCTCACTCATAGGTGGGAACTGAACAATGAGAACACATGGACACAGGAAGGGGAACATCACCCTCCGGGGACTGGTGTGGGGTGGCAGGAGGGGGGACGGATAGCATTAGGAGATATACCTAATGCTAAATGACGAGTTCATGGGTGCAGCACACCAGCATGGCACATGTATACATATGTAACTAACCTGCACATTGTGCACATGTACCCTAAAACTTAAAGTATAATAATAATAAAATTAAAATAAAATAAAATAAAATTATTCTCCACCCTCCTCACTCTTTGATCATCAGCATATCCTCATTCTTCTTGGATGTGAGACAAGAGCTCAGGACCTACTGAACTTGTGTACAGAGAAGGCTGTAACATCATGCCCTCTGCCCTCCCCTGGCAGATGGTAGCCACCCCATGTGACAGAAATGTTGGCAGGGCTGAGCCAGCCCCAAAGCAGCAGGCCAAGGTGGGGCAAGGGTATTGTCAGCTGGGTGTTTCCAGCTGGTGAAAGTGATTAAGATAAGTCCTGCATCAATGGCAGATTAGATACTGTCTGTTCTATGTATCTCACATGCAAGGGGCCCTGTAAAATGAATTTTTATGTTATTGTCTACAGAAAAGCTACCCTCTACTGTGAATATACATAGGAAAATGTCCTCACTATGACCCATCATGGGTGGACTAGGAAATCATCATGTTTAATATGAAGATTGGAGTCTATAGATATGTAAGTTTACACATTTTGTTCCTGGTCAAATTAATCAGTCAAAAAGTTTGAAGATTGTGATATTCATATTTGAGATTTTACAATTAAAATCAGTGTATAATTTCCTAAGAGAAATAGTAAGATATGATGAAAAAAATGCAAAGATGTTTTGAGGAAAACCCCAGACAATATTAAATATCTAGGGTCTGTAATTTTTCCCTAGAAAAAGCATGTTATAAATTATCCATTCATATTATTAGTTTTAATCATTTCCTTTAGTTTAGATTGACAGCTTCCTTTTCTCACAACCCCAATCCTAATACTTTTGAATAGAGGCAATTTGTAAAGACATGCCCTGAGGAAAGTTATATTCATGCACCATGCTTTCCTAGTATTTAAATCAAAAAGAGCCTTCTATTATTTGACAGAAAAGTAATGAATAAAATAACAGCAGGATGAAAGAAACACTTTCTAGGAGGACATAGCTATTGATAACATAGAAATAACTTCCTATCTTTGACAGTCAAAATGGTTCACAGTTAAAAATCTTATAAATGTATTTTGTGGGATTAGAGATGAAAGAACTGATTCAGTTCCTACTTTGCTGAGCTGTTTTTGTTTTATTCAGCTTTATCGACTTCTTTTTCCTACACCTTCTCCCCTAGATTATTCTTTCAGCCGTCAAGAATCAGCTCCAGTGTCATTTTCATTCTGAAAGCTTTCTATTCCTCCCTAGGTTGTACCAGTTGGTTCCTCTTAAATTTGTGCTCTCACGTCACATAATATTTCCTGTATTGCATTTGTATTAGCCAATATCCAGTTAGGAAAATACACACAATGCTACTTCTTTCAAATGGGAAATTGAATACCAGGAACTGGTTTTAATGTGCTGGAAGAACTGGATGAGCAAAAGAAGGTTAAGTTATCTCACCAGTTGGTAGCTGATTCAAATCTAATGATTAACCAACCAACTGAATGGGAGATCAAGTGAAATGAGCCAAGAAAGTATTATCTCAAAAAAGATTGCCCAAAGCGACCAAACTAAGTTAAGGCAAAAATACCAATGGCTTCACTTTACAAAATGGAAACTCTACCCGTAGCACAGTAGTCATTAGCATACTTGAGTCTTCCTCCTCTGAGTGTTCCATCTCAGAGATATTAACATATTTAGACAGAATGTCCCACATAATTAACATAGAATAGAGCGGTGTGAGCTGTTAAGAAAATTATTCTAATGTGTATGAGCTTTGGAATTAGAAAGGTTGGTTGGTTTTCTCTATTCTTTAAACTCAAGTGAGGAAATACAATTTCTATCTCACAGAATTGCTGATAAGATTGGAGAACATAAATTCAAAAAGAATAGTACATAGTGTGTGCTCAATCACTGAAAGCTACTCTTTATATTACTATTTTTCATTAAAACTCTGTTTCCTTTTGCTCTGATTCTGTCTTTATAAATTCACCTTTAGGATGATTCATTTGCTTTCTGGATATGTTGATTCTGATCAACTATAGCCATATATGTAATTATTTTGACACACAGATTATCTTTTGATTTCTTATTTAGATCTCCTTCAAGCTATAACCAACATTTTAGAGTGAACTGAGAACCTACCCTACTTTTTGGGTGGCCCTGCTTGATGACCAAATCTAGGTTATGATGAATTCACCTAATTAACCTACCATGCACACAAATGGTGACAAATCTGCCTGCTTCTTTTTCTTTGCAGGCATCATCACCCCATTTATTCTTGACAAGTTGCTCCCTTTTGTTACATTCAAATTTCATCAGTATCTAAGATTTCTTTCACATGACTGTGATCGCCTATATGGTGATTAACATTGGCTTTGATTAAAAGAAATAGAGACATAAATTTTATTTTTAAAGAGTAAGTAGATTTTTACCAGTATAACAAAATGTATTTTTGCAAAATATCAATTATTTACCCACAATTAAAAATAAATAAAAATGCTTCAAAACAACCTGCACAAAAAGAGCATACACATTCTATTTACTTAATAACAATTTTAGATGTAAAATGCTTTTAAGAACTTACTACACTAAAATGTTCAAAACCAAAGGACAAAAACATTAATTGAAACACTCTTTGCAAAGATTATAACAGTGAAGAAATTATGACAGTGCAAGTGATCTGACCTAACTGACTTCAACTTGCCTTTAACTTCCAAGCTGCCCTTGTTCATTCTTGGGTGCAGGTTGAACTAACTTTGAGAAGAACTTAGTTTAGAGTTTAACATTGAAACAAAGATGACAACATCCCCTCCCCAAAACGAACCCCACTTTACTTGAGGACAAGATCATCTCTGTAAAATTAACAAATTATCCACAAGATTAGAAATTATGGCTCAGGAGTCATGCAGCCAGAGACCACAAGATTCCTCATCTCCCTAATTACTCCTGTGGCTAACATTGCTGTTGTAAAGCCTAGGATTTACCTTCAAGATATTTTTCAGAGCCTGTATTCCGATGAATCAGCCAGCACCACCCAGACTAATAAACTAGTTCATCTGGTCTTGTGGTCCCCACCCAGAAATTGACTCAGTGCACGAGAATAGCTTTGACTCCCTATGATTTCATCTCCAGCACAACTAACTGGCATTCCATGTTCCCTGGACCCTCTCCTGCCAAGCTATGTTAAAAAAAACCTACTCTCCAAGTTTTCAGAATGGCTGACTTGAGTAATAACAAAATCCTGGTCTCTCTTTTAGCCAGCTCTATGTGTATTAAACTCTGTCTCTATTGCAATTACCCTGTCTTGATAAATCAGCTCTATCTGGGCAGCAGACAAGGAGAACCCATTGGACAGTTACAAAACCACTTAATGGTGTATGACACCATAATTTTATTTCTGTAACACTGCAGGTGGATTTTTGTGCTAGGAAAAAATGAAAAATATAGATTAGAATGTAAATTAAAGGAATGGGTGTTCATCAATTTCTGGTTAACTAAAACTTTGTATGGACTGGATGCCTTTGAGCATCAATTGTGTTGAGAAAAACTTTCTTACATATTACTAATACTTTTTTTACTTTAGCAAAAATGCTTTTGATATTTCAGAATCCTGTTGTATATTTGTCAAATTTATAAGCACCTGATTAACTTTTTAAATTTAAGTATCAATGTCACCCTTCAGATGTGATTTCCATTACTATTCCTTATAACATTTTTTACCCTAATGAACCTAGGACTTAGAATAGGGAAGACACTAAAATCTACTTAGATAATTGGCCTTAAAGATACTTTATTCAGAAAGTGATTTTTGAATGCCTACTATATTCCTAGCTTTGTCTAGATAAAGCAAAACAGATACAACCCTCTCTTTGGGAGCTCATATTCTAGTAAAAAGCTTGACTACTGCTTCTGAATCACTTGTGAGCATTCATTTCATTTTACAATATGTGTATAGATGTCTATTTCCTCTATGAGAGTAAATAAAACCTTTCTTATGCACATCATTCTTTGGATTTTCATATGAAAAAATTTAATTTATTTTATTTTGAGATGGAGTCTCTCTCTGTTGCCCAGGCTGGAGTGCAGTGGCTCCATCTTGGTTCACTGCAACCTCTGCCTCCAGGGTTCAAGTGATTCTCCTGCCTCAGCCTCCAAGTAGCTGGGATTACAGGTGCCTGCCACCACGCCCAGCTAATTTTTATATTTTTAGTAGAGACAGGGTTTTGCCATGTTGGCCAGGCTGGTCTCGAACTCCTGACCTCAAGTGATCTGCCCACCTTGGCCTCCCAAAGTGCTGGGATTACAGGCCTGAGCCACGGTGCCCGGCCTAGAAAAATTTTAAAATGCATAATTTGACAAGGCCTAAATTCTTATTTATTTAGTTCCTATTTTCTATTATGACAATGTCAAGTATTCATTTTTGCCTCTCAGTTCTCTCAGTACACCTTCTGCAATTTTGTAATCTGGTTGGCTTTTTCTGTGACAGTTTGCTACAGTGTTCTGTTCCCCTTTACTGTTTTTTGTCCTTTGTTACTTCCTCCTTACTAAAAGGCTAATCATCAAGGACTTTCCTACCTTTCGTTTTCTGGTTTATATTTACTTTGATTGATTAATCTTAACACTACCTTAAACACTGAGTTTTTAATAAGTATCTTTTGCATTTATTTCAGTTTTGTTATGAAAATCAGATCTTCTTTGCAACAATATTATCTTATTGAATACCATATAGAACTCCTCAAAAAGCTGATGGTTTCTGTTTTAAAGGTGGTGATAAAATACACTGATAAATCCATACTTTCACCAAGAATGGATCTAATACGTTATCAATTATCACCACTAAAATCACTGAAATCTGTAAGATCATAGTTAAAACTATTTGATGTGGTGTGCCAATTTATAATCTAAGGATCAGACTAAAAAAACAATTTCTTGCATGTTGATCATAAATTAAAATTTTTATAAAAACATGGAGCTTGTAAATTTGTTTGAGTTCATTGTAGATTCTGGATATTAGCCCTTTGTCAGATGAGTAGGTTGCAAAAATTTTCTCCCACTCTGTAGGTTGCCTGTTCACTCTGATGGTAGTTTCTTTTGCTGTGCAGAAGCTCTTTAGTTTAATTAGATCCCATTTGTCAATTTTGGCTTTTGTTGCCATTGCTTTTGGTGTTTTAGACATGAAGTCCTTGCCCATGCCTATGTCCTGAATGGTATTGCCTAGGTTTTCTTCTAGGGTTTTTATGGTTTTAGGTCTAACATTTAAGTCTTTAATCCATCTTGAATTAATTTTTGTATAAAGTGTAAGGAAGGGATCCAGTTTCAGCTTTCTACATATGGCCAGCCAGTTTTCCCAGCACCATTTATTAAATAGGGAATCCTTTCCCCATTGCATGTTTTTGTCAGGTTTGTCAGAGATCAGATAGTTGTAGATATGTGGCATTATTTCTGAGGGCTCTGTTCTGTTCCATTGGTCTGTATCTCTGTTTTGGTAGTAGTACCATGCTGTTTTGGTTACTGTAGCCTTGTAGTATAGTTTGAAGTCAGGTAGCGTGATGCCTCCAGCTTTGTTCTTTTGGCTTAGTATTGACTTGGCAATGTGGGCTCTTTTTTGGTGCCATATGAACTTTAAAGTAGTTTTTTCCAATTCTGTGAAGAAAGTCATTGGTAGCTTGATGGGGATGGCATTGAATCTATAAATTACCTTGGGCAGTATGGCCATTTTCATGATATTGATTCTTCCTACCCATGAACATGGAATGTTCTTCCATTTGTTTGTATCCTCTTTTATTTCATTGAGCAGTGGTTTGTAGTTCTCCTGGAAGAGGTCCTTCACATCCCTTGTAAGTTGGATTCCTAGGTATTTTATTCTCTTTGAAGCAATTGTGAATGGGAGTTCACTCATGCTTTGGCTCTCTGTTTGTCTGTTATTGGTGTATAAGAATGCTTGTGATTTTTGTACATTGATTTTGTATCCTGAGATTTTGCTGAAGTTGCTTATCAGCTTGAGGAGATTTTGGGCTGAGATGATGGGGTTTTCTAGATATACAATCATGTCATCTGCAAACAGGGACAATTTGCCTTCCTCTTTTCCTAATTGAATGCCCTTTATTTCCTTCTCCTGCCTGATTGCCCTGGCCAGAACTTCCATCACTATGTTGAATAGGAGTGGTGAGAGAGGGCATCCCTGTCTTGTGCCAGTTTTCAAAGGGAATGCTTCCAGTTTTTGCCCATTCAGTATGATATTGGCTGGGGTTTGTCATAGATAGCTCTTCTTATTTTGAGATACGTCTCATCAATACCTAATTTATTGAGAGTTTTTAGCATGAAAGGTTGCTGAATTTTGTCAAAGGCATTTTCTGCATCTATTGAGATAATCATGTGGTTTTTGTCTTTGGTTCTGTTTATATGCTGGATTACGTTTATTGATTTGCATATGTTGAACCAGCCTTGCATCCCAGGGATGAAGCCCACTTGATCATGGTGGATAAGCTTTTCGATGTGCTGCTGCATTCGGTTTGCCAGTATTTTATTGAGGATTTTTGCATCAATGTTCATCAAGGATATTGGTCTAAAATTCTCTTTTTTGGTTGTGTCTCTGCCCGGCTTTGGTATCAGGATGATGCTGGCCTCAAAAAATGAGTTAGGGAGGAAAACAAACAACCCCATCAAAAAGTGGGCGAAGGATATGAACAGACACTTCTCAAAAGAAGACATTTATGCAGCCAAAAAACACAAGAAAAAATGCTCATCATCACTGGCCATCAGAGAAATGCAAATCAAAACCACAATGAGATACCATCTCACACCAGTTAGAATGGCGATCATTAAAAAGTCAGGAAACAACAGTTGCTGGAGAGGATGTGGAGAAATAGGAACACTTTTACACTGTTGGTGGAATTGTCAACTAGTTCAACCATTTTGAAAGTCAGTGTGGCGATTCCTCAGGGATCTAGAACTAGAAATACCATTTGACCCAGCCATCCCATTACTGGGTATATACCCAAAGGACTAGAAATCATGCTGCTATAAAAGACACATGCACACGTATGTTTATAGCGGCACTATTCACAATGGCAAAGACTTGGAACCAACCCAAATGTCCATCAATGATAGACTGGATTAAGAAAATGTGGCACATATACAGCATGGAATACTATGCAGCCATAAAAAATGATGAGTACATGTCCTTTGTAGGGACATGGATGAAGCTGGAAACCATCATTCTCAGCAAACTATTGCAAGGACAAAAAACCAAACACCGCATGTTCTCACTCATAGGTGGGAATTTAACAATGAGAACACATGGACACAGGAAGGGGAACATCACACACCGGGGACTGTTGTGGGTTGGGGAGAGGCGGGAGGGATAGCATTAGGAGATACACCTAATGCTAAATGATGAGTTAATGTGTGCAGCACACCAGCATGGCACATGTATACATATGTAACAAACCTGCACGTCGTGCACATGTACCCTAAAACTTAAAGTATAATAATAATAAATTAAAAAAAACATGGAGCTTATAATTAAAAAAAACTAAATAATAAAAAATTAAGATATTTAAGTATTCATTGACGTGTCCATTACCTTTAATATAAACTATATATAATTAAGAATTTACCTATTTATACATCTTGCAAATCAGATGCTATTAAAAAACTGCTATCTATAAACCACATTATTTTTAAATCAATAATAAGTTAATGATAAATAATTCAGGTTCCATAATTTTTTACTAAATAGATTATTTTTTAGAACGCTTTTAAGTTTGAAGAAAAATTGTACTGTCCGGTTATATGGATTTGACCAAATGCATAATGTCATATATCACCATTATATTATTATACAGAATAGTTTCGGTATTATTCTGAAATTCCCCGTGATGCACCTATGCATCCTTACTTCCCCTCTCTGTATCTTTGATAAGTATTGATCTTTTCATTTTTCCTATAGGTTTGTCTTTTCCAGAGTATTATACAGTTTGAATTGTATACCATGTAGCCACTTAGAACTGGATTCTTTCACTTAGCGATATGCATAAAAGGTTTCTCCATGTCTTTTGTGTTTTGATAGTTCATTTATTTTTAGCACTGAATAATATCCTATTGTATAGATGTACTATAGTTTATTTATTCAAGAACCTACAGAAAGATATCTTGGTTGCTTCCAAGTTTTGGTAATTGTGAACAAAGTTGCTAGAAATATTTACATGCAGGTTTTTGTGTAGACATAAGTTTTTAACTCATTTTGGTAAATGAGTTAAATACCAAGGAGTGCAATTAATAAATCATATAGTAAGAGAAGAAGGCATAAATCATATGCCTTCAAAGAGGCTGAATCATTTTGCATTCCCACCATCAGTGAATGAGAATTCAGGTTGGCCCACGTCCTTGACAGAATTGGTATTCTCAGTGTTTTGGATTTTAGCCATTCTAATAGTGGTGTGCTGGTATCTCATTGTTATTTAAATTTGTATTTATTTAATGATGCATGATGATGAACATCTTTTAATACACTTATTTGCCATTTGTATATCTTCTGTGGTATCCATTCAGATCCTTTGCCAATTTTTAAATTGGGTTGTTTGATCTCTTATTGTTTAGTTTTAAGGGTTGCTTGTACATATTGGATACAAGTCCTTTATCAAAAAGATGTTTTGTAAACTATTTTCTCCCAGTATGGGATTTGTCATTTCATTCTCTCAGCAGTGCCCTTCACAGAGGAGTAGCTTTTTAATTTTAATTGTCACACTTAACTTTTTTCTTTCATGGATCTTGCTTTTGGTGTTGTATTTACTAACTCACCATGACACTCCAAGCAGCTTAGATTTTCTTGTTTTCTTCTACAAATTTTCTGTTTGTGATTTTCCATTTGCGTATATGATCCATTTTGGCTTATAATGTCAGTGTCTAGACTCGTCATTTTGCATGTGAATGTCCAGTTTGCCTCAGCACCATTTATTGGAAAGACATGTCCTTACTCATTTGACAAAGATCAGTTGACTATAGTTCAGTAGGTTTGTTCACAGACTTTCCATTCTGTTTTCTTCCTCTGTTTGTCTATCCTTTCACCATTACCACACTGTCTTTATTCTTACAGCTTTATAATAAGACTTAAAGTCAGGTAGTGGCAATCCTTCAACTTTGTTCTTTAATACTGTGTTGACGATTTTGGATCTTTTGCCTTTCTCAATAAACTTTAGAATTAGTTTTTCAATATCCACAAAGTAACTTGCTAAGATTTAAATTGAGTAATTATTTTTCAATTATTTTCAAAATACATTTTCAGAAATATAATTATTATACAAAAGTAATCAGCTATAAATATATGGCATGTGTTGCTCAGAAAATCAAATTTACATACCATATAATGTAGCCAGATAAACTTTTTCCACCAATAAACAAACTTGTCATTAGGTAACAATGAAAGACAATAGGCTTTTCTGTGTTGGTGGCAGTCCCATTTTGGGCAGCATTCTCTTTTAATACTAATCGTATGAACAACAGAAAGGGATAAAAGAATTATCCTTCATTACTTACTGACTACTGTCACTTTCACAATATTTTAAATAGCCTGACATCGATGTTACAAAAACCAAACCAAACAAAATGAAACACAAAAACCAATATGTGTTCTGAAAGGTAATCAATTGTTCCTAATAACAGACATTAACAATTTCCAACACGATCTCTAGAAACAATTTGCAGTCTGAAACATACTTTTGAATACTATTTCTTGAAGTTTGTACAGGATTGATTTCTATCCCATCATTAATAATTATTACACTAATTATTTCAAGCACTTTCCGCTCTACAAACTTCGGTAAAATGTTAACCTTTCAGACACTGAGTATTTTGCACAGCAGACATGGTCCATCATCAGCATAATCTTGAAGGAAACATGTAACATGGTGGAGCCATTGTGGTCAGAGACCACGGGGTAACTGTGTAGTGTCCACATTTCCTCCCTTGTTCAGGAAGCACCCTACCCAATTCAGGAGTAAGTAGTCTTTGAAATACAGTTCTGCTTTTTTCTACCCAGAGATGTGTATGCTAACACTATATGCCAGAGAGGAATGGGCACCCAAGAAAGCACAGTCTTACAGCAAGTCTACAAAAATATTCCACTCTAAGAAAACAATGGAATATATATACGGGGGAAAAAAGCATGCACAGTTTTAGCTCTCATTTACCTCCAGTGATTCTGGACATACCACCTGGATTCAGTGAGCATCAATGTGTTTATCTGTTAAGCAAGGCTACTATCAGCTCATTTGCAGGGTTTCAAAGATGGCTAAATTCAACCACATATAAAACTACCTGGTACATATTAATACTCAGAACATGTTTCTTGAATTGAAGTTTATATGAGTTATTTAATAGCTCTCCATTCTGCGCTCAATTTTGTAAATGAGAAAACTTACCTCATCCGTCAGACAACTTCTTGCAAAAGGTTCATTTTCCTTCTCCAGTGCAGTTACACATAACCAAACCATTTCTTTTCTAAATCCCTATTTTCATTTCAACAAGATAATTTCTCATCTTCTGCCACTGTCATGGGGTATTTTCATAAAAATAAAAGTGAAAACTTACCCATGACCATAATGAGAAAGGGATTTTGGGGAGTTAAAGGCTGGATATCATGGGTTTATGATGTACACAAAAAAGGAATTCAGAGCTATGTAAGAAATATCATGTTTATCCATGATAGTTACATTCAATTGCTATAAATCAAATAATAAAAGGGAATCTATGTTATTATTATTATAGAATCCTGTCTGAGAAAAACAACAAAGAATGAATATATGCTGGGACATTCTCCACTTTCCTACTAACCGCAATATTAATAGAGAAAATAATTGGACAAAGAGGAAGAACATTAAGTATCAGCACATAGATTAGGTAGAGGAAAAAAATACATACAGTGCTTAGGAACTGATAATACAGTCAATTTATTTTACTCTCCAATTCATAATTAAATGAATAAAAAGAATGGTGCAATTCCATTGGGACATACTCTTTATCTCTTTAAGCCTAAATTAGAAAATCTTAAATAAAGCACAGTGTATATTTACACACACACACACAAAACACTTAAACAAAGATATATATAGAGAGGAATTTTCTGTCTATTGCATTTCAAATCTGGAACACTCCGTTTTCCAAATTCTACTATGATAAAATATATTTCTTGTTCTTTTTTATTTACTATCTAATTTTAAAATATTTTAACTAAGAACAGACTGCTGAGTGATGAAATTTTATAAGTAGCTTGGATTTCAGAGGTGGCAGAGATACAAAGGAATTAGTTGTTGCAAATTGTACACTGAAGGGAAATATACATTGTCCTGTACTTCATCCTGTTGAAGATAGTATCTTTTTAAAAATCAGGAGCACTGGAAGTACAAACAAAGACACATAAAGTCACATGTAAAAAACTAAAACGAAGAAAATGATTCAGAGCAAAATCTGCTGCAGAGAAGGTATAAAAGCAGCTTATCTGCTTGAAATTTGTATTCTGAGTTCTTACTGTGCTTTCAGTAGTCTTAAATTTGATTATAAATCTGTGTTGGGGGCAATTTTACAGGATAATACTGTTGTTTTCATTTTTTTAAGTTTATTTTCATTCTATTTTCCATAATAATGTCCCCTTAGCTTAGTCTAGATCCTATTCGCAGGACAGCTGTTTTGTGTAACTCCAGGGATGCCTATTACACATAATTCATATGAATGGGGTGCCATGGACTTTGGCAATCCTCAGCTTACATGGGCTTATATGGAGTCTCATCCATCCTATTGAAAAATAGTCATTTCAGCTCTGAATATTTTGAGATTTCTGTCTATTCTCAATTTTTTTCTCCTTTTTATTTAATCGAATTCCATGGCTTTAACTATCACTTTATGCTAATGAATCTAAATTAATAAAGATAAATATTGCTATCAGATATTACAAGCAGCCTCAAATCCCAGCGTCTTCACATAATAAATGTTGTTTTTTTTTTCTGACTCATGCCATAGTCCAATTCAATAAACCCTCTTCTGAGTATAAATCTAGAATTGCTAGACAATGTACAGAAACAAGAAGTCAAGTTATCTGCCTCCATCCCCCATATACAAATATAGTGCAGCAAAGCTGGGATAAACAGAGCTTCCACAATGCTGCAATATTGTGAGAGAGACGGTTATGGGTGTCATTGTCTATGGATGTGGGGGTACATTTCCTCATTATTCCTAATTTTGCTCCTGGAAAGAACTCCCTTGTCTCTTCTCTGATTCATGTCCCTGCCTTGTGCAACATTCTTCCTTGTCTATCCTCTCTTGCCATGTATGAAGTATAAGTTGGAGTATTTGTGAATCCAGAAGATCATAGAAATTTTGAAAATTGTTTTCTACTCAAAGAAAGTTGGTGGCTTAAGATTGTTTTACTTATTTTATGGTCAAAGACAATTTAATCTGGGCTTAAGGTTTTATGCTTTATTTAATTTTTTTTTTAGAAATACAATTCCTGCAAAAACACAGTTAACTTCTGATTTGTTTTGATTTAGTTCCATATTCCAATAGCCACATATAGAGCCATTTTCTACATATTTTACTCGTCAATTTTTTTTCTTTTTCACCACCGTGATTGCACTTACTGCCTCAATCTAATGGCGGCTACTTTGAGGGTCTCAAGCTTTAATGCTAAGGCCACACTCTTTACCTGATTTTTAACAAAAGCATCTTCTTAATGTGTTTCCACAGCTCAAGGACTTTTACAGTGCTACTTTTCAAATTCGGAGTAAACAGGTGTTATTAACTCCCCTTTGAAGTGGAAAAAAAAAAAAAAGGAAACAGTGCTGGACTTTCCATTTCCTTTCATTATACCCACAATCTGGCCAAGTTTCCTCTGAGTGCATCTCTTTCTTGTAATACCTTGTCAAACACAGCCAGTAGTAGCTAATACAGTGCATTCATACAGTGTATTCACTGTATTCCTTTTCTATTTCTGCTGTAACAAATTGCCACAAACTTAGTGGCTTAAAAAGCATATATTTATTATCTAACAGCCTGTAGACCATAAATCTAAAATGAGTCTCATTGGGCTAAAATTAAGTTGTCGGCAGGGTTGTATTCCCTTCTAGAGGCTCTGGGGAGAATTCATTTTCTTGACTTTTACAGCTTTTAGAAGGCTGCTCACTGACCTCAGCTCATGTATACTTTCATCAGTCTCTGAAGCCAGCAATGTTCAACTGAATTCTTCTCACAATGGCACCTTTTTGGTTCTCCTTTTCCACCTGCCTCTTTGACCTTTAAGGATCACTGTGGTTTTACTGGGCTTATTTGTATATTGTCCAATGTAATCTGCCTATTTTACCTATTAGGTGAGTGGATTAGTACTCCGATTGCATTCTGCAGTATTAATTCTTCTTTGCCTTGAAAGATAACACATTCACTGATTCCAGGGATTAGGATGTGAACATCTTTAAGGTGACCATCATTATGCCCAGGATTATATTAATCCTATATTTCCAGTTATTTCCTCTAGAACTGTCAGCCTCAAAGGCTCATAATCTGCTTTCCAAATTCTCAATGGCTAAAGTTTTATAAAATATTTTGACACAGCTTAAAATGATTATCCAATTTTCCAGACACTGATACCAATTTTCTCAACACCCACAACTTGATAAGCTAATGCAACATACATATAATATGTAATATATTACATATACATAATTTTTAAATAATTATAGATTTATAGGAAGTCACAAACAAATGTAAAATATAGAGAAGTTTTGTGTTCTCTTTACCCAGTTGCATTTTAGGTTACTATAATACAATATTAAAACTAAGGAATTGAGAATGACATTGGTACAATGTGTGTGTATAGTTCTATATCATTTTATTGCATGTAGTTTTGTGTAATCACCACCACAATAATGACAAGAAACTCTTCTATTACCACAATGATCTCCCTCATGCAACCTCTGTAAGTTCACATCCACCTCTTTCTCATACACAATCCCCAACCCCTGTCAAACAATAGTCTACCTTCTCTCTCAACAATTTTGACATCTTAAGAATGTTACATAAACAGAACTGCAAAATATGTGACATTTTGCAATAGCAAAGACTTGGAACCAACCCAAATGTCCAACAATGATAGACTGGATTAAGAAAATGTGGCACATATACACCATGGAATACTATGCAGCCATAAAAAATGATGAGTTCATGTCCTTTGTAGGGACATGGATGAAATTGGAAATCATCATTCTCAGTAAACTATCGCAAGAACAAAAAACCAAACACCGCATATTCTCACTCATAGATGGGAATTGAACAATGAGAACACATGGACACAGGAAGGGGAACATCACACTCTGGGGACTGTTGTGGGATGGAGGGAGGGGGGAGGGATAGCATTGGGAGATATACCTAATGCTAGATGATGAGTTAGTGGGTGCAGCGTGCACCAGCATGGCACATGTATACATATGTAACTAACCTGCACATTGTACACATGTACCCTAAAACTTAAAGTATACTCATAAATAAATAAATAAATAAATAAATACAAACATAAATAGAACTGCAAAATATGTGACATTTTGATGGTGGATTCTTCTTTTTCACTCAGCATAATTTCCTTGTGATCCATTCAAGTCATTAGATAGATCAATAGTTTCTTGTTTATTTAATTTTTATTATTGAGTAATTTTTCATGTTATGGTTCTATCACAGTTTGTTTATTCATTAGTCTATTATGAGAAATTTTATTCAGATTTTTTTCTAGTGTAAATAATGCTACTATGAACAATTTTGTACTAGAGTTTGTAAAGACACAAGTGTCCATTCCTTAAAAAAAAGTCCATAAGTGTGATTGCTGGATAATGTAATAAGCGTAAGTTTACATTAAAAGTAAAACAGCAAAACTATTTTTCTAGTATTGTTTTAGAAAGCCAGCAGCAACATACAAGGAATCTAGTTTCTCCGCATTCAAACCAACATCTGGTATCATGAGTGTTTTTTGTTTTGTTTTTCTTTTAGCTGTTCCAGTAGGTGTGTAGTGATATCTCACCATGGTCTTTCTTTATGCTGGCCTGATGGTCCAATAACGATGAATATGTTTTCATGTACCTTCTGGATATCACCTGTGGTAAAATATATGTTCATGCTTTTACCGATTTTATAACTGGCTCGTTTTTAGTTTTTGTTTTTCTTTACAGTTTTTTTTTTTTTACTGTTGAGTTTTGAGAGTTCTTTATATATTCCAGATATGAGTCCTTTAATAGTTATGTGGTTTTTCAAATACTTTGAGTTTGTAACTTGTCTTTTTATCCTCTTAACATGGTCTTTCACAAAGCAGAAGTTTCTAATTTTGACAAAGCATAATTTATCATCTTTTAAAGATTGCATGGATCATAATATTTGTGTCAGATCTAAATTTGCTCATCAAGCATGAGTTCCCCAAGAGTTTCTCCCATGGTTTCTTTCCAGATATTTTATAGTTTTACATTTTACATCTAATTCTATAATCCATCTTGCATTAATTTTTGTTTAATGTGTGAAGATTAGGTTGATGTTAATTCTTTTTGCCTAAGGATATATGTATTAGTCCTCTCAGACTGTTAGAATACTGTAGAATGAGTATCTTATAAACAACAGAAGTTTGTTTCTCAGAGTTGTGCAGGCAGAGAAGTCAAAAATTAAGACTTGTAGAATTAGTGGCTGAAGGCCTCCATCCATTTTCATAGATGGCCTTCTCACTGTATCCTCACATGGCAGAAAAGGTGAGGGGGCCCTCTGAAACCCTTTTATAAGTGCACTAATCCTGTGAATGAAGGTTCAGACCTCATGACCTAATTACCTTCCAAAGTCCCCACCTCCAAATACTATTACATTGTGGATTAGGTTTAAATATATCAGTGTGGTGAAGACATAAACATTAAATCTATAGAAATAGCCAATTGTCCCAGCACTATTTATAGAAAAGACTATTTCTCCTCCATTGAATTGTTTTTGTGGGTTTGTCAAAAAACAGTAAGTCACCCTTGCATGGGACCATTGCATGGTATTCTTCTATTCAGTTGACCTATGGTTCTATCTTTCCACCAATGCTACAGAGTCTAGATTACTGTATGTATATAATAAGTATTGTAATCAGGTAGAACAATTCCCTTTATTCTTCTTGTTCATGATTGAGATATTTGAGTATATTTTTTTTTCCATACACATTTTATAAAACGCTTGTCTATTTCTAAAAAATAAAATAAAATAAACCCTCCTAGAATTTAATTAAAATTGCACTGAACCTGAAGATCAATTTTGGGAAAATAGATATCTTTACAATGTTGAGTCTTTCAATCCACAAACATAGTATGTCTCTTTATTTACGTAGGTTGTGGATCTTTATTTTTTTCATGTGCATTTTGAAACTTATAGCTAGAGGTGCTGTTTAGGTTTTATAAAGTTTAACACATCAGCATTTCAGTTTTTCTGTAATTGTAAATGTTGTGTTTATCACTTGGGTTTCCAGATGCTCACTGTTAGTATATACCAATAAGACTGACTTTTCACATTTTTCTTGCATCCTGTAACCTTAATAAACTCATTTATTAATTCCAGATTTTATTTTCTTTCTGTTGGTTTTTCATAGGTTTTTACACATACCTTTTCCCATCTGCAGATAGAGACAGCTTTGTTTCTTTCAAATGTGTTAACAATTGATATCCATCGTATGCCTTATTACTCTTTCTAGAACCTCCATTGCTATGTTTAATAGCAACAGTGATGGTAAATACCCTTGTGTTGCTCTCAAACATTCAATCTTTTATTATTTAATGTAATAACTCGCTGTAGATCTTTCATAAATGATTTTTGCGAGGAAGCTAATCCTGTTATTTTTCAGAGTTTTATAATAAATGAGTGCTGAATCTTGGAAAACTTTTTATGCATCAAATGATATAATCATGAGATTTATCTTTTTTGACCTTTTCATATGGTGGATTACATTGATCTTTTAGTATTGAACCATCTTGGCAACCCTACAGTAAAACTCACTTGAAGATTGTATACAATTCTTTTTATATATTGCTGAATTCTATTTTATAATATTTTGTTAAGAATTTTTGCATTTATATTGATCCGTAGTTTTCTTTTTCATTGCTATTTTTGGTCATGGTATCAGGTAATATTAACTTTATAATAAGAGTTGGGAAGCCTTCTATTTTTTGAAAATTATTTGTGTAGATTATGTTAATTCTTCTCTGAATATTTGTAAGAAACCCTCAGTGAAAACTGAGCCTGGATATTATCTTTTTTAATTAGAAAAAATACATATATTTAATTTTGTTAATTACCTGTTCAGGACCATTCAAATTACCTATTCCATATTAGATGAGTCAGGATACATTTTGCTTTTCAAGAAATTGGTAAATTTCACCTAAGTTTTCAAATTTCATGTGTGTAAGTTTATCAGCAGTATTTTCTAATTGATCTTTGAATATCTGTGGAGTCCACAGTGATCTCCTCTGTTTCATTCTTAATGTTGATGATTTGTGTCTTCTCTCTTTGTTTTCTCATTTTGGTAGATCTTTGTCAATTTTATTGATAATTAAAGAGCCATATTTTCATTCATTTTAATTTATCTATTATTCTTTCTCTCTTCAATTTCATTGATTTATTCTCTCAGCTGATCTGGTAGCTAGGACTACAGGCACATGCCACTATAACTAGCTCTTCTGTTTGTGAATTCTAGTTTGATTCCATTGTAGAGGGAGACTATACTGTGTATGATTTTAATTCTTTGAAATGTGCTGAGGTTTCTTTTCTGGTCCAGGATGTAGTCTAATTTAGTATAATTTATATAGGCAGTTGAAAATACTGTGTATTATTCATTGTCTACTGTTGATTAGATCCTTTTGGTTAATCATGTGTTGAGTTTTTTATCATTGCAGATTTATGCCTAATTTCTATATCATTTGCTGAGAGAGAAATGTTAAAGTTTTCCACTGTAATAGTGTAATTTCCTATTTTTCTTTTCAGCTTTGTCAGTTTTTGCTTCATGTATTTTACAGCTCTATTGTTTGATTCATACATAATTAGAAGTGCTACTTTTCTTGGTGAATTGTACTTTTTATCATTAAATAATGTTTCACTCTATCCTGGTAATATTATTGTAATCACTCTTGATTAATTTCATTAATATTTATATGATATGTTTTTCCCCATTTTTTTACTTTTAACTTTCCTCATTATATTTGAAGGCTGTTTCTTATAAAAAGCATACCCTCGGGTCCTGTTTTTTAAATCTACACCATCAATTTCTTTAATTTAATTGTGCATTTAGACCATTTAAATTTAAATTATTTATACTGTAGAGCTTATGTATCATTTTAATTTTTTTCTCGTCTATTTTGTATCTCTTTTTTTCTGCTTTCTTCTATGTTATTTGAGATTTTAAAATTAATTTATATACTTTCTGTGAAGTATAATTATTAGTATTTTATTTTTAAATTTCAACTTTTATTTTAGATATATGGAGTACATGTGCAGATATGTTACATGGGAATGTTGCACGATGCTGAGGTTTGGAGTATGGATTCCATTACCTTGGTAATGAGCATAGCATTTGATTGGTGGTTTTTTAACCCACCTTCCCACTCCACTCACTGGCAGTCCACAGTATCTACTGTTCTCACATCTATGTCCATGTGTGCTCAATGTTTAGCTCTCATTAGTAATTGAGAACATGTGGTATTTGATTTTCTGTTCCTGCTTTAATTTGTATAGAATTATGGCTTCCAGCTCCATCCACGTTGCTGCAAGGGACATGATTTTATTCATTTTTATGGCTTGTGTCGTATTTCATGGTATATATGCATCAATTTTTCTTCATCCAATCTATCCTTGGTGAGCATGTAGGTTGATTCCATGTCTTTGCTATTGTGAAAAGAGCAGTGGTGAACATATGAGTGCATGTGTCTTTTGGTTTAATGACCTATATTCCTTTGGGTATATACCCAGTAATGAGACTGCTGGGTCGAATGGTAGCTCTGTTTTATGTTCAATGAGAAACCTTCAGACTGCTTTCCATAGTGGCTGGACTAATATACATTCCCACCGACAGTGTATAAGTGTTCTTTTTTCTCTGGAACCTCATCAAGATCTATTGTTTTTTGACTTTTTAATAACAGCTATTCTGTCTGGTGAGAGATGATATCTCATTGTGGTTTTGATTTGCATTTCTGTGGTGATTATTGCTGGGCATTTGTTCATACATTTGTTGGCTGCTTATATATCTTCTTTTTTCGTTTTTGTTTTTTTTTTTTTTTTTTTTGAGACGGAGTCTCGCTTCGCTTTGTCGCCCAGGCTGGAGTGCAGTGGCGGGATCTCGGCTCACTGCAAGCTCCACCTCCTGGGTTCACACAATTCTCCTGCCTCCGCCTCCCGAGTAGCTGGGATTACAAGCGCCCGCCACCAAGCCTGGCTAATTTTTTTGTATTTAGTAGAGATGGGATTTCACTGTGTTAGCCAGGATGGTCTCCATCTCCTGACCTCGTGATCCACGCACCTCGGCCTCCCAAAGTGCTGGCATTACAGGCATGAGCAACCGTGCCCGGCCGTCTATCTTCTTTTGAAAAGAGCCTGTTCATGTCTTTTGTCCATTTTTAATGGGGGTTATTATTATTATTATTATCGATTTCCTTACATTCCCTATAGATTTTGGATATTAGACCTTTGTTGGATCCATGGTTTGCAAATGTCTTCTCCCTTCTCCCATTCTGTAGTTTGTCTGTTTGCTCTGCTGATAGTTCTTTTGCTGTGCAGAAGCTCTTTAGTTTACTTAGGTCCCACATGTCTATTTTTGTTTTGGTTGTAATTGCTTTTGGGGACTTAGCCAAAAATTATTTGCCAAGGCCAATGTAGAAAAGTGTATTTCCTAGGTTGTCATCCAGAATTTTTATAGCTTGAGGTTTTACATTTAAATCTTTAATGTATCCTGGGTTAATTTTTGTATATGGTAAAAAGTAAGGGTCCAGCTTCTATCTTCTGCATATGGCTAGCCAGTTAGAGAACTACAAAACACAGTTGAAAGAAATCAGAGATGACACAAATAAATGGAAAAACATTCTATGCTCATAGATTGGAAAAATCAATATTGTGTAAATGGCCATACTTGTGAAAGCAACTTATAGATTCAATGTTATTCCCATCAAAATATCAATGTCATTCTTCACAGGATTAGAAAAAAACTATTCTAAAATTCATATGGAACCAAAATGAAGCCCAAATAGCAAAGCAGTCCTAAGCAAACAGAACAAAGATGGAGGCATCACACTACCCAACTTTAACTATACTATAAAGCCACAGTAACCAAAATGGCCTGTTGTTGGTAACAAAAAGAGATTCTCGAAAATATTTTAAATTTCTGTTTTATTTATCCATAGTGCTTTTGAGTGAATTTATATAGATTTTTTATGGTTGTTCTTGGTAAAACATTATATATACATAATTTGTCATGTCTACTAGAGCTAGCATTCTACCAATTTGAGTAAAATTTGGAAATTTTATATCCTGGTACCATCTTTTATCCTCCACCATTTATAATTGTTTCAAATACTGCTTCTAAATATATTTGAGTCAAATCATATAGTATCACACTTTTTTTAAGTACCTAACATTATTTAGAAAAATCAAAAGGATAATAAAATGTATGTATTTGATTGTATTTTTCCTTTTTCCACTTTTTATTTCTTCCTGATTTTCCAATGTTCCTCTTTTATTCATTCCTTTTTGTTTAGAAATCTGTCTGTAGCTATTTATTTAAGATTGTTCTGGCCGGGCATGGTGGCTCATGCCTGTAATCCCAGCACTTTGGGAGACCGAGGTGGGAGGATCACGAGGTCAGGAGATCGAGATCATCCTGGCTAACATGGTGAAACCCCGTCTCTACCAAAATTACACACACACACACACACACACACACACACACACACACACAAAATTAGCTGGGCATGGTGGTGGGCACCTGTAGTCCCAGCTACTCAGGAGGCTGAGGCAGGAGAATGGCCTGAACCCGAGAGGCAGAGCTTGCAGTGGTCAAGATCGCGCCACTGCACTCCAGCCTGGGTGACAGAGCAAGACTCCGTCTCACAAAAAAAAAAAAAAAAAAAAAAAAAAAAAAAAAAGAGAAAGAGAAAAAAAAAAGATTGTTCTAATGACAACAAATTCACTTAGTTTTTCTTAATCTGAGGATGTCTGGACTCTCCCTTTATTCCTGAAAGATAATTCTGCTAGTTATAGAATTATGGTTATCTTTAGCTTCAGACTTGAAAAATATCTCACTTCCTATTGGCCTCCATTGTTTTGGCTTATAAATCAGCTGTGTTTTGAATTATTTTCTTCTATATTTAAGTTCTCATTCTCTCTTGCTGTTTTCAAGGTTTTCTTTCAGTGTTTTTAGTTTTTAGAAATTTGATTATTATGTGTCTTAGTGTCCACTTCTTTCAGATTTTCCTGATTGGGGTTAATTCAGCTCTTCATACTATAGGTTTATATATTTCACCAAATTGGAATTTTTTTCAGTCATTATGACATTCAACTCTTTCTTCAGCCCCTCCTACCTATTTTTTTTTTCAGAACTTCAATAATACAAACGTTAGATCTTTTGTTATAGCTTCCACTTTTCTCTAAGGCTCTGTTCATTTTAATGTTTAGTTTATTTTCTCTTTCCATTTCAGTTTAGGTAATTTCTACTGTTTCATTTCAATTTCACTGATTATTTTCTCTGCTTTATTCATTTTACTGAGTTTCTTTTTTTTTCTTTTTTTATTATACTTGAAGTTCTGGGGAACATGTGCACAACCTGCAGGTTTGTTACATATGTACACATGTGCCATGTTGGTGTGCTGCATCCATTAACTTGTCATTTACATTAGGCATATCTCCTAATGATATCCCTCCCCCCTTCCCCCACCCCAGGACAGGCCTCAGTGTGTGATGTTCCCCTTCCTGTGTCCAAATGTTCTCATTGTTCAATTCCCACCTATGAGTGAGAACATGTGGTGTTTGGTTTTTTGTCCTTGCGATAGTTTGCTGAGAATAATGGTTTCTAGCTTCATCCATGTCCCTACAAAGGACATGAACTCATCCTTTTTCATGGCTGCATAGTATTCCATGGTGTATATGTGTCACATTTTCTTAACCCAGTCTATCATTGATAGACATTTGGGTGGGTTCCAAGTCTTTGCTATTGTGAGTAGTGCCACAATAAACATAAGTGTGCATGTGTCTTTACAGCAGCATGATTTTTTAATTTTATTTTTAAGTTCTACAATTTCCATTTAGTTTGTTTTTACATCTTCTATTTTTTTTTTGCTGAAACTTTCTATATTTTGGTTAAGATCTTCTATTTTTGAATATTTTTATCAAACATGTTTAAAATTGTTCATTGAAGCACTTTATAGTAATTGCTTTCAAATCTTTGTCAGATAATTCTATCATCACCATCATCTTGGTATTGGCATCTATTATCATCCTCTTTTAAGTACAGACTTTTCTGCTTCTTGGTATGATGGGTAATTTTTGATGGAAATCTTGTTTTCATAGTATGCTATAATTTTTCTCAATCTTATTTAAAACCTAGGTTTACCTTGACTTCTCTGTCACTACTCCATCAGAAAAAAGTGGGGTACTGCATCCTTATTGCTATGTAGGGTAGAAGACCACAAACCATAGTCAACATCCATTAATACCCAAGCAGTACAAATTCCCTATTTCTCCTCAAATGTGTAGGAGTTACAGTTGTCTACTAAGCCTCTACTATACTCACCTGGCTGGGAGGGAGAGGAATGCCTTTTTACCATCTCCCATGTGTCCTATATTGACACTGAGGGTGTCTGGCTTTGTTACTATTGGACACTGTTGAAATTCCTGATGCTGCATTAAGCCTCCTCTCACACCACTCCAGCTAGAAGACGGAGGAATGTCTCATTACCTCCATGTGGGAATGGAAGTCCAAGATCTCATGTACTCTCTCCTAACACAGTGGAGAAAGAGGTCACTCATTACTGCACAGCAGGTGTAAAAATCTCAACTTCCTCTTTAGCCTTTATGTTGTGCCATAAAATAAGTGTCAGTAAATTTTGAAATATCAAAATGTTAAACTTCATAGAGGAATTAAATCTAGTATCTGAATAAATCTACTGATATCTACTTCTTAAGGTTGGGGTTCATAGGTATTTCAAGCTAAAGCAACTATGCCTGTTGTTCTGAATTCAGTTATGAATTTCTTGCTTTGACCTTTAACAAGTCTCTAGAGATGTATAAAAACATGAAAACATTAATATGTTATTAACCTTGCTTGCATCTGCCAGTGAGAAACATCATTTTGTTTCAACATGCTATTCTCCTATCATGCTTGAATAGTTACAAAGATTATTTTATACTCCCTTGTATTTCTGAGTTATTTATCCCACAGCAGTTGCCTTAGATTAGCCGCACATCAACTACACTGTATACTTCTGGTCTCCAGATTTCCTACAACAATCCAAATACACCAAAAGTTAATTACTCCTGGACTCCTATAAATGCCACATAACACCCTCTATGATCATCCTTGCTCTTATTGCCTGTTCATCTCCTTACAAGCTCACCAGCCTCAAATATGTCATTCCCTCTGGTATCTTCATTCTGTCACAAATGGAGATTGTGGGGTATTTATTGAATCTCAGGTAGTGGGTATACACCATATGCTTTTCCTCTTGATTGGAAACCCCAGTCATACTAAACTTATTTTTAAGCCCTTGAGGACTCATCTCAAGAGTTCCATCTTATAATAAATTTTACGTAAATACCTTGCTACACTCTAAATTCTCTTACATCCAATATTAATTACTAACACAATATATTTTAAACTCTTTACTAATTGTCTTTAAAAATAAACTATTTTCAGATCCATAAAAATTGTGAAGGTAGTACAGAGTTCCCATACACCTATAGCCATTTTTTCCATTTTTGACATCTTGCATTAGTGTGGTACAGTAGTTATAATCAATGAACCAATATTAATACATTATTAACTAAGATCTGTACTTTATTCAAATATTTTTATTTTTATGTACTGCCTCTTTCTGTTTTATGATTCCATTCAGGATACCACATGACATTTCACTGCCATGTCTCCTTAAGCTCCTCTTGGTGATAATTTCTCAGCCTTTTCTTGGTTTGTTTTTGATGGTCCCAAGCATTTTGAGTACTGATCAGGTATTCTGTGGAATAGTATTGGCTTAGTCTGTGCTGCCATAACAAAATACTTGCGTCTGGGTGTATTAGTTCATTCTCACGCTGCTATAAAGAACTGCCTGAGATTGGGTAATTTCTAAAGGAAAGAGGTTTAAGTGACCCACAGTTCCACATTGCTGGGGAGGCTTCCAGAAAGTTATAGTCACAGTGGAAGGCAAAGGAGAAGCCGGCACCTTCTTCACAGGGCGGCGGGACAGAGAGAGTGCAAGCAGAGGAAATGCCAGATGCTTGTAAAACCATCTGGTCTCATGAGAACTCCCTCACTACCACCAGAACAGCTTGAGGGAAACAGCCCTCATGATCCAATTACCTCCACCTGCTCCTGCCCTTGACATATGGGGATTACAATTCAAAGTGAGATTTGGGTGGGGGACACAGAGCCAAACCATACTACTGAGTAATTTATAAAGAACAGAAATTATATCACACAGTTTTGGCGCTGGGAAGTCAAAGATTAAGGTGCTGGCAGGTTCTGTTATCTGGCAAAGGCTGCTCTCTACTTCCCAGATGGTGCCTTGTTGCTGCATCCTTCGGAAGGAAGGAGTGCTGTGTCCTCACAAGGCAGAAGGCAAGAGGGCTGAACATTAAGTGAAGCAATTTCTAAAAGGGGCTTAATCCCATCCCCAAGAGAAGTCCTGAAGGCTTAATCAACTCTGAAAGGCCCCATCTCTCTCTCTCTCTTTTTTTTTAATTCTCCAATTTAAAACTTTTAATTAAAAAGTAAGCTTTAATGTCGAAAATGCAAACTTGGGGAGGGCAGGAAGATCACACACAAGGCTGTCACTTCACACTTGGAGGGTTGCACAGCCGCCAGGCAGAGGCGCCCCTCACTTCCCAGATTGTGGGGCAGCCGGGCCGAGGCGCCCTCACTTCCCAGATGGTGGGGCAGCCGGGCAGAGGCGCCCCTCACTTCCCAGAGGGGGCGGCAGCAAGGCAGAGGCCCTCCTCACTACCCCGACCTGGTGGCGGCGGGCAGAGGCGCTCCTCCCTTCCCAGATGGTGGGGCGGCCGGGCAGAGGAACTCCTCACTTTGAAAGTCCCCATCTCTTAAAAACTGAATTCAATAACATTAAAAAGATCTTCATTGTGACCAAGTGGGTCACATCCTTGAATCTGAGGGATTCAAGCATGGTTTAACATATGCGAATCAATCAATGTGATACATCATAATAAGAGAATAAAGGACAAAAACCATATGATCATTTCAATTGATGCTGAAAAAGCATTTGATAAAATTCAACATTCTTTCATGATAAAAACCCTTAAAAACTGGGTACAGAAACAACATACGTCAACCCAATGAAAGCCATCAATGACAGATCCAAAGCTAGTATCATACTGAACATGGAAAAACTGAAAGTCTTTTTCCTCTAAGATCTGGAACAAGACAGGATGCCCTGTTGAATAACCACTGTTATTCAACATAGTACTGAAGGTCCTCACTAGAGCAATCAGACAAAAGAAAAAAATTAAGGGCATCCAAATTGGAAAGGAAGAATTCAAACTACCCTTGTTTGATATGATCTTACTTTTAGAAAATCCTAAATACTGTACCAAAGAACTATTAGAACTGATAAGCAAATTCAGTAAAGTTGCAGGATACAAAATCAACATACCAAAATCAGTAGCATTTCTATATGCAAACAGCAAACAATCTGAAAAAGTAATTCCATTTATAATAAAATATATTAATATCATATATAATAAATTACATATAATTATAACTTATTTTTAATTTATGATTTATTATATTAATGTATATTATAAATATTATATAATTATATTATATTCATTGTATAATACAATAATATACAATATTACAATATAATATGTATAATACAATTATACAATTATATATTTTTTGCATATTAAAATTGTATAATATATACGTATAATATACAATAAATATAATAAAATAAAATACCTAGGAATAAGCTTACCAAAGAAGTGAAAGATCTTTACAATGAAAACTCTAGTGTATTGATGAAAGAAGCTAAATAAGACACAAAAAATGGAAAGATATTCCATGTTTATTGGTTGAAAGAGCCAATATTGTTAAAATGTTCACACTATCCAAGGCAATGTATAGATTCAATGCAATCCCTATCAAAATACCAAAGACAGAAATAAGAAAAATAATTCTAAAATTTATATGAACCCACTAAAGAACCAGAATAGTGAAAGCCATCTTGAGGAAAAAGAACAAAGCTGCAGGCATCATCTGACTCTAAATTATACTACAAAGCTATAGTAACCAAAACAGCATGGTACTGGCATAAAACGGACATATAGACCAATGATAAATGGAACAGAATAAAAAACCTAGAAATAAATCCACATATTTATACTCAACTTATTTTTGACAAGGTGTCAAGAATATACACTGGGATAGGACAGCCTTTTTAACAAATGATGCTCAAAAACCTAGATAACTATATGCAGAAGAATGAAACTAGACCCTTATCTCTAAACATACACAATAATCAAATCTCAACAAAGTGAAGAGACAATACACAAATGACAGAAAATATTTGCAAACCACCCATCTGACAACAGAAAAACCAGAATAAATCAGGAGTTGAAACAACTCAGTGGGGAGGGGAGACAAATAATCTAATCAAAAAATAAACAAAAGGTTTGAATAGACAGTTCTCAAAAGAAGACATACAAATGGCCAAAAGCTTTATTTAAAAAAAAAAATTCTCAACAACATCACTAATCATCAGGGAAATGCAAATCAAAACCACAATGAGATATCAGCTCACCCCAGTAAAAGTGGCTTTTATTCAAAAGACAGGCAATAACAAGTTCTGGTGAAAATGTGAAGAAAGGGGCCCCTTATACACTGCTGGCAGAAATGTAAATTACTACAGCCACTATAGAGAATATTATGGAGTTTCCTCAAAAAACTAAAAATAGGACTTCCACATGGTTTAGCAAACCCACTGATGCATATATATCCAAATGAAAGAAAATCAGTATATCAAAGAGATATCTGCACTCCCATGTTTATTATAGTAGTATTCATTTTATTTATTTTTGAGACAGAGTCTCGCTCTGTCGCCGAGGCTGGAGTGCAGTGGTGCAATCTCGGCTCACTGCAAGCTCCACCTCCTGGGTTCACACCATTCTCCTACCTCAGCCCCCCAGTAGCTGGGACTACAGGTGCCCACAACCACGCCCAGCTAATTTTTTGTATTTTTAGTAGAGACGAGGTTTCACCGTGTTAGCCAGGATGGTCTTGATCTCCTGACCTCGTGATCTGCCCACCTCAGCCTCCCAAAGTGCTGGGATTACAGGCTATAGTAGTATTCAAAAGAGCTAAGATATGGAATCAACTTGCGTTCATCAACAGATTAATGGATTTAAAAATATAGTACATATACACAATGGAATGTTATTTAGCCATAAAAAAAGAATGAAATCCTGTCATTTGTAACAACATGGGTGAAACTGGAGGTCATTATAAGTGAAATAAACTAGACACTGAAAACAAATATTGCATGTTCTAAGTAATATTTGGGAGATAAAAAAGAATTGAACCCATAATGATAGAGAGCAGAATGTTTACCAGAGGCTGAAAAGAGTAGTGGGGAGGGGGTATAAAATAAGGATGGTTAATGGGTACAGAAATATGCAATTAGACAGAAGGAATAAGATCTAATATTTGGTAGCACAATAGGCTGACTATAGTTAACAATAATTTATTGTATATTTCAAATAACTTAATGAGCAGAATTAGAATGTTCCTAGCTCAAAGAAATGACAAATAATTGAGGTGATTTGTACCCCAATTATCCTGATTTGATCATTGCACATTGTAGGTTTGTGTCAAAATATCACATGTACCCTATACATATGTTTATTATTTATTCATAATCATTAAAAAATTAAAAATTAAAAAGTTTGTAGAGAAAAGTATAAGATTCCTTCTACCCACCTCCCAGCTTAAAGTATAAAAGTTTTACAAACACACTGAATGTCCTTATTCCTTTCACTCTTTCTTAGAAGATAACCACTCTCCAGAAATTTAAATACTTTATTTCCATGTATTCCTTTACATACCTATTACTTTTTATGTTTCCATGCAACAATATATACCTCAAGTGATCAGAAGCTACTTAACTAGACAGCATAGATTCAGATTGTTTCCAACCTTTGTTAGATCAGAGAATGACTGTTGCATGACTACTTTGTACCTGTGAGAGCTTTTCTTAGGTGCATTATCAAGGACTAGTATTGCTGAGCCACAGATCAGGCATATCCCAAAATTGTAACATAATTGCCACATTGTTTTCTAAAGTTATTGCCATAATTTTATACTCTTACTGGCAGTATATGAGAATTCCTGTTTTCCTGCATCCTATCTAACTCTTGATATTGTCAAATGATAAAAGTACCAACATTATGAATCCTAAAAGATTTTTTTGTTGTGCTTTTAATTTGTATTTACTTGACTACAAGAGAATCTGGGTATGTTACCATGTTAATTATTGCTCATTTAGAGTTCCGTTTCTCTTAAACAACTGCTGATTAAATTTGTTTACTTATTATATTGCTAAAAAAGTTTAAATGAAGAGAAACTTTCAGATGGGTATTATTATTACTAATGATTACTTTGAGACAGGGTCACACTCTGTCATCTAGGCTGGAGTGCAGTGACACGATCTCGGTTCACTGCAACCTCCCCCTGAGATAGGCATGAACCACTGTGCCCTGCTTCAGTTAGGTATTAATATTCCATTGTGTTCAAAAATAATCTGATGCAGAGGTAATCAGAGAATTGTGCAAAGCATAGCCATGCTAATGAGGAAGTATTTTTGTTTGTTTATGTGCTTGTTTGTTTGATACTAGCCTCTTTTCTTAGAATTTGGGATGTTGATGATTTTCTTGCTCATAGAGGCCAGGGAAGGATTAACCCTCATTGCTCCCTGTTGCTTCATATGACTTACCTGGTAGGAAAACTTAATGCAGAGTGACTGTCAAGTGCTCTGTGGCCCCGTGGAGCACAGCATGTGCTAACCACTGTGAAGAGGAAGAGCCTAGAGAAGCTCTCTGCTGGGATGCATCAAACATTCATTTTCTGAATTCTGCCCAGCATGGCCCTTTTCCTTTAGTTTCCTTTAGCTTGATGATCTTTTACTTTCAAACTCTCTCCAGGGCTCCCTGCCTTTAACACCTGCCCCAAAAACTCTTTCATTGCATCACCCCTTCCTGGTACACAACATACAAAAAACTAGTGTTTTGCTCTAGGCAATAATGGATTTATGAGGTAAAAAATTTGACATAGCTAAGATTTATTTTTCCCTCCCTGTAGAATGGGATCTCTCTGCCCTCTGTCAGGACATGAATACATAAATGCACATATCTATAAATATTTCTATATGCTACCATC
This sequence comes from Homo sapiens, assembly GCF_000001405.40. Taxonomy (NCBI): domain Eukaryota; kingdom Metazoa; phylum Chordata; class Mammalia; order Primates; family Hominidae; genus Homo; species Homo sapiens. The sequence goes on along the minus strand of NC_000002.12, from coordinate 13,611,760 downwards.
TATACATATATTAAGCTAAACAGTAGTTCATAATCATGCTCAATCCTAATCTATCACCGTATAGATCATTCTCTTCTCTTCCAATTTTTATCTGTAACGTCCCACTCCAACAGCAAGAAACTTATGTCTCTTGATCTGCGACGCAAATACAATTGTTAAATTCAATTAAGCATATATACTAATTTCAGAATTGTAAACCTATACCTCTTCGGGACACAAACTTGTCAAATGACATATAGTGCATTTGTGCAGTACCTTTTGTTTATAGTCTTGCAGACCACTCATTTCCAAAGTTATTTAAGTCAGTACCATTTCCCCCACCTTTTTCAATAACACCATTTAATACATTTGGTAAACAGATTCTTTCATCACATTCTGCATTCCATTGTGGAATCTTCCAATCTCCTAAATGATTTTTGTTTAAATCTGCATACATTATTTCATTTGCTGAGCTATGAAGTTCTATGGGGTTTGATAAATGCAGTATCATGTATCACCTACTACAGTATCACACAGCATGGTTTATTGCCCTAAAAAAAAATTCTTTGTGCTTTATCTATTCAATCCTCCCACCACAACTTTCTTCCCTGCCACCTGGCAATCACTAATCTATTTATTGTCTCTATGGTTTTACCTTTCCAGAATGTTATACATATATTTGGAATCATATAGCTTATAATCTTTCCAGGCTTTCTTCTTTTACTTAGCAATATGTATTAAAGACTTATCCATATATTTTCTTTTTTTAAATTATTATACTTTAAGTTCTAAGGTACATGTGCATAACGTGCAGATTTGTTACATAGGTATACACGTGCCCTGTTGGTTTGCTGCACCCATCAACTCGTCATTTACATTAGGTGTTTCTCCTAATGCTATCCCTCCCCCAGACCTCCACCCCCTGACAGGCCCTGGTGTGTGATATTCCCCACCCTGTGTCCATGTGTTCTCATTGCTCAATTCCCACCAATGAGTGAGAACATGCGGCGTTTGGATTTCTGTCCTTGTAATAGTTTTCTGATAATGATGGTTTCCAGCTTCATCAATGTCCCTGCAAAGGACATGAACTCATCCTTTTTTATGGCTGCATAGTATTCCATGGTGTATATGTGCCATATTTTCTTAATCCAGTCTATCATTGATGGACATTTGGGTGGGTTCCAAGTCTTTGCTATTGTGAATAGTGCCACAATAAACATATGTGTGCATGTGCCTTTATAGTAGCATGATTTATAATCCTTTGGGTTCATAGCTTGATAACCCATTCATTTTTATTCTGAAGAGTGTTCTTTTATATGGATATTCCACCATGTCTCAAATCACCTACTGAAGGACATCTTGGTTCCTTCCAGTTTTGACTATTATGAATAAAACTGCGAAAAACAAATGGATACAATATTTTTCTATGGACATGATATTTTAAAATTATTAGAGCACTTAGAAGACTGACTGCTAAATTATATGTTAAAACTATCTTTAAGTTTGTAAGAAACTGCCAAAGGATATTCCAAAGTGGCTATACTATTTTACAATCACACCAGAAATTGTGAAAGTTACTGTTGCTCTGCATCTCGGCCAGCATTTGGTATTTTATATATATATATATATATATATATATATATATATATATATATATATTATATATGTAATATAGTATATGTATCATATATAATATATAGTATGTTATATAGTATATTATATAGTATAATATATAGTATATTATATAGTATAATATATAGCATATTATATAGTATATTATATAGTATAATATATAGCATATTATATAGTATAATATATAGCATATTATATAGTATAATATATAGCATATTATATAGTATAATATATAGCATATTATATAGTATAATATATAGCATATTATATAGTATATGTATCATATATAATATATAGTATATATAATAGTATAGTATGTAGTATATATTATATATTTATACATTATACATTATATATAATACATTACTATATAATATATACTATATATGATATACTATATTGTATATAATATACATGATATAATATATATTATATTGTAATGTATTATATATAATGTATATAGATATTAATGTCAAGATATTAATATCTGCAGCTGAGCAGAAACTAGGTTTGTGAGTTTTTTTGCCATTTTAATAGGTATATTGTAGTATCTTGTTTTAATTTACATTTGTTTAAGGACTGTGCATGTGATTATTTGTTATTTGTATGTCTTCTTTGTGTTTGCTGATATCTCTTTCATTTTTAATGTAGGTTGTTTCCTTTCTTACTGTTGAGTTTAAAGTGTTCCTTCTATGTTTTGGATACAAGTTCTTTATAACATATATGTTCTGCAAATATGATATTCAAGTCTGTGGTTTATATTTTTATTCTCTTAACAGTGTGCCTTCCTCTGTCCCCTCCCATTCCCCAGAGCCACAATGGAAGCTATAGGTTCTTCACCGTGAGAACAAGATAAGGTTCCTGGAGGTAAAGCCCAGAAAAGAGTGGCCCCTCCCTGAGACTGAGGCCCACAGGAGGTTTTCATTCACATCCTAGACTACCCTCAGCTTCCAGTAATTCTTCAAGATTACCACTTGAATATTCCTACCTGTTTGTGACACCCGCAGCCTTTAATCCAAGGAAGATCTCAGCTGTGACTCCCTAGACACTCCACATTTCCAGGAGGCAGGTTGCCCTCTGTTCCATGACGTATCCTAAAAAAAAACATCGATTTTTAGTTTGTCCAGCTTTTTGTTGTTGTTGCTGTTGTTCTAAGGAGTTTTTGTTGTTGTTGTTGTTTTTCTTTACTTACTCTATATTTGAATTTATATTATTTTCTTTTTTTGCATTTTGATGATTTTTTTTCTGGTTTTGTCAAATTTCTATTGATTCTATATTTCGCATTGACAACTTTGTAAATGTAGAATGCTTCTCCATTACATTAACCCATTAACTTTTTAAACCTGGAAATGATAAATTTGCTTTATAAATATTTATTTACTGTTCACGTTTCTGCCTGGCATGGGACTAAGACAAAGACTGAAATAGACAAAGTCCTTAACACAATACAGTTTATATTCTAATTATTCTAATACAAAAACCAACACTAACAAAGATGCACATAAATATATGATAAAATGTCAAGAAATAAGTGCTATGGAAAATAACAGTAAATCAGTTAATGGGTTGGAAATTGATAAGGTTGCCCAATTAGTCAATATGTTTTTGAAAACTCTCTCTGAGGAGGGTGCATAATTCTGATAATAAAACTCATATTTTTCTTGTTTAACATAATACTAAGTATTTTTCCACACAAATATGCTCTGATGCCATCATTTCCCATTACTCACCCTATATGATACCTTTAAAATGCTTGTTTTCTCTATCTTACTATTTTTCTGTCAGTGTCTACATAGATTTTTACTTAGTCTATTGTTAAAATTTCCCTTATAATCTCTCATCTATATAAATATATTTACATTAAATTATATTATATTGACAATTACACTATATAATAGTTGACAATTGTACATTTATTTTTTATGTGTATATATATATTTAGCTATAATGTACTGCTACATATTTTACATTTTTATTACTGATCATTTCTCTTAAAAAATTTTTTTCTCATTGTAGAGGGTTAAAAATATTTTGTAGAGTCCTTGCTCAAGTATTTGAATATTTCTTTGAACTCAAATTCATGGATAATAAACTCTTGAATATCCACAACATCCTTCTTTTTTCCTAGATACTGATAGTTTTGTTGGGTATGACATTTTGTATCACTGTGAATTTCTTTTGATGTCATTCTACCACTTTTAGCTTCTGATGTTGTAAATGAAAAAATACATACGGTACTACTCTAATTTTTTTCTTTGTAAGAAAATGTTTTCCCCATCTTAAAGTTTGTGATTTTTTCCTTATGCTTGAGTTAATTATATTTGGCTGCAAGAATTCTCCTATATGGTGTCACTTATCTTTATTTGCTCACTGGAGCCCAAGTCTTTAGTTGAAACACCTTGAGTCATGGCATTTCTGCAAGTGGTACAACCTAGAGATAGCTGGCCCTCTGTCAACAAGCAGGATGCAAATCCCCATGGAGGTATCAATGCTCTTGGCTTTCCTAGCCTCAGGAGTAGGAGTTAGACAGTTTTGGCTCCTTGGAGATGAGGCAGGTCAGGCAAACTCACATAGGACCGATGTGGTTTTTGCAATTCTGTAGGCCAGGCTCTTTCTAGGAGATGATAGTTATAGATGATATAGATATAGATACACATATACATATTACATTCTTTTCTTTACACTGGGTCCTTTTAGAATGGCCTCTAGTAGTCACACTAGACACTGGCCACAAGAGCCTTGTACCACTTCTGTTTTATTGGATTTCTCTAGAGCTGAACTTCTCCTTCCTAATCAGTTGCTCACAAGACTCAGGAACTGCTTGCCTCAAGACAGCCGGCTGATTTAGAGTTGAGTTGAAAGGCATGAAAGATGATTTTGAGTCATCATCTTCCTGGAATTAGTCCAGAAATTAGCTCTGGTTATTTATTGATTTTTTTGAGTTATAAGATATTACCGGGACCCTCAGAAAAATGCTTGGGCAAATTAGATGAAAATAACCACAGGAAATACAGTCAGAATGATTTATTACTTATCTTTAAAATATACCTAAATGTTGTAGAAATAAGTATGTACTTCTTTCTAGTAAAGCAAACGTATTTTCAATTTACTCCTATTTTGGCAAGATTTTAAATATTTATTATTTTACAAAATACGTTTGACAATTTCAAAGGAGGGTTTGAGCCAGATTCCTATATTTGATAAAAAATTATATTTATCCTTTAATATTCAGCTCCTTTATCCTTTGAAGTAATTGTTTAACCTCCTCAAAATAATTCACACTTCCCTCTAAACCAATTATTTTATGACTATTTGGATAGTATGAGTATTTGGATACTAATGTAATTAGTTGTTTGAATATTAATCTCTCTTTCTAAATATTTTCATCCATGAACACTTGGGCTGTAAATATTTTATTACTGAATATTGACCTTCATAACTGTTTAATAAATGTTGGCTTGAGTGTAATATTCAACTCGGTGGAGATATTTAGTCATTTGTTATATTAGAGAAAACTTTTAATAATTACTTTTGTTAAGAATCTGACAAGTGATTACTTGTCAGAAGGGTTATTGATTGTCAGATCCTTTACTAACCTAAAGACTAGAATAATGTTAACAAATTTCACATACTCCCAGAATAAATGATTCTAGTCATGCACCATATAGATTTTTTAATCAGCAACGGATCACATATGACAGTGATCCCATAAAATTATAATAGTGTATTTTTACTGTACCTTTTCTGTGTTTAGATGTGTTTGGATATACAAATGCCATTGTGTTACAATTACCTACAGTCTTTAGTACAATAACATGCTTTAGAGGTTTGTAGCCTAGGAGCAATAAGCTCTACCATATAGCCTAGGTGTGTAGTAGGCTAGACCCTCTAGGTTTGTATAAGTACATTATAATGTTTGCACAATGAAATTACCTAACTATGCATTTCTCAGAATATATCCCTGTCATTAAGCAATGTCTAACTGTATATTTTAAACTACATGCTTTTCCTAATAAATGGAAACTTATTCTTAGTTGTAATAACCCTGGAAAACTGTGCCCAAATTTCTTTCATTTAACACCTTTTATCACCAAAATATCACATAATTGTTACAAATTTACTCAATAGTAACTTACAATTTCTTTCAAAAAGTACATGCTAATTTGCCTTTAGCGATTAATGTTAGGTGGATCTATTGCTAACATAAACCTCTGGGACATTTTCTGGGACAGATAATTTTTTAATCAGGAAATTCTTTCTCCTATATAAGTCTGTATGAATGCACTTTAGAGAGATAATGGAAAATTATTAACTAACTAGAAATGCCCCCAAATGGAAGGGACACTGCTGTGTGGGGGCAGATGAAAAGTGGACACTGGAAAGTTTCCACACGGGCAGGGTATCTATGTGTTTTCATTAAAATATAAGCTTTTGCAGCCTTGAGCATGAAATTGGACCTGGTAATTTTCATCATTCATTTCAGTCATAAAAATTAAATGAGTCTGTAATCAACTTGCCTATAACACCAAGAAAAAAATTGTCCAAAATAAATATGACAATGATTGTTTTAAAATTACTTAGCAAATGTACAGGCATATACAGAAAACTATGTGATTCCGGTCATGTCTGCTGAGGTTTCTAAACCTAATACTGGGTTTATCCCAAGGGAGACAACACCATCTGTTAAATGCTATGCTTGCTATTTTTATCATTGCTTAACTCACTGGACTCTTCAAGAGGGTGAATAGATGATATCAGTCTTCCCTTATAAAAATAAAGAGCCTGGCGGGGTGCAGTAGCTCACACCTGTACTCCCAGCACTTTGGGAGGCCAAGACAGGTGGACCACCTGAGGTCAGGAGTTTGAGACCAGCCTGGCCAACATGGTGAAACCCTGTCTCTACATTTCTACTAAAAGTACAAAAATTAGCCAAGCGTGGTGGGGCACATCTGTAATCCCAGCTCTTGAAAGGCCGAGGCAGGAGAATCGCTTCAACCTAGGAGTCGGAGGTTGCAGTGAGCTGAGATCACAGCACTGCACTCCAGCCTGGGTAACAGAGTGAGAGTCTGTCAAAAAAAAGAAGAAAGGGAGGGGAGGGGACGGTAGGGGAAGCGAGGGGAAGGGACGGGGGAAGGGAGGGGAAGGGAAGGGAAGGGAAGGGAGAAGAAAGAAGGAAAGAAAACCTGATATGGGTACATATCTGGATTTTCAGAGATGTTATTAAGTATTATTTACTTTAGGCTTCAAATATATAGGCTTTAAAATATCTGTTTCATTCAAACTTATGTAGCAAATATTTCTAATACACTCCACACATAGTTAATAGTTATTTCATTTTTCTAATGTTGTCTACCCAAACTGAGACAGTACACCTCATTTATGTCAAGTAGCCCAATAACAAAATTTACAGATCCTGGCTTACAAAGTGATGACAGCCAAAGAGGACAAGAGCTTCTGTTATCACATGCTGTTTTAACTAGCTCTGGAAAGGCTTTAGCTCTCCTACAAGGCCTGGCAGTAGGACATACAAGCTAGACTGTATACCCTATCACCGCTTTGGAAGGAAGACAATAAGAAGCTTGGATGTCCAGCACTCAGTACGCATGTTGCCGTAGCTCAGGATACTCCATAACCAGCATCTGGATTTGACAAACTGCCTGATTGCAGTCTCATACAGGATTACTACCATAGCACATGCAATATCCTACAACTCAGGTCCTGCCACATATATGCCCCAGTGAGGGAGGGCTAGAGTGGACAGAGCCTCAACAGAGCCAGACTGAGTTATGCTTGCCTAGCCCTAAGGCCATCTCAATCAACAAGGGGCATTGCCTAATGAGAAGTAGAGAGCAGTCCAGGCCTACTGCCCAATTACTTGGCTTGTGTACTCATCTCAGGGCTGACATACTCAGCTGCAGATACTGAAGACTGTTTCTGCTAAGTAAGGAGCAGCACCTTGGGACGTTGCTGCCGGGCAGGACAGTAAGGGTTAGAATCATATCCCAAGGTTGTTGGAGGGCCCCCTCTGGCAACTTGGAACTCTCCCTGAACTTCATTTTCAAACTACGTTTGGGATTAGCACCCGATTAAGACCCAGGCCATCCTTTTAGAACCAGTACTTGTACTTGGCTAATACTAGAAAGCGAATTTGATTACTCACTTTTGGACTCTACGAAGAGTCCTTGCAAAGGTGACCTGGGTTATGATATAGAAAATATTTGCATTCCATGATTTCTGTTATATTCTGTGGACTGATAGGACCCAGCCTAGGAGTCACAAAATCAAGAGTGTGATTCAATGTAACATACTGGAGAAGGAAACAGTAATGTAAAACCAATGAAATAATGCAAATCACTAGAGATATATTGTCATGAAACAAGAAAATAACAGCAAAACACATCACCAAATATTTTTAAATGAGGAAATCATTACCGTTTTCATACAAGAGCTTTAATCTGGCATGCAAGAGTTCAAAAGAGATGATGAAGAAATAGGTAGAAATGAAAAATAGGCTGTTGGGACTAAGGAAACAAATAAATGAGAATAATTACACCAACACAGAAATGAAGTCAATAATGAAAAGAGCAGAGATAGAACAGACTCCACAGTCCACATGGTAAGGATCTGGAGGACAGCATTAGTGCTCCATGTAATGTATGTCAAGATGTTAATATCTGCAGCTGAGCAAAAACTAGGTTTGTGAGATAATTTTCCTAATACGTTTTATAGTTTTTACAAAGTTTTTAGACTTTAGACTTTATAGTGTAGGTTATTTTTAACCTACAGTATATTTCTGAATGTAATTATGTCAGAAAAGTTGGGGTCTGGAATTCAGCAGTGTGATGCTCTGTTTTTCAGATCTAATTAATAGAACCATGAAAACAGACCACAGAGGCAGGAGGGCTTATATAATACAAATTGATTTACAATACTACAAGAAAATCCAAGTCCACTCTGCTCAATTTCTCATGGGGGTATAAATCAGTTCCTACAACTTTGAATAAAAGAGATTTTAGGCATTTTGATAGGTATTTTTCATAACTTATTTTATTTCATCTTGCACCAAAGTGGTGAGGTAAGCATAATTGTTAAAATTTTAAAGAAACAAATTGAAAATTAGAACTACTGAGTTACCCGTTTTACAAAAGCAGGAAGTGCTTATTTTTCTCCAATCACACCATGATGACTTATTAAAGCTCTTCATAGTTTAAGACTTTTCTGGATTATTTTTACATTTTCATTGGTAACTGAAAATAAATCCTCAATATGTTTACCTGTTTTGTCTCAGGTTTGAAGAAGTCTAGATACAACATATTTTCTGTACTTTATTTAATAAATTTGTATAATATTTATAGAGAGAATGTTAAAATAGTAAATAAATATATGAATTAATAAAATAAAAGAACAGAAATACAGTGTGATTGAGGTATAAACATACTCATGTTAGAACTTAGAAGGGCAGCAGCTAGCATCTTACATTATGCCAGATAAAAAATGTATATATTTCTAAATTAGTCTTGCATTTTTGGCATTAATATTCCTGAATATCTGTCATAAAATTGAAATAAATGATCTGTGCGTCCAGTAAAATTACTGTTAGGCTTTGAAAATGGCTCAGTAAGAGTTATTTATAGACCCACAATATAACTTTTAAGTTAAATTGAAATGGAAAAAAACACAGCTTTTCTTTTTCTTTTACAAGTAAAAGTTATACTTACAGAATGTCCTTTTCTAGTTTAAAATAATGTATAGTTTTGAACATTATAAGAAATTGTACTATTATCCAATTATCCAACCAATCATATATGTATCAATCATATATTTATGATGCTATGATAATGCACTTTTGAAATTTTGCTGCAAGAATTTTTTAGTTTTATCTCATTGAGCGCCTCCATTAGTAAAGGAATTTCACAAGTTAATCAAATACGGACACATTTTAAATTTAATGAAGCAATGGTTTGAGGAAAAATAACCTACTTGATTTCTTGGACTCAAAAGTGATATCAATGGTCCCCATCAAAAACAGTATGCAGTTGAAGTCTTACATTTAATTTTTACCATGTCAGAAATCTCTAACAATAGATATTCTTTGTGATGTGTTTGCTAATATTGACCAAAATATAACTTTTTCACAGAAGAAACTATTGCTCTGTTCAAAAAGTGTAGAGTTATCACTATAGTTTTGCATTTCCAGTATCCTATAAATGGAATTAGATAATATAAAGGCTTTTATGTCTATTTCTCACACTTCACATAGTAATTTTAGTATTCATCCATGTTGTTGCATATATCAGTATTTGTTTTTATTGTATAGTAGGCCATTGAACAAATGTGTCGCAATTTGTCCATTTACCATCTGAAAGACAATAGTGTTGTTTTCAGTTTGGGGTGCTAATGATTAAAAAAAATACGCTGAGAATTCACCTGAAAGTCCTTGTGTGGACTTATATTTTCATTGTCAGTCAATAGGAGTGAAATTTCTGAGTTGTATGACACATGTATTTTTAGATTTATGACAAACTGCCAAACACTTTCCAAAGTGGCTATAACATGCTGTATTCACACTAGCAATGTATAACAGTTTCAGTTAGCCTCACTAGCACTTGTTATTTTTATTCATTGATATTTTGCCAACATAATTGCTTTGGAGAGGTATTCATTGAATTTTTAATTATGTTTCCTTAAATATGAAAAAGTAAGCTATTTGAGCATCATTTCTTATCTTATTGTCACTCAAACATCTTCTTTGGTGAAGTGTATACTCAAATCTTTTATCATGTTGAATCATTTTTGTCCTAATTATTGAATTAAAGTATTATACATTCAATATGTAAGTCCTTTTACCGAATATATGTTTATAAAATATTTTCTGCCAGTTGGAAGCCTGTCCTTTCATTTTCTTAAAAGCTTTTAGAAAAAGCAAAACATTTTTCACTTCAAAGAAGTAAAATTTATCATTTATTCTTTTATATTATTTGCCTTTTTGAGTTATAACAACCAAAAACATTTGCATAATTGAAGGTCAGACAGATTTTCTTTGATGTTTCCTATCACGCATTTCATACTTTTAACTTTTGTATTTAGTCCTGTAATAAAGTTTCACTAAATGTTGGTGTAGGGTACAAGAAAGGTTCACGTTCACATATGTATGCATGTATATTTACAACATTTCTGGTATCATTTGTTGAAAATACAATTTTTTCTCTATTAAATAACATTTGTATCCTAGCATCATTGTAAAATATAAAATGGCTACATAAAGTGCATCAATTTCTTGACACTTCTTTGAAATAAATGTCTGTCTCTATGCCAATATCACACTGCCTTGATAATTTTAGCTTTATAATAAGCCTTGAAGCCAGCTGGTATCAGCCCTCTTTTTTTTTTTTAACTTTTTAATTTTTTTAAGTATCTTATTATTCAATAACACTTTTATAATCAGTGTGACCATTTATAGCAAAACCTTTTTGGAATTTTTACTGCGTAGAATATTTTTCTCTGTATGTGTAGGGGTGTGTGTGTGTATGTGTGTGTGTTGTGTGCGTGTGTATGATGTTTGGGGAATATTGAAATCTTATCATTGAGTGTTCTGATTCATGGATATCATATATGTCTATATTTATTTAGGCCTTCAATTTTTTTCAAGAATTTTTGTGTAGTTCTTAATGTGTTTTGTGAAATTTATCTGTATTTCATGTTTTTCATGCTATTATAAATATTTTATCTCCAGTTATATCAGTATATACTTTGAAGCTCTTTTTTGAATGTGTTTTTACTTATTTAAGGCCGGGCACAGTGGCTCACGCCTGTAATCCCAGCACTTTGGGAGGCTGAGGTGGGCGGATCACGAGGTCAGGAGATAGAGACCAGCCTGGCTAACACGGTGAAACTCCGTCTCTACTAAAAACACAAAAAAATTAGCCGGGCTTGGTGGCGGGCGCCTGTAGTCCCAGCTACTCCGGAGGCTGAGGCAGGAGAATGGCATGAACCCGGGAGGCGGAGCTTGCATTGAGCCGACATGGCACCACTGCACTCCAGCCTGGGGGACAGAGAGACTCCATCTCAAAAAAAAAAAAAAAAAAGATTGTTATGTATTGATGAATTGACTTCTGTAACATATGCAAATTATTTTTCATCCCTAGTATTTTTTAAGTCCGCTTTGCCTTGTATTCATGTAGCCACTCAGGATTTGTCGATTTGTGTTTTCATGATGTAACATTTTATTATTTTATTATTAATCTAGCTTTTCTTCCGGTATTTGGAGTGGATTTCTTATATGTAGCATATACGTGGATCTTGCTATTTTATCCAATCTAGTTAATCTACATTTAACTAGAGTATTCGGAAGATGTATGTTTAATGTAATTATTGATACTTTTAGTTTTTAAACATACTCTAGCTATTTCTTTTCTATTTTACTCTGCTTTTCCTCTTTCTGCTATATTTGGAAAAATTGAAATTATTTTATTTCAATTTATTCTCACCATTAATTTTGTAGGCATATTTCTATGTTTTATTTCTTAATAGCTGTTCTCAGATTATAAAATGTACATTAATTTATTGGAAGTTGCTTTTGCATAATACCACCTCATGCAACATATAAGAATCTTAGCATAATAATTTTCCATTTTGCTCACTCTCATCCTTTATTATTTGATCTTTTCCTTTGCCACTTGGTATAAATCTCACAGTACACTTTTATCATGTACAATATTAAGTATAAGGAAAATATTTTGTGTATTTAATATCATTTTCACCATTTCTATATTTTTTTTGTACATTGAAATTTTTATTTGGTGTCATGTAGACTTTACCTGAAAAAAAAAAACCTTTAATATTACCTGTAAGGCAAGTCTGCTTTCAACAAATGCTCCAACATTTGTTTGCCTCCCATCAATGCCTAGTTTTGGATAAAAAGTCTGCTGTTATTATCATATATTTTCCTATATTCTACTTTCCTATCCCCCACTGCTGCATTCAATATATACTCTTTTTTTTTGTATTTCACAATTTAACTATAATGTGCCCTTGGAAATTTTCTTAGTATTTATCCTGCCTATGGTTAGCAGTACAGTCTTTTGATTCTACTGGTATAGGTTTTGATTAATTTAATGTAATCCTTGCCACTCTCTTTTCAACTATTCTTCTAACCTTTCTTTTCCATTTGTTTTTCTTTTAGGACACCAATTACATTTATGTTAAACATTCTGATAATAGTTTAATAACTCTTAGAACCTCTATTCTAAATTAAAAATATCTTTATATTTCTTTTAGATAATTTTTATTAGAATGTCTTCAAATTAACTTATTATGTCTTTTACAGTGCCCAGTCGATTTATTCAGCCTGTTACAGGACATCTACATGTCTGATACCATGTTTTGCATTTCTCCCATTTCCACTGGACACTTTATGGTTATCACTTTGTAGCTATCCATTTGTTCAAGCACGTTGTTACCTTTTCCACTATGTTCTTTAACTGATTATTCATAGTTTAAAATTCCTTTCCCGAAATTTTCAGTATCAAGGCCATTTCTGAGTATGGTTTTGTTGACTGCTTTTTCTCTTTAAAGCTCTTTCCGATCACTTTGTCTCAGAAGTAATCAAAGCTCTTTTGTCAGGCTGTCATTGTAGGGGGTTGAATTACTCTAATCATGAGTTGATGGCTTAGCGTTAATTGTTGCTGAATTGCCCTTCAGTGAACCACAGACTTCAAATTTCTTCATCAATGGTGGACTCCTACCTTTTGCTTATTTTATGGACTGTAGCACTGGAGTTTTTTCTCCACATCACTGCTCTGCTGTCAGCTTTTAAGGGGCCTTGCACACCAGAGACACAAAGTGACTTACTGTCTCTATTCATCCTTGGTTCTCCTTCTTCGGTCTCAGTTTTAGGTAGCCCATGTATATACGTGTTTCCAAGATAGTGTTTTTCCCCTTTTCTTTACCTACCTTATAGCAGCCAAACGCTACCTCATAACATTGAGGGGGAATGGGAGGAGAGTGATTTTTCAGCACTTTGTCTGCTTTATTCCAGTGCATGATACTTGGTGAGGCGGTGTTCTTACAGTTCTCTAAAAAAGATGGTTTGGCTTCTTCGCCTTTACTAACAGTGGCTAACCACTCTCTGGGCCTGGTGGTGGGAGATTTCTAGCTTGTCCTTAGCAGCAGACAGCTTTCTTTCATGTGAGACACGAGTTTGGGTTTTGTACCTGTTCTGTAGGAACAGCTTATCATGATATGCCTGCCTGTGTCACCGCAGAACCCCCTCAGATCTATGGCCTGCTCCATGTTTCTCCTGAGCATCCAAAGACAGCTTCTGCAATCAAGCCCTTAGAGGAGTGTCTGGGACATTCGGGTAGACTAAACTGTCACGTTCCCCTACATGGGATCCTTAAGAACTCATAAAAAATTCAGTTGTTTTCTTCTTTTCTGCTTTTCTGGTTGTTACCTTGTTTCATAAACTTTACCAAAGGTGAAACAGTTTATGTGGCCCACTGAGGAATTAGTTACCATTTTGAATTCAGTTCATCAAGTTATTTTGCAACGATTAGTTCTTTGATAGGCTCAAAAAAGGTATAATTTTGTAGATTACTTAGAATATTCTCATTGTTATCAACAGAGCAAAATTATTTGCGGCTTTTCTTATTCCTTGTGGAAGTAGTATTCTCTGAAGCCCCTTCTTGAACAGTCTTTAAATATAATAGAAAGATTATTCATATTCTCAAGGAAATACTGGAAAAATGTCAGAGTAATGAGCTGGCAGAGAAGAAAATATTTCTATGCTATTTCTACATGTTTTTTCATGACTAACACATGCATTTATTTATTCACCCATCCCGAAATATTTATAGTTTACCCAGAGCATTTTAACTATTTTGTTAGACTTTGGAAATAAATAATATATGATAGTCTATTTACTAAAAGATCCAGTTTTGTTTTTATTTCAATTTACACAAAATGACTCTATATCTGTACAGTTCACTGTTGGTAAAAAAAAAAAATCCTCAAAAGATAATGTATTTCTCATCAATCTCAATAAGCAGGCTTTACTTATTTAAGAAACAAAATTTGTATTTCTTCAAACTGACATGCTATGCAACAACAACAACAAAAAACACCTATAGCATGTATAAATGAAAGTACTGAAGCCATGTTTTTATCCTCATTCAAACAAATCAATCCCATCAGTACATGACGATATGTGGTGAAAGTATAGAGATTTGAGGAAACTGGAATTTGCAATGTTCACTAGTGCACAAGTGACTGAATGTTTTTTATGAGAGTTTACATAATTCAACATAAAGGGCTGAATTTATGTTCATATAAGCTAAAATGCAAGCCTGGAAAGTGTAATTTGAGACATTTTATGAACTACCACAAATATCTCTTTCCTAATCATGCAACACCACTTGTAGACAAAGAAGATGTCCTCTACCATGAGCCAGGCTCAGGATGCCTGACTTCTACTCAGATTTATGTTTTTGGATCTCTCCCTTTGAAGATCTGTTTGGCAGTGAACATCATCTTAGAAAGGATTATGTGCTAAACTAATATACACTGAGGTGTATATGCACTTAGTGACTCAATGGGAAGTTATTTAATTAAGGAGAATGGAGGCAGTAAAGAAAGAAGCAGTAAAGAACATTTTGGCAGACATAATAACTTAGGTCAAAGATTCTAATGTGAAGTTCTATGGACGTATTAGCACAGAGGATTCTTTGTTCGATTTGGCTGTACTGTGCGTTGTGTGAAGATTTGCAGCATTCTCAACCTCTATCCACTAATTGCAGGAGCAACCTTTCACTTGTGGCAACCAAAATTGTACCTAGATATTATCAAATGTCCTCTCAGTGGAGGGTAACGACCTCTGGTTGTGAATTACTGACTTAATCCAAGGCAACAAAGGATTGCCTGATTAATCTTATTAAATGGCTATGTATTTAGACACACACACACACACACACACACACACACACATATATATGTCTATATACACACACCTTTAAAAATAAAGAAGATAAAATATTTTAGATAAAAGCGACTATACTATGTGAAATTTTTCTTACAATTTCACTGAGTTGTAGGCATATTTTTGTTTTGTTTTGTTCCCAATTATTAAATATCTCCAAGTGACAGATGACTCATAGCTTTACTTAATGGGCAAGCCATCTAACTAAAATATGTAGACAAGGCATAAAAACAGATAGAAGATAAATAGTAGTGGTTTTATGATAGTCTGCACAGATCAATTTTTCTTGATAGATTTTAAGTGTCATTATTTTAACAGTTATATTCCAGAGAAAAAACTCTCTCTCTGTCGTGTGTGTGTGTGTGTGTGTGTGTGTGTGTGTGTGTGTGTAAATAACCAGCTTCAGAAAGGACACATCAGGGCTTTGACACTACTCACTGTGACTAAATAATACGTTCATAGTGTCACTTGATTAGTACACTGATGCTGTTTCTCTCCCTGCTTATTAATGATTTTTTTTCTGAAACTCCTGAAGCTAACCATAATGGGAATAATATTGAGCCTGGTTTTAAATCTCCCATGACATGCATCCAATCAAGGCATTCCCCTAGGGTTTCAGCAGAAGTAATCTTAAAGAATTGAGTAAATTGATATTAAAAAATAAAATAAAATAACTTCTACTACCTCATGATCATTATGGCTGGAACAGACTAGGAAAATTTTATTAATGACAAGTAAAAAACTGTACAATCCAGCTTCGACATGTGAAGAGCTCAGAGGTCATTATTTCCATCCTTTCATACAGAGAAGAGCTGAATGAACTCAAAATCAATGACTTTTCCTGGATCCAACAGAAAATTCAGGTCACAGTGCAAACTGCCACTCTGAAAACTGGAGAGACAGGAAAATACAGAAAAGTCCAGCCAAGATCAGGTTAACCAGAAGAGAAACCACTGGAACCAGAAACTGACAGGAGCATTTAAATGGCAATTTATGGGCTAACTTGAGAGTGCGAATCATGGGACCTGCAACCTTAGGAAATCCTTGTACTGTATAGTTTTTAATTCCAGGACTTTATCAGGTTTTTTAAGTAAAGGGCAAGAAAAATCAACCCATGTCTTTGGCAGGGGGAATGATGTGGTTTTGCTGTGTGCCCACCCAAATCTCATCTTGAATTGTAACTCCCACAATTCCCACATTTCATGGGAGGAACCCAGTGGGAGGTAATTGAATCATGGGGGCGGGTCTTTCCCTTGCTGTTCTTGTGATAGTGAGTAAGTCTCACAAGATCTGATGGTTTTAAAAATGGGAGTTTCTCTGCACAAGCCTTCTCTTTGCCTGCTGCCATCCATATAAGATGTGATTTGCTCCTCCTTGCCTTCTGCCATGGTTGTGAGGCCTCCCCAACCATGTAGAACTGTAAGTCCAATAAACCTCTTTGTTTCGTAAATTGCCCAGTCTCAGATATGTCTTTATCAGTTGCATGAAAACAGACTTATATAGGGAGTGAATGAGTAACCATCTGAAATATACTCTGTGTGTTCTCCTAATGAAGACCTGTGCTTGTAGCAAAAAAGTCTTTGCCAGAAGCCTCTCTGACACAGACTTAAGGAAAATTATCAAAAGTAGCTCCTTCTGGCATGTCTGTTGTCTAAATAAAGGGACAGTAAAAAAGACTGTAAACACTTTGAAAGTCACAGCCCATGAATACAGTCCCTTCGAAAGACAGATCTCATCATGTGATTACTGTTTTCTCTCTCCCACTTCTTACTACCATACAAACAGGGATTACAGCTGAAATAGTAGGAAGAAACATACTAAATTTTAAGAAGGAATTCTTAGGAAAACACAAAGAAAAAAGAGGATAGTAAAGGAAATACACTAAAGAAATTTGAAGCCTCCGATACCAACTATTGCAAAGAACATTAAACATAGCCCAATTCAGAGGCAAATCAACGTAAAATCTCCGACTAAAGTTTTATTTATCTCTGACCCTATTACATGATACATCATGCCCAGCTTTCAACAAAAATTACAAAGCATTAGTAAAGCCAAGTTGGAAGAAAAGTCTGAAGAGACAAGCAAGGATGAGAACCAGACTCAAACATAGCATAGATTTTGGAAATATCAGAAAATGAATTTAAAATAAATATAATTAATACACTATGTGCTTTAATGAAAAAAGTAGACAACATGAAAGAAAAGGTGTGTAATATAAGCAGGGAGATGGAAACTCTTAAAAATGTTAGAAATCAAAAATACTGTAACAGAAATGAATGCTTTTAAAGGCCTATTAATTGGTTGGACACAGATATAAGAGAATTAGTAACCTTAAACACAGGTTATTAAAAACTTCCTGAAATGAAATACAAAAAGAGAGAAGAAAGATGGAAAAGAGGACAGGATTTACAAGAACTGTGTGGTAATTCCAAAAGGTGCAACACGAATGTAATTGAAGTGTCATAAAGAAAAAAATGAGAGAAGAGATTTGAAAGGAATATTTGAAGAAATAATGACTATGAAGTTAAAAGAATATAATGACAGACAATGGACCACAAAACCTGGAAACAAAAATTACCATTAGACTTATTATATTAAAACTGTAGAAAGTCAAAGAAAAGTACAAAATCTTGAAAAAAGATGTAGGAAAGAACAAAACAAACTTTTTTTTTCCTATAGAAGGAAAAGAATAGATTACAGTAAACATCTTCTTAGAAACCATGCAAGGAAGCAGACAATGGAGTGAAATGTCCAAAGTATAAAAGAAAGAAAACACCAACGTAGGTTTTTATATTCAGAAAAAATATTCTTACAAAGTGAAGGAAAAATTAAGGCTTTCTCAGGAAACAAATAAAAAATGCTGACAGAATTCATATCTAGCAGATATTTCCTACAAAATGTATTCAAATAAATTATTCAGGAAGAAGGCAAACAACATAGTCCTCTATTCTGATCTACATTAAAAATGAGAATGCTGAGAGAAATTCCAAGATTGCCAACTAGATGCAGCCAGGAAGAACTTCTCCGACCGAGACAGACCAGAACATCAAGTAAACCAGCGTACTCCAAACAGACCATCTGAGAGAAGGCTCTGAGAATAGTTGAAGGGATGATCTAGATTCTGGGACTGAAGGGAGAGAAAGCTGGGAACCCCACGTGAGGTGGCCCAGTGTTGATGCCCTTTCCAAGCCCTGAATGGCTCTTAAAACAAAGTGTCTCTGCCCTGTGTAAGCTGTGGCCCTGGAGAGAATGGAAAGAGCAGAACTGTCCTTCCCCTGGGACAAGGGAAAGGCTGATCTGCCTGCTTTGCTGATTCCAGTCTTTCCTTCAGTCCCTGCCTGACCATGTCTGCAGATAGTGAGCCCCCACCCCCCCCGCCAATGGAGTGCCTTTGCTAATAACCTCCCACCAGAACATGTTAGCTTGAGACCCTGCAGCAGCCCTTTCGGAGCACTTCCTGCCGGTATCACCCTCACCAAATTGCTTTCCTCCCGTGGCACCCCCACTGAAACACTTCCTGCTCACTGTGCCTGTGCCCCCCCCCACCAGAGGGCCTAATACCCCTGTGGCACCTCATGCCAGAGCACCCTCACCCACAGCACCATCCCACCCCCTGCTGGAGTGCCTCCTGCCCGATTCCCCCATTGTTCCCACCAGAGCTTCTCCAGCCAGTGGCACCCTGCTGTCTCCTATTCAGTGCTATTGCCAGTGGTCTTTGAGAACCTTGGACTCTCTAGCCCAGCTGGGGCTTGACCTCGAGGAAGAAGGGGATGAAACCACTGACCCAGAACCAGTACTCCAGGGTTAGAGAACACAGTCCAGGAGTGTGAAACTGAACCTTGCCCAGTAAAAGCATCCAGAAATATAGTCTTTCAGCTATACCCATGTTGTGCCACAGCCAAATCCTCAAGGGCAATAATGACAATACAAACTAAAATCTCCATTTAAAAGATAGCAATTCCAAATAGATAAAGGATCATCACCCCTTGAAGATGAGAAAGACCCAGTGCAAGAACTCTGGCCACACTGAAAGCCAGAGTGTCTTCTTACCTCCAAACAATCACATTAGTGCCCCCGCAATGGAATCTAACCAGATTGAAATGGCTGAAACGTCAGACATAGAATTCAGAATCTGGATGGCAAGGAAGGTCATTGAGATACAAAAGAAGGTTGAAACCCAATACAAGGAAAATATGAAAATGATCCAGGAGTTGAAAAATGACATAATCATTTTAAGAAAGAACCAAGCTGAACTTTGGAAATACATTTACTACAGGAGTTTCAAAGTAAAATTTGAAGCATAACAACAGAATAGACGGAGATGCGGAAAGAACCTCAGAGTCTGAAGACCACTCCTTGAAAGCAATACAGGCAGAAAAAAATAAAGAAAAAATAATTTTAATAAATTAACAAAACTGCTGAGAAATACAGAATTATATAAAGAGCCCAAAGCTACCACTCATTGGCATTTCAGAAAGAGGAGAGAGACCAAGCAACATAAAATATATATTTGAAGATACAGTTCATGAAAAATTATCCAATCTCACTACAGAGGTTGACATGTAAATTCAAGAAATTTAGAGAACCCTTGTGAGATACTGTGCACAATGACCATCGGCAAGACACAGAGTCATCATATTCAACAAGGTCAATCTGAGGGAAAAAAAATTAAAGGCAGCTAGAGAGAAGGGGCAGGTCAATTAAAAAGCTAAGGGAATTTGTTACCACTAGATCTACCTTATGAGAGCTTCTAAAGGGAATGCAAAACATGGAAATGGAAAGACAGTACATGTCACCACAAAAACACACTTAAGACATACCTCACTGACACTATAGAGCAACTATACAATCAAATATACATAACTCTCTAACATCATGATGACAGGAACAAATCTTTACATATCAGTATTGACCCTGAATGTAAACAGGCTAAATGGTCCACTTAAAAAGCACAGATGAGCAAGTTGGATAAAGATGCAAGACCCAACTGTATCCTGTCTGTAAGAAACCCATTAATTGTATGCTCATATGTAAGAATACCCATAGGCTCAAACTAAAGGGATGGATAAATATATATCAAGCCAAAGGAAAACAAAGAAGAGCAGGGATAGCTATCCTTATATGAGATAAAAACAGTCTTTAAATTCATGATAATCAAAATGGACAAATAAATGCATCACATAATGATGAAGGGCTCAATCCAGCAAGACTTAATTGTCCTAAATATATACACGCAACATCGAAGCATCTAGATTCATAAAACAAATTATTAGACATCTACGGAGAGATTTAAACAACTGCACAATAATACTGCAAGACTTCAACACCCCACTGACAGCATTAGACAGATTATTGAGGCAGAAAACTAACAAAGAAATTATGGACATAAACTAGACATTTGACTAATTGGATGTAAGAGACATCTATGGAAAACTCCACCCAACGACAACAGAATATACACACTTCTCATCAACACATGACACATACTCTAAGACTGAACACACAGTCGTCCATAAAGCACACCTTAACAAATTAAAAAAAAAAATGAAATCATACTAACCACAGTCTCAAAGCACAGT
This sequence comes from Homo sapiens, assembly GCF_000001405.40. Lineage (NCBI taxonomy): Eukaryota > Metazoa > Chordata > Mammalia > Primates > Hominidae > Homo > Homo sapiens. The sequence goes on along the minus strand of NC_000002.12, from coordinate 13,590,598 downwards.
GCAATAAAAGTAGAAACAACACCAAGATCTATCAAAATCGTAAAATTACATAAGAGTTAAACAACCTGCTCCTGGAGGGCTTTTGGGTAAAGAATGAAATTAAGGCAGAAATTTTTAGAAAAATCTTTTAAAGTAATGAAAACAGAGACACAATGTACCTGAATCTTTGGAACTCAGCTAAGGTAGTGCTAAGAGGAGAGTTTTCTTTTGCACTAAACACCTACATCAATAAGTTAGAAAGATCTCAAATTTGGAACCTAACATCACACCTACAGGAACTAGAGAAACAGGAACAAACCAACCCTAAAGCTAGCAGAAGAAAAGAAATAGCCAAAATCAGAGCTGGACTGAATAAAATTAAGACACAAAAAAAATTCAAAAGATCAACAAAATCAAAAGTTGGTTCTCTGAAAGAATAAATAAGATTGATAGACCACTAGCTAGACTAATAGAGAAAAAAAAGAGAGAAGATTCAAATAAACACAATTAGAAAGACAAAAGGGACATTATCACCAACCTCACAGAAATAATAATAAAATAAAAAGGCCAGGCACGGTGGCTAGTGCCTGTAATCCGAGCACTTTGGGAGGATGTGGCAGGTGGATCACGAGGTCAGGGGTTCAAGACCAGCGTGGCCAACATAGTGAAACCCCATCTCTACTAAAAATGCCAAAATTACCCAGGTATTGTGGCACACGCTTGTAGCCCCAGCTACTCGGGAGGCTGAGGTGGGAGAATCACTTGAACCCGGGAGGCAGAGGTTGCAGAGAGCGGAGACCACACCATTTCACTCCAGCCTGGGTGACAGAGTAAGACTCTGTCTCAAAAAATAAATAAATAAATAAAACAAAATAAACAAAGAAGAAGAAAAAAAAACCTTTCAGACTATTATGAACACCTCTACGCACACAAACTAGAAAACCTAGATGAAATGGATAAATTCTTGGAAAAATAAAACCTCTCAAGATTGAACCACCAAAGGTACCCATGCAAGGTGGATCCCCTGCTGGTGCTTTTGTCTGGGCCTCTGGTAGAAAGATATGAAATAAGAAACGGGTATTACATAATGATAAGGGAGTCAATTCCCCATGAAGATACCACAGTTCTTAACACGTATGTACCTAACAACATGGCATCAAAGTGCATGAGGCAAAATCTGATAGAACTGCAAACTGAAAATAACCTTTATTAGAACTGAAGAACATAACATACACATTCTTTATGTTTATAACATAATACACATTCTTTCCAAGCTCACATGAAACATTCAGAAAAGTAAACTATCGCCTGGATTCAAAAGCACATTTAAACAAATAAAACATATTTAAAATAAATTAAAAAGGATACAAATCATATAAAGTATGTTTTCAGACCACAATATAATACAATTAGAAATCAATAATGGAAAGATGACTTTAAAACATTCTAATATATATGGAGATGAAACAACATATTTGTAAATAAAATAATACCCGAACTCATGAAAAATAGTTAATCTGACTAGGCCTGTTGTTTATGAAAAAATAACTTACTAATAACCTTTCTACAAAAATGTCCCAAGGACCACTCTCAGAAGGTTATTAGTAAGTTATGGTATTAGGTTATTACTACATGAAGCATTCTACAAATGTCATATGATCAAGTCGACTGATAATATTGTTCAGATCAACTATATCATTACTGATTTTCAGCAAGTTAGGTTTATTAATTGCTGAAAATGAGATGTTGAATTCTTCAGTTATAATGAAGGTTTTATTTTTTTTCCGTTTGCAGTTCTAGGCTACACATGGTGACTTCCTTCCAAAGAAACACAGTATGGAAAGGAGAAATTTTAAATAAATAGACAGATTTTAGTTGATAATATTGCATCTATATTGACTCATTAATTGTAATAAACATACATACTAATGTAAAATGTTAAAAATAAAGGGAGCTGAGTGAGGGACATGGATGTAGAGACCATTTATACTATCTTTTTTAATCAATTTTTTAATCAATTTTACATAAATATAAAAATAAACACCAAACTACCCATTCTTCTAAATTTCTTTAGTTCATTATTCAAAAAATCTTTATTGCCAGCTCAATGAGAGAAAGGATAAGGAAAGAACATTGGTTTTTTTGGAGTTCATAGTAGAGGAAAATGGAGACAATAATCAAAATACAATGAAATAAAGGATATAAAAAACTTACACAAATATGAGAACAGTAGGTTTCTACCGTGAAAATAAGGAAATGTTTCAAAGGGACAATGACTGACATATGACAGGAGCATTTAAGGATGAAAGAGTTCCCCAAATAAAGAAAATAAAGGTGGGTATTTCATGCAAGTTGAGCAGTATATGTGAAGGAACAAGCATGAAACTGATAATGATCACATTATACTGTGTAAACAGCAAATAACTGTGTGGCATAAATGGTGGATATTTGGAGGGAACATGATGCTAGATCATGTAGATCATAAAAGGTAACTCTGAGGCCATATCATAAGTAACTTGCATGCAATATGAATGGGATTTTATTTTATTATGTGAAACATCAGGAAAATTTGGCATGTTTAAAACAGTTTTTTAATAATGAGATTGATGTTTCAGAAAGATGACTCAACACAGTAGATTGTTTAAGAGAGAATGAGAGCTAAAGTCTGGTTAAACTTAGATGTCAAAAGTTCTGTCATGTCACTCCTACATGAAAGCAATTTTTTTCAGTTCCAATAAAAAATCATGGCACTTTAGGTTTTTATGCTCCAACAGATGTATTTTGGACTTAGACTTTGTCAAGACAATTGCAACTGCCTTAACATAAGCTATTCACAGTTTGCAGGTGGAGAGATTACATTAAATGCCAAAAAGCCAAACTCTTAAAAATAACTATATCTAAAATAGGTGAAAACATTTTTATCATCCTAATTTTGTCAAAGTGTTGGCAGGCTTATTAAAAAACTTAATAATTTTAATATATTTTCCTAAGTAAATTGGATCTGCCCTCTGTGCATAATTTTAAAACATTATTTCAGTTTTCTCTTAACAGATTATCGTTAAGGTCTTTTTAGAAATGAAATATCAAAATTGTTTCTCTCCCTAAAATAGTAATTTGTTCTTGTCAGTGAGGACTCTTTATAATAAATGAGTTAGACATAGACATGGGAGAAGGGGAAAGATAATTATAATATTATATTATTGAAGGCTTTTATTCTGGAAGGATTAATAAATGCAAATACTACTTAAGTACTTGCCACAAATATACATGCTGTAAAAAATTAGTGTTGCCTCTTGAATTAGTGGTATTCTGGCTAGATAAGTCTTGAACTCATTGCTCAGCCAGGCATAAAGAGTTGGATCATGTTCAACACGGAGGGGATGAATGTTTAATGACTAGATTCTGTGCCATGGTATCTTTAACTTATATAAGAGATAAACATAATTTTATATTAAGTAATTATATAAACCCAGGCTTTGGGAAGGTATGCACTAAAATGATTTTGATGATCGTCAAAGTTTCAGGATTATAAAATGACTTCATGTGTTCAAAGTTTTATTCCTAATGTGTCTACAGATTTTTAAATCAGTAATAAACAAAACCAAATGTTAACAATGTACTGATTTATGAATCTATTTTGAGAGATGTGAATATATGCACATACTTTTGTGTGTGTGTGTAGCTATGTATGGAATCAGAAGTAATTTTTCTCTTCTGGGAACTATTATTTTCATTTACATTCATTTAATCAATAATTCATTTATTTAACTGATAAATAGAACTTTAACACATATTTTATACCAGGCATAATGTTGAAGCTTAAAAAAGATACAATGTTACTTTATTCTGCCATGACTTTTAAATAATTAAAGAAGATGACAAGGTCTGATGTTTAATTACTCATTGCATGAGATATAAGAATGTGCCACTGAAATATATTTAATAAGTTATTAATAAACTTGGTACTATTATTCAGGGGAGTTATCACAAAAAGACATATTTCTTTAGAAATGAAAGTATCATACTGCAAATGATTGGCTTGTGTAAGGTAGAAGACAGAAATATTGGAAGAAAATGATTCTGGGAGCTGAGAAGCCGCAGTTTTGGAAGAATTGTTTATGTATATGTTGAGATCAATAACCAAAACATGGGTCATTTTGTTAAGAATGACAGTGATCCAGAAGACAGAACTGTCCTAATAGTTGGTACAAATCAGCAGCAATGCAAGGCAATGGACAAGAAACTAATATCAGATTGAAGGTGAAGGGAGTGGGGGCTGGGAGCAAGGAAAGAAGCAGTGGTTTATAAACAGCTGGCATAAGAAGACAACTTTCAGGGAGAGAGATGATAGGGATGACAGGATGAGAGAGACTAAAAACAGCTGCCACTGTAGAGACTGGCAGGGCAATTATGGTCCTCAGGGAAAAGCCATCTTTCCCTTAGAACAAAAACTAAAGAATATTCCTAAAATGGATTGAAGTTAGAGGCCTTTTTTTTCTCATGATTAAGTAAAAAGAATTTTGAGGAAAGGTCTTGTGTCTTGGAAGAGGTAAGAAAAGAGAAGGGAATAAAGATGTACAGTACTTTATAGGGACTAGAATGTGGAAGTCTCAGGTGAGCTGGGTGTCTGCATGTTGCATTGGTGGCTCACTGAACAAGGTCAGATTGGAACTGTGGACTTCAAGGATGATGGTGGTGGTGAGGCTGAGAGTGATGGGGTAGGGAGCAGTGGGTTTCTCAGTTTCAATCTTTATCTCTGATGAATATAAACCATGAGTGCTAACTACTCTTCTCAACCAATCTTCCAAGAATAGTATCTCTCATTCTCAGAAGGTAAATTTTCATATTGGTGCAAGGAATGAGGTATATCAAGTGTGCCAAGTTCTTACAATTTTATCAAACATGGTGCCAGCTTCCTTGTTAATGTTTTTAAAGAACAAAGGAAGTGCTATCTATTGAAACACATGCGCACGCGCACACACACGTGACTGAAAGTCTCATAGAAAATAATATCACATAATTATCTAAACTAAACTTTCTAATATTAAAAATGTGGAATTGAAGTGACATAACCAATTTAAAAAAATAACTAATTTTTCAAGAACTTACAATTCAATAGAAGAATATATTTCTTCACTGGATTGTACCCAATTTTTGCATTCTGTGTGAAGCACCTGATATAATTATGTGGCTAGACGTTAGGTGCCTAGGTCTATAATTAAAAAGATACATTTTACATTTAAAAATCAAGGAACAAGCTATAAATTTCATGCTACTATTACTTCTAGTATAATTGTCAGACAATTTTCAGGCCATAAATAACCCTACAATTACTTAATGTTTTTTATGGTCAATAGTCTACATGGCAACAATTATATTATTACAGAATAATTACATGAATCACTTTATTTGTAATTGCCATAACGACATTATTTCACTATCTTATTCAAAGCACAAAGATTCGATACAATGTTGGTGATGCTGAGGATTTGATCCATTATTAGGGAATTAAATGATATTAAACCTTCACCTTTTATTATATATTTGAGGAAACACATATATGAGTCTCTGTGAGTCATTTGTTAAATATTGTTCTTTTAATGCCTTGAAACACACTTGGTAAAATAGAAAAACAGGGAAATTTCTTAATCCATTGTATTATAATTTTCTTGTGTGTGCCTCTTTGCAAAAAGGCTGTATCAAATCATAAAATGGTATGAATATGGTTTTAAGAACACAATAATTAGAGACTTTGTGTTTTAATGAATAGGCTTCAAACAGCTAAATAGAACTGCATTTAAAAGAATCATTCAATAAACTATTTTCACTGGAACCCAAGGATGCTTGATTAAAGCTGAAAATTACAATTTGGTATTAAATTCTACTAGAACAATTAGTTGAATTAATTTTCATGATTTTTTAGAAATTGATTGCCTCAATCAAGTTTGATGTATAATCAAATGACTAAGATGCAATTAGAAATGCTACCATTTTTACCTTTCCTGAGCAGCCAGATTCCAGGCATCTTAATTCTTTTTACCCAAAATACATTCATAGCAAAAAACACTGAAGAAATCATTCTGCTCAAACTTTCTGTTGACCAGATAATTTGGATATCCCTATGCATATAACTATGTGGTTAATGAGGAAATCCAGTGTGACTTATTTTTGTGGGTTTTTTTTTTTTTGGTTGGTTTCTGTTTTTTAATTTAAAAAAAAAGCTACAACTTCATAAATTGTTAGAAACACTATCACTTACTCTTTTGGGACCACAGTTACTCACTGGAGACTCCAAAGAGTCCAGATCTTCAAATGATACAATTGCTCATTGCCTAATAGCATTTACAATTATTTTGCTGTTGTTCTCCAGAGCCCAGATCACTTTCACTCTGTACACATTTTTGTATGCTGTGGTCAGTTTTATTTCCTTCCATTTCTAATTAACCTCTTTCTCTTCTCTCTGCTCTTGTGCAGTTGGAGTGTAAGTTTTTGCTTGAACGCTTATGACAAACTAATTCTGATATTTGATTTTTCTCAGAAGCTGCTAGTCGATTTTGGATTCTCCAAAAGCTATACAGGTATCTGAAGCTGGACTCCTGTAGACATACGGCTTTGTGAAAACAGAGTGGATTTTATCAGATTTCCAGAGAATGACTGTGCTGATTTTGAGTATAGCCTTTCAGGCTTTCTTTTCACCCTGTTTGGCTTTACTGGATATTCCTGGGTCTGCATTGAGTCAGCTGCTGCCACCAGCTCTGTTGGATCTATGGTAGCTGTGCATCCTGTTCCTAGAATTCCAGTGCTGACTCATCACTTTTAAATTCTGTTATTTCCAGGATAAGCATAGCATTTTTAAAACATTATATTGTAGACCCTATCTTAATTGAGGGCTGTGGAAATTCCTCTTCTGTGAGAGAAAGGGCTTCTGTGGCTATGTCTTGCAATAAAAAGGAGAATGCAGAGTCTATATGTTGGCAGAAAGCAGAGGTTTATTCTTCATAGAACATGCCTTTGAAGCAAGTCAAGTTCTTAGTAGATTACATTTTTTTTTCCTGAGATTTGGAGAAATTTTTATTTTATGACCTTATATCAGTCAGGGTTCTTCAGAGAAAAGAGAGCCAATAATACACTAGTACGCAATATGTGTCCCTATCTACCTCTATGTATCTATCATCTACCTGTCTATGTATCTATCATCTATCTATTTATGTATCTATCATCTATCGGTCTATTTATCTGTCATCTATCTTTCTATGTATCTACCATCTATCTTTCTATGTATCTACTATCTATCTATCTATCTACCATTTATCTATCTAGTCTATCTATCTGTATCTGAGAGAAATATATTGATTAATGTTAAGGAATTGTCCTTTCTGATTATGGATGCTGGCAAGTTCTGCAGAATGGTCCAGCAGGCTGGAGACTGAGAGACGAGCCGACGTTATAGTTCAAGTCCAAAGTCTCTCAGACTGGAGACGCAGGAGAGGGCCAATATTGTAGTTCTAGCCCAGGAGCTGTTGGCTGCAGAATTAATGCACATTATGGAGGGCAATCTGCTTTACTCATAGTCCCCTGATTGAAATGTTAATCTCATCCCAAAACACCCTCAAACATTCAGATTCATGTTTGACCACATATCTGGGCACCATGGCCCACATAAATGGACACATAAAATTAATCACCACAGATATTTAAATTAAACAAATATACACATACATTGTAGTAGAGATTAAAATTTTGTATTGATTTTTGATGTGGAACATAAACTTTCAAATAAATTTTATCCTTGTTGCAAACCACCATAATCTATGTCTTTAGGCCCCTAGCAATAGCATTTATTTTTTTCAGTATATAAATGGAAGATTTGGAAAATGACAGAGATAACAAGAATACCCTAAGTGTCAGGATACTTCGCTGTATCTTTTTTTTTTATACTTTAAGTTTTAGGGTACATGTGCACAACGTGCAGGTTAGTTACATATGTATACATGTGCCATGTTGGTGTGGTGCTGCACCCAGTAACTCGTCATTTAACATTAGGTATATCTCCAAATGCTATCCCTCCCCCCTTCCCCCACCCCACAACAACATGCAGTGTTTACATTGAGAATGCCATACTCCTATCTGATCCTCATGTCCTTCACCTGTAAAATATAGCATAGTTGCAAAATATTCCATATATTGTTACATATATGTACATAAATATTACATATATATTAATATAGCATAGCCGTGAAATATTACATGTAAAATATTTAATATTACCTGTAAAATGTAGCATAGCATAATTTCTCAACACATTTCCAGCTCTAACAGCCTCCGACTGTACTTATTTTACAGTGGCAACAAGAAACAGACAGGCTCACCAGAAAAAAAGAATCAGCCTTGTGACACCTGCAAGGCTACAGACAATTTCATGACTAGATAACTGTGATGTTTAACTTTCTGTGTTAAATTGACTGGGCCAAAATACTCATATAGTTGTTCAAACACTATTGTTAATGTTTTTGTAAGGGTGCTTTTGAATGAGATTCATATTTCAATTGGTGGACTTTGAGTAAAGCAGATTACCTTCCATGGTATAGATTGGCCTTATCCAATCAGGTGAAGGTCTGAATGGAACAAACGACTGACCTCCCCCAGCAAGAAATAATTCAGCTAGCTCTCTGACTTCATGGATAACATTGGAGCTGACTGAATCTCCAGCACGCCGGCCTCTCCCAAAGGCTTACATATGAAAATAAACCTTTCATATAGATATAGTTCATAAAATATATATGAAAAATATATATGAAAGGTTTATATTTCATGAAATATATCTATATCTATATGAAAGGTTTGGTTTTTTTTTTTTTGAGACGGAGTCTTGCTCTCTGTCGCTAAGACTGGAGTGCAATGGCGCCATCTAGGCTCACTGCAAACTCCGCATGCAAGCAGTTCTCCTGCCTTAGCCTCCCACGTAGCTAGGATTACAGACTCCCGCCACCACGCTCGGCTAATTTTTCTATCTGTAGTAGAGACGGGATTTCTCCATGTTGGCAAGGGTGGTCTCCAACTCCTGACCTCAGGTGATCCACCTGCCTCAGCCTCCCCAAGTGCAGGGATTACAGGCATGAGCCACCATGCCAGCCGAAAGGTTTAAAGAGCTTCTGCACAGCAAAAGAAACTACCATCAGAGTGAACAGGCAACCTACAAAATGGGAGAAAATTTTCGCAACCTACTCAACTGAGAAAGGGCTAATATCCAGAATCTATAATGAACTCAGACAGATTTACAAGAAAAAAACAACCCCATCAAAAAGTGGGCGAAGGATATGAGCAGACACTTCTCAAAAGAAGACATTTATGCAGCCAAAAGACACATGAAAAAATGCTCATCATCACTGGCCATCAGAGAAATGCAAATCAAAACCACAATGAGATACCATCTCACACCAGTTAGAATGGCAATCATTAAAAAGTCAGGAAACAACAGGTGCTGGAAAGGATGTGGAGAAACAGGAACACTTTTACACTGTTGGTGGGACTGTAAACTAGTTCAACCATTGTGGAAGTCAGTGTGGTGATTCCTCAGGGATCTAGAACTAGAAATACCATTTGACCCAGCCATCCCATTATTGGGTATATACCCAAAGGATTATAAATCATGCTGCTATAAAGACACATGCACACGTATGTTTATTGCGGCACTATTCACAATAGCAAAGACTTGGAACCAACCCAAATGTCCAACAACGATAGACTGGATAAAGAAAATGTGGCACATATACACCATGGAATACTATGCAGCCATAAAAAATGAAGAGTTCATATCCTTTGTAGGGACATGGATGAAACTGGAAACCGTCATTCTCAGCAAACTATCACAAGGAAAAAAAACCAAACACCGCATGTTCTCACCCATAGGTGGGAATTGAACAATGAGAACACATGGACACAGGAAGGGGAACATCACACTCCAGGGACTGTTGTGGGGTGGAGGGACGGGGGACGGATAGCATTAGGAGATATACCTAATGCTAAATGACGAGTTAATGGGTGCAGCACACCAACATGACACATGTATACATATGTAACAAACCTGCACGTCGTGCACATGTACCCTAAAACTTAAAGTATAATAATAATAAAATAAAAAAAGACATTTGTTTATGACATTGTGGAGGCTTGCTAAGTCCAAAAATTATACAAATATATATATGAACTATATACATATAGTTCATAAAATATATATATATGAAATATGTGAAAGGTTTATATTTTATAAAATATATATATACACACATACACTTTTTTGGCATAAGTCCAAAAATATATACATATATATAATAAAAATATATATGTACGTATATGATTTTTATATTACATAGATATATGTATATAAGACACATCTTATTGGTTTTGCTTCTCTAGAGAACCTTGACTAATACAATAATACAGTCTCAAAATTTAGTCAAAGTTGAGACCATGTGAAAGCTGTTCACTAGGCTGGGCTACATAAAAGATAATAGTGTCATGTGGAAACATGAGGTGACTTGGAAGAAATGCTGATGCCCCACGTCTAGTGAGGCCAAATGTCAATAAGGACATGAGTCTTTGGCTAAGTTTGCCCCACTCAAGTGCTGGGTCCTTTGCCTACAGATCCAGCCATACCTTAATCACTCCTAACTCTGACCAAGTCTAGACACTGAAGAGCTTGCCTAATCTGAATCTAACCATATGAAAACATCAAATCCACCCAAGGGACAGTCCATAAAACAATTGGTGTATATTCTTTAAAGTAATCAAGTTCCAGAAAAGCAAGAACAAACTGGAAAAAAGTGCCCAAAGAAACATAACAAAAATAAATATTAGGTTGGTACCAAAGTAATTGCAGTTTTTGCCATTGGAAGTAATGGCATTTACAGATAGCAACAGAAACATTGCTAAACATTGAAAGTAATGCCATTACTCTCAATGGCAAAACCACAATTACTTTTGCACCAACCTAATAAAATGAATATATAGTTGGAAGTTGGAAGTGAGCATATACAGTATGTGGTTACAGATCAATAAATAACACAGTTCCTTCCCTGTGGCACTCAACATTTGGTAAATTAGAGAAACATGCCAATAGGAAAGTACAGATTAAAATGAAAAGTGTGATAATGAAGATATGTAAAATATGCCAGGACAGCTGAAAGTAGGAACAAAAAGTCTGCCTTTTCAAAGAATGTAAAAGCTGGAGACATTTGAACTGGGTATTGAAAGAAAGTTAGACTGTGAATCATAGAGCCCTGGCTTTAAATTTTGCCACTGCACTTACTACTTGTCACCTTAGAAAAGTCATCATTTTATCTCACTAAAGCTAATCTAATCACCTGTAACACAAGGTTGAAAATCTATTAGAATTATTTTGAATATTTTCTGAAATCTAGCATATGAAAGTTCTCAACAATGTAGTCATGAAATAAACCATATCTTAATCTGAGGTACTTTTGAAAACAACATGAAGAAGCTTTTACAAAGTGTGAGGCTTGGGAAGGATATGGGAAAAGCCAAAAGCATCGCACAGCTCTTCCTAATGTAGTACAAATGGGAATATCTCTGTTGCTATCTGTAAATACCTATAGTTTTGGTCATGTGCCACATCCTTAGACATTGTATGTTTGAATCGTAAAATATACCACAGGTGATTCTGATGTACAGTTGTAATAAGAGCTACCCTTTTTGAAAACTTATTTTATCCTAGAGGCTTTGCATTTATTATTAATTCTTACATCCATCCTGTAAGATAGGAACCCTTATCTTTCTTTAAAACATGAGTAATAGATATGTGGTCTCTGACAGGTTAAGTACTTGCCCTCAGTCAGACAGATATTGAGAAGCTGAAGTTTCATTCAAGGTCTGTGTAACCACAAACGCTATGCCAATTTTAATTCCACCTATCCTTCTCTAGTGATTAAATTTACCACATAATTCACAGAGAGGATTATGAAGTTAACCAAAAGGAGAAGCAGAAAACAATGCACTTCAGTGAGTACAGAATATTATTAAAGATCTCATTCTGTGCTTTCAGATGAGCTATTTATTCCCACAGATGTTTCATCTTTACAAATTATATCAAAGAGGCTGAAGATAATATATGCTAATTTCTATAGTCCTTTGACTCACAATTTCTGAGGGTTAGCAGAATTCAGAATATTTTTATTTTTTACTATATGATTTAAGAAATTGTATTCATAATAAGATCTTGATGTTGTAAAAAGAAAGTCATACCTTATCATATGTTTTCAAAATTGTTTGCTTCTGCCAAAGTTTAATAATTTTTCATGACTCAATACTTCATACTTTTATTTTTTCGTTAAAGATGATAATACTAGTATTGTGAAAAATGTTTATATGAAATATGGGGAGATTTCTTTTCTAATTGTTCCCCATCATTGATATGCAATTGAATTTTCAAGTAGAATTTAAGAAATATTTAGTTTCTTTAAACAAATATTTTTTATATTGTACCATAATCTATTATTTTTACATTTTAAAAAATAATCAATTTTCTAAATTACTATGGTGTCCCCCCATTCCTTGTCACAACCAGAAAACATCCACATTAAAGTACAAACACCTACTAGTGTGCCATTACTACACCCAGTGGAGGACAATCACCTTAGAGGTGAACTGGTAAGGGGGTCAGTTACACTCCTACTTCAAGGGAACCTGCGGTCATTCTTATATCCTCATTCCTCATACCTTTGAAAATGCAAGTATTTTAGGTCCAAAGATGAAAATTCATCCTCAGGGCAGCCAAGCTAGCATCCACTCACCTCCTTGCATTCAGTTAATATTTTTAGGCCGGGGGATTTATTTTCCTTTCTTGAAAACTTAGTCATGCAGTGAAGAGAATGTTTTGTTGTTTATTCATCTTTTCAAATGTATTGCTCTGGAAGTGCCTACAGATGATCTAGTCTGTCTCCATGTTAAAATTAAGTACCCCTCTCAAAAGTAATCTTTTCTATACCTGTGTACTTCCTCTCAGGGCTACACTCCGTGTTCCCCAAAGGACTGTAATGTCCAGCCAAGCAGTGTCTACTCCATAGACACTCATTTAATCCCATACTTTGTATGATGTTTCAGAAAGGATGGGTCTAAAACCTGTTTGCATAGAAACAATGTATCACAATGAAAGAGTTTAAACTGAATGATAAACAAGCTGATCTTCTCTAATTCGGTTTTTGCTGATGTCTTGGGGTAGTTGTTAACTATATCACCTTTTAATTTTCAAATATATTTAAGTTTGGGTGATAAATTCTACAACCATCCTACCAAAAGAGGGCATTTTTTATTATAATTGCTTTTGTTGAATTCACTAACATACTTTATGGAAAAAATATTTATAAGGAGCTTGATGTTTTCACTTCTCTAAATAAATAGCTATTCTATAATCTCAGCGTTTGCTTATGCAATGCTTATTTCACTAGAATGAAAGACTGACAATTCAGTGTGTGAATAATGTAATTGATAATTATGCAAGAAATTATTATGGCAAAATATAACCAATTATACTTTATACTTTGTTATAAAGCAGCATATTTTTAAAAATACACTTGGGCACATTTTCAACCAAATTACACATTGGTCTGTTTTCATAAACGGATTATTTACAGATCTCTGTCCTTGGCTGCAAATTACTATAAGGAGCAGAGATAAGTCTGCACTCTGCAGAAGTCAAAGCTCAGCACAGAACTCAAAGCTCAGCTAGAGTAGACTCTAGGGGGCAAATTATGAGATGATGCAACTAAAAAAAATCCCCTGTAGTAAGACAGAGCTAGGTCATGATCAGATCTTTTGCAACTCTGGCGCTCATCATTCTAGAAATGAGATATATCAAGGTCAATAAAGAAAAGACATGTTTTTTCCCTAGCATTACATAGAAAATAATTCATCCAATACATCATATTGACATAGGACATCACAGGTCAGGAGAAGTGTGTCTCATGGAGGGAAATTGGGGAATAAATGTGTTCTATGCTCAGATGACCTTATTTGTTGATGACTTTATCTTATTCTTCAGTCAGCACAGTATTATGATACACTGACTTTGGAATACAAACATTTCATTTCATTAGCAATTTTAAGAGCAATGATATGCTGGAGACCAATACTGTGCTGAATAAGAACCTGCATCCTTCAAGTATATGGAAATGATCTCATACCTTCATTCCTTTATCAAGAATCACTGACTTTCTGCCACCTTCAGGTAAAGTGACATCTTTAGGGGTACTGGCTACTTGATATAAACCTAACTTAGACTTCTTATGAATCTTATACCAGAACCCCTTAGAGATAGAAGTATCATTATCATTATTTTATGAATGAATGAATTTAGCCTGAGGACAGGGGTGGTGGCTCACACATGTAATCCCAGCATTTTAGGAGGCCAAAGTGGGCAGATAGTTTCAGCCAAGGAGTTTGAGACCAGCCTGGGCAACATAATGAAATTCTGTCTCTGCAAAAAAAAAAAAAAAAAAGAAAAAAAAAAAGAAAAAAAGAAAATACAAAAATTAGCCATGTGTGCCTGTAGTCCCAGCTACTCAGGAGGCTGAGCTGGGAGCACAGGAGGTGGAGGCTGCAGTGAGCCACAATCATGCCACTGCACTCCAGCCTGGGCAACAGAGTGAGACTCCATCTAAAAATAAAATAAAATAATGAAGAAAAATAAATAAGGAAAGAAAGGAAAGAAAGAGAAAGAAGGAAAGAAGGAAAGGAAGGAGGGAAGGAAGGGAGGGAGGAAGGAAGGGAGGGAGGGAGGGAGGGAAGGGAACCTGAGAGGTGCAAAATACTTTTTCTGTTTATATACCCACTGAGGCAAAGCCAGTTTTCAAACCCATATTAATAAAAATCCTTTATTCATTAATTTATACCCTTTTGAATATTTTTGGGCAATGAGGAAAAGTGATTTGTAATCCCTCAAGAAAGCTATAAACAAAGTACCTCTGAGTGTGAATGTTCAGATCTGTGTTGCAATCTAGTCATCACCTGCAAGGATTGAGTCTGGAGTAGAAGAATGATAGTTTCCAATCTAGTTGGATGAGAACTGTAACAAGTGGGATTTTTGGAACTACTAAAAGATTATAAAAAAAGTGTAATTATTTGATACCTGCAACATATATGTGGTGATTTCTGTACTGAATTGATCTATTATTTTACGGCTGAGGAAGCTGAGGTACAGTGGTAATTCATTTCTTCAGAGGAAAATGTTAGTTGTTGTGTAAACTGAAATTTCAATCCCCATCTGACTGCCACAGAAGTCCTTGGATTTGTCACTGTTTATAAATGCAAAAAATATATTCTGAGCACTTATTCTGTATCTTGCTCTAAAAATGCAGCAATTAATGGATAAGAACCCTGGCCCAATATGGCTCCATTCCTTTAGGCAAAATTTGAAATATAAATAAATAAATACAATTGGCAGGAGATTGTAAATTTAAGAGCAGGGGTGGGGACAAACTCTGAGCAGAGACTGCAGTGAGTGCAGAGGCTTGAAGACTAGAGCATACCTGACATGTTTGAAAAATAGCAGGGAGGCTAGGGCTGTAGTGAGTGAGAGGTCAGAGAGGAAGCACCTGCCAATTCATGTAGAGACCCGCAGTCCGTTATGATGGCTTTGTGGTCTGGTCAAAAATGGGAGACCATTAGAAGGTTTGAGTTGACAGTGACAAGATATGACTTATATCTTGAAAGGAATACAGTGGAAGTTGTGTTGAGAAAAGGCTAAAGTGAAGAAAAAGCAGATAGATAAGAACAGTACGTTTTATTCCAGAAATCCTATTGAGAAAGGACAGTGACCTGGACCGAAGTGATAGATCACAGTGTGTGTCCACCATAAGAGTGTACCTCTGAGATCTCTTGACAGCCAGGAGTATTCTCAAATCCATCAGTGAGTCTCAGCTGAGGTCATGTGTCCCAAAAACTGCCTAGCCCATGACTGAACATGGTAGGGATACAAAGGCAGGCTCATTTCTGGAAGTTGAAGCAATTTTCTGATGAGTGACTGGACTTTGACTTGAGGACTCTCCAATGACCTTGCCAAACAAATCTTAGCCTTGCTCTGCAGTCAAAGTTACTTACACTCATGTTCATTGGGCAGTTGAAAATAAAGTCTGGAGTTTCAGGAAGGAATCCAGGTTGGAGACATAAATAGAGGATTTATCATGTAGAGGTGGTATTTAATGACATGATGCTGGATGAGATCACCACGAATTTGACTTATTGAGTGTGGAATAAAAAGAGATATGAGTTCCCAAAACTATGTACTAGAGCACTCCAAAAATTTATTATTCAAAAAGAACTAGCAAAGGAAATTAAAAGGAGTGACAATGAGACAGGAGAAAATCCAGAGAATACAGGGTACCTGGAAGCTATGAATTTATTTCCCAATTCAACATGCTGTATTGTAGAAATGTAAAATTTAGAAGATACTCCAAAACAATTTTTGGCTTTGAAAACTATGAATCTCTAACTGTATGTATCTAAATAATCTTCAATATTTAACTTTGCCTACAGACAAAGCATTTTTCCTCTCACTAAGCAAAGATTCAAATCATAGCAGTGATTTTTGCATGAGTGACAATCTCTCTGAGGTTTAGTCTCCTCATCTATATGACAGTGATAAATAATCACTACTGATTTTGGAGAGTTAGAAGAAAAAGTCAGCTCATGACTACACAGTACTTAGCTCAAAGGCAATTGTCCCAAAAGCAACACTGAATAGATATCATTAATCCTGTTTTTAGTATTCAAGTTGAGTAATTCCACAAGATAATAACATAAGAGGTGGGAGAGTTAGATTGAACCCAATGTCAATGGCCCATTTATTGATGAACTTACCACACACTCACACATGAAAGGACCTATTCTATGCCATGCAATAACTTTTGGGAAATGTTCTGTGTGCTGAATTTAGACAGTAGCTGACTTCCAGTATCGTTCCAGGAAGTCTGTAGCCTGACACTTCTCATATAAATAGGCACTCATCAGTTATACCGATTTCAAACTTGAACATAGGAGCCACTAAAAGATTGATTAAATATATATTTGGGAAATATTTTGGCATGAGACTATTTCTGTACTCTCTGAATGAGGATAAAAATCAAATGTCTTGCATTTCAATAAAAAGGAAGGATCAAATAAAATTCTAGGAAACCATCCTGAGAAGGTTTGATTATAACACAATTCTGACAGTGTGATAAATAGCGATCAACTCCTAGAAAACAGAATGGTAAAAGACTAACACACACATGCATCTAACATGCATGTCTGTGCCAACACAGGCGTCTCACATTTGTCCTTAGCAAATACATGTACCAAATACAGCATTTTGCTGTAAGCAGGAAGTCTGCAGCATACTGATGGGGATCTCACTTTGCCTTTTGGCAAATTTCTTTTAATGCAATAATATATTCCCCCTGGGGTTGTTCTCCATGGTTCTTGGTTATGCCCTTTAGCCTTGGTTCTGTTCTCTAGGTCATCCTTCCTTTCCCATAAGATAGGACATGTGTTGGTAGTGGATAGCCTTCCTGGACACCTTCCTGTGTAGAGACTAAGGTCTAAGGACCCTTTGTACACTTTATTGTCTCTATTTCTTTCAACTAATACTGTTGAGGTTTTCACTAGTACAATTTGCTTACAAACTTTGTGAAAATTTTTATAAATTTTATTAAAATTTACTCCTTTTAGACATAAAGCCACAGTGACAAATCTCTGAGAGATTCCTTTCTCTGTTGTGATCCCTTTAGATTCTTAGACTCTCTATTGTTTAAAAGGGATTGTCTGGGAGCCACATACACATGATCATTAGAAAAGCATTTTGTCTCTAAGAAAGGGCCCCATGAGTCACCATCTTAAAACTCCGAAGTTATATAAAGGGTCTTTATAGTCACATGTCAAAGCCTTAAAACAGCAATAATTTTATTTGCTTGTGTTTTGGCAGGTCAGGAATTCCAAAGAGCTTGGCTGGGCAGTTCTTACTTTGGAGCCTTTAACATCCCTCACTACCTAGCAGTTGATGCTGATCACCAGCTGAGAGCTCATCTGTGGTTCTCTGCCGGAGACCTGCACATGACTCTCCAGGACAGTGATTTCAGGTACTCAGACTTACTCACACTTCTTAAATAGCAGCTAGCTTCCTTCAGAGCATCCCATGTAACCAAAGAAATCATGAAGAAATGACATGGTCTAATCTGACCTGTACTCACAAGTTACACAGGTAACATTTACTTCATTCTACCAGTTACAACTGAGTCACTAAGGCTAGTCGAGGATCAATACCTCTCTAAAAAGGCGATGTTTTTGAAGAGATCTGAAAGAATAATGGCAAAATATAGGTCAATCTGGAGGAAAAGCAACTCAGAAAGAGAGAGAGGAAGAGAAAGACAGAACAGTACTTAGAATGTGTGTGTGCATAAGAGGACGTCAGAGTGCAGCAGGCGGCCCGGTCTTTTAAGGTTAGGTAAACTGTTGTAAACATTGTATATATTCCTGCAAGTAAGATGAAAATCAGAGGAATATTTGAGATGCAGGCATATTATGCCCAAGTTAATGTTTTAAATGTGTTGCTCTCCAGCAATGAGGAAACCAGGATATGGGGAAACAAGAGTATATTCAGGGAGATTTGTGGGAGTTTATTGTAATAATTCAGATGAGAAATGATGATGGCTTAAATAAATTGAGTATACAGAAGGTAACTAGAAAGATTTGCACTCAGAATACCCTTTGAATGTAGAGTTGCTAGAATTTGTTGATGAATTAAATATGAGGTATGAGAGAAAGAAAAGGGTTCAGAATTTTCAAAGAATTTTGGCCTAATTTCTACCTAAATGAAAAAAAGTTGGTACTTCTTCAAATAAATACTGTGGTTGGAAAAACTGTAGATAAAATTGAAGGAATTCTATGTTGAAGTTGTGGGCTAAAATGTGGATAATTCTAAGTGTATATTGTGTGATACACACACACACACACACACACACACACACACACCCCTAAACAATTAGAAATGCATTTAAAAGTGCAATGTTAACAATACTATTAAAAAATCATATATCTAGGGAAATTCTAACAAAATAAACAACACATTTGAAAATTACAAATTGCAAGATTCAATTCTGTAAAGATGTCACTTGCCTTTAATTTGATCTATACATTCAGTTTCAGCTTAATCTAAAGATGATTAAAGTGTGATAATAGCAAGTGAAATTAAGATTATCAAAACAATTTTTGGCTTTGAAAACTATGAATCTCTAACTGTATGTATCTAAATAATCTTCAATATTTAACTTTGCCTACAGACAAAGCATTTTTCCTCTCACTAAGCAAAGATTCAAATCAAAGCAGTGATTTTGCATGAGTGACTTAATCTCTCTGAGGTTTAGTCTCCTCATCTATATGACAGTGATAAACAATCACTACTGATTTTGGAGAGTTAGAAGAAAAAGTCAACTCATGACTACACAGTACTTAGCTCAAAGGCAATTGTCCCAAAAGCAACACTGAATAGATATCATTAATCCTGTTTTTAGTATTCAAGTTGAGTAATTCAACAAGATAATAACATAAAAGGTGGGAGAGTTAGATTGAACCCAATGTCAATGGCCCATTTATTGATGAACTTACCACAAACACACACACACACACATACACACATGAAAGGACCTATTCTATGCCATGCAATAACTTTTGGGAAATGTTCTGTGTGCTGAATTTAGACAGTAGCTGACTTCCAGTATAGTTCCAGGAAGTCTGTAGCCTGACACTTCTCATATAAATAGGCACTCATCAGTTATACTGATTTCGAACTTGAATGTAGGAGCCACTGTTCTAACTCTGAAATTGTTGAAATGAGACACATTAAGTCATTATTTCAATTACAGACCGTTGAGTGTTGAATTCTTTTATTTGCTGCCAAAAGCATCCTAAGTAATGTTTCTTTGCTTCTTCCTGAGAAAGGCAAAACTTTCTCAGGGATGACAAATGAATCTTTACTGATTCGACAATAGTTAATAGTTGCACTTTCTAGGTGGCTTATATACTTGGCTGAATAGATTCCCTGCCCAATAGCTAGGAAGATGAAATGACTTTCCTTGAGGCCAAAAAATGATATCAAAGACATTATCACCTACTATGACATTTTTTGTGGCCTTCGTTTTTCTCAGCAGCAAATGGTGAAAAATCTTTTCTGAAGGAGATAATCATGGTAAAAATGGATTGCAATTCCAGTGTTTAAAATGTCCAATGATTTGTACAAAAATGTTGCAGCAAATTGATCCCTCTCCTCTGTAGTTTCAGGAGGCCTAAGTTTCAAATAGCTCTGTTATGATGGGCTTAATACATATTTGATTCAGGGATCCTATGAGGAAAAAAAACACACTTTAAGTCAAATGTTTATATTAAGCCCCCGAAGAGTTCAATGTGCCTAAAAATATATTTTGCATAGTGATGTATTTTAAGATTACTGGCTTTTAGTCTAGTTTTTCCCACTTCATAGCAAGTAGTTATCCTTTTGATCCTTAGTACTTGCTTATATAATATGAGGACTTTTCTAATTCACCTGAGAGTTCTTCATGCCTTTCCAACAGAGTTGCATCATTTGACATTTTTCTGCTTTAATATACTGTAGCTATTTTTTAAATAACTACATCTTGCCAAATAATGTTTTCTATGTTAATACTTTTTAGAAATCTCCAAAAAATTTTAACATATGATTAAGAAGTTTTAATGGCAGCAAAATATAATTTGAAAAAGTCATTTTACATGCTTACAAAAATTTTTATGTAGCACAAAAATTCAGTTGGTATGTGATGGAGTATTGGTCCTTACAGATTTTTTTTTTTTCTTAAGAGATACTCTTCTTTACATTTCTTCTTTTCCTCTCTCCTGTTTTGTGCTATGGCACTTAGCTGCTCTCAGTTATTAATATTTATTGTTATAATTAACATGCATCAGTATGTTTTCAGCTGTTTCTCATTTCTATGAAATGAAAAAACAAGTAATGTGGCTAATTAAAAGCATGTAAAATTGTGTTTTTAAAAAACAGGCATTTCTTAAAAAGATAACAAAGTGCAGCAGAAGCTCTGTAGATGGCTCTTTGGCATGCTGCCTGCTGCTTGGCCTTATGGTCAGGTGTGTGATCTTAGGGTTAGTTTCTGGAGCTTTCTCTTACAAATCATTACGAGTTTGTGTTTGGGGGCTCAGCAAATATTTCTTGGAACAAGCTAGCAATAATGTTTCTCGACCTGTGCTATTTTTATTTTCATTTTAAAAAAATACATTAAGTTTGTCATTTAAAATATTTGTAAGTATACAATGCAGTACTGTTAAGTTACATACACCTTGATGTGCAACAGATCTCTAGAACTTTTTCATCTTGCAAAATTGAAATTCCATACCCATTGAAAAGCAACTCTCTATTTTCCCCATCCCCTGCCAACCACCATTCTAATCTGAGTTTGACTACTTCAAATACCTCATATAATTGGAATCATGCAGTATGATGACAGGCTTATTTTACTTAACATTTTTTCTGACTGCTTTATTTTACTTAACATTATGTCCTTAATGTTCATTCACATTGTGGTCTATAACAGGATTTTTTTCTTTATTTAAGGCTGAATAATATTCCACTGTATGGGTTCACCACATTTCTTTACCCATCTGTCACAGACATTCAGGTTCCACATCTTTGCTATTGTGGATAATGCTACAACGAACATTAGTACGCCAACATTTCTTAAAGATACTGTTTTCAATTCTATTGTATATATACCCAGAAATGGGATTGTTTTATCATATAGTAATTCTATTTTTACTTTTTTAAGGAACCTCCATAATGTTTTCCATACCTGTGTACCATTTTACATGCACACCAATGGTAAACAAGGGCTTCAATTTCTTGACATCCTTGTCAACACTTGTTATTATTATTATTTTTAATAGTAGCCATCCTAATGGGTGTGAGGTGTATATATTTAAGATGTTAATTCTTCTTTAAAAGTCGGGTAAAATTTTCCAGCAAAGCCACCTGGTACTGGGTTCTCCTTTGCTAGTAATTTTTTGATTAGCGATTCAATAAGCTTACTAGTTATAGGTCTACTCATATTTTCTTATTTCTTAAAAATTCAGTCTTAGTATGTTGTATGTTCCTAGGAACTTATCTATTTCTTTTTGTTCTCCAATTTCTTGATGTATAATTGCTCATAGAAGTTGCTTATAATGCTTTTCATTTATATGACATCGGGTGTGACATTTCCTCTTTCTTTTGTGTTTCTGTTCTTTTTTCTCTGTTCTTTTTCCTTTTTCAGTGTAGATTTTAAAGGTTAACCAATTTTGTTGATCTTTAAAATTTAACTCTTAATTTTGTTGTTTTTTTGCATTGATTTTCTATTCCTCATTTTACTTCATTTTAGTTTTAATCCTTACAATTATTTTCATCTGCTATTTTTGGTTTTAGTTTGTTTTACTTTTCCGGTTTCTTCATGTGCATAGATAGTTGACTTGAAATCTTTCTTTTTTTTTTTTATGTTCTAATTTTTTTTTTATTATACTTTAAGTTTTAGGGTACATGTGCATATTGTGCAGGTTAGTTACATATGTATACATGTGCCATGCTGGTGTGCTGCACCCACTAACTCGTCATCTAGCCTTAGGTATATCTCCCAATGCTATCCCTCCCCGCTCCCCCCACCCCACCACAGTCCCCAGAGTGTGATATTCCCCTTCATGTGTCCATGTGATCTCATTGTTCAATTCCCACCTATGAGTGAGAATATGCGGTGTTTGGTTTTTTGTTCTTGCGATAGTTTACTGAGAATGACGATTTCCAATTTCATCCATGTCCCTACAAAGGACATGAACTCATCCTTTTTTATGGCTGCATAGTATTCCATGGTGTATATGTGCCACATTTTCTTAATCCAGTCTATCATTGTTGGACATTTGGGTTGGTTCCAAGTCTTTGCTATTGTGAATAATGCCGCAATAAACATACGTGTGCATGTGTCTTTATAGCAGCATGATTTCTAGTCCTTTGGGTATATACCCAGTAATGGGATGGCTGGGTCAAATGGTATTTCTAGTTCTAGATCATCTGACAAAGGGCTAATATCCAGAATCTACAATGAACTCAAACAAATTTACAAGAAAAATACAAACAACCCCATCAAAAAGTGGGCGAAGGACATGAACAGACACTTCTCAAAAGAAGACATTTATGCAGCCAAAAAACACATGAAAAAATGCTCATCATCACTGGCCATCAGAGAAATGCAAGTCAAAACCACTATGAGATATCATCTCACACCAGTTAGAATGGCAATCATTAAAAAGTCAGGAAACAACAGGTGCTGGAGAGGATGTGGAGAAATAGGAACACTTTTACACTGTTGGTGGGACTGTAAACTAGTTCAACCATTGTGGAAGTCAGTGTGGCGATTCCTCAGGGATCTAGAACTAGAAATCTTTCTGCTTTTTTAGTGTAAGCATTACAGCTATAAACTTTCCTCTCACTATGGTTTTTGCTGCAGCCCATATGTTTTGGTATTTCCCTTTGTCTCAAAATATTTTCTAATTTTCATTATGACTTTATGTTTGACCCATATTTTTTCAAAAATGTGCTGTGGCTAAGCATTGTGGCTACTACCTGTAATCCCAACACTTCTGGAGGCCAAGGTGGAAGGATCACTTTAGGCCAAGAGTTCAAGACCAGCCTGCACAACAATGTGAGACCGTGAAGATTTCTCAAACCTTTCCTGGGTATGCATCTTCTCTGGGCTCACATGTGCAATTTCCCAGTTAGAGAAATTTGCCACTGTGTTTTTAAGAAGCTAATAATCGATTCCTCCCTATGGTGCCTGTCTGGGGTATTGCAGGTTCTCTGTTGTTGTAACAAACAAACTACCAAGCTCCCCTTTGTTCTAAGCAGCCCAAAGTATGCTGATTCTCCATCAATACTCTGAGTCATATAAGACAGAAACCAATTTCTCTGGCAGCCCTTCACAAATTGAGAATATTGGATGTACATTTCACTTTTCTCTTTCCCTTTCAAACAAGAAATCACAAGTTGAACATTTTCTCCCAATTACACTGAGCTGTGCCAGCTTTAGGGAAAGGTTATCATAGGTAAAAAGCAACGCCTTTCTTTAAGCTATTCCATTTTCTTTGTACTCATCTGGTATACTTTGAATTCTTGTCTAATTTTTGCAGTTCTCATTAAAGGATTTTTGGATCGTATATTATTTTTAGGTCAGTGTCTCTGTAAAAAATGATGTCTGGAGCTTCTTATTCCACCATCTTGCAGACATCATTCTGTCCTCAAGCAATATTCTCATCATTAGATACCCAATGCAGATAAGTCTATCCAAACGAAAAGTTAGCATAATTTCATTCTAAATTTTAATTTGTTCAGTTAATACTAATATTATCTGTTTGGGGATTTAAAGAAACAAGTAAATGGTACTTTTTGTTTCTACTTAAATTCAGAATTATTTGCAAGACATACAGTGCAGTCAAGCATATTGGAATATAACTTTAGATATAATAGAAAAGTAAGCTTTTCAAGTAATTCATTCTTAAAATGACTTGCTCACCCAGGTCGAGCTGGACAACAGAAGTTTTCTCAAAGGAGAAAAGTAATACGCAATTTATTGTGCAAACTAGAAAACATTTAAGAATGTAGAGAAATCAAAAAATATTTTAAAACTGTACGTGTTATTGATTTAATTATACTAGTGGATCTGCATAATAATTCCATTTAAAAGCCACTCTAAGAAGTAAAATATCATATAGAAAGATAAAGATATAGAAACAAGTATTACCTTAAATGAAAAAGTTTAAAATATCATAGTGAATATGTAAACATAAAAAAATCAAAATGAGCTGGGCACAGTGGTTCATGCCTATAATCCCCAGGACTTTGGGAGGCCAAGGTGGGTGGATCACCTGAGGTCAGCAATTTGAGACCAGCCTGGACAACATGGTGAAAACTTGTCAATACTAAAAATACAAAAATTAGCTGGGCATGGTGGTGGGCGCCTGTAATCCCAGATACTTGGGAGGCTGAGGCAGGAGAATCACTTGAACCCGGGAGGCAAAGGTTGCAGCGAGCCGAGATCTCGCCATAGCACTCCAGCCTGGGTGACAAGAGCAAAACTCTGTCTCAAAAAAATAAAAAATAAAATAATGCAATATATATTCATATACTTATAATCAATTTCTTATCTATATTTGTTTCTAATACCAAGTCATTGTTGCACTATTTTCTGAAAAACATGTTTTATCATGTTATTAATTTTAATGATTTTAAAAATAAACCAGAAATCTTCAGCAAGGTTTAATTTATGGTGACAGATTACTGAATTTTGTGCTATCTTCTACTGACTGCCTTATGTAGACCTCGATTAAAAAAATAATTTTATCTCTGCACTTGCTGAGATACCTGAAAAAATGAGGGCAAATTTTGATGAATGATGAGTACTTCCATTTCTACTTTTATTCATATAGGCATTTTATTAATAATAGTTTTATAAAGTATTTGTTTTCATTCTAAGACATTTTGCAAGAAAACCCTTATCAAATATGCTTTACTTGTGTATTATTCTATTTATAATCCATAACTCAATTTAAATGTTATAACATTGCAGGCCTTCCTAAATTATATCTAATTCTTATGCATAATATATATTTATCCAATTAAAATTAGAAGCTCATTCTAAGATCTTTTCTCCATGTTGTAATACTCAAAACCTCAAATATAGAAGTTCAAAATTAAATCTCATGCATTGACTGAGCTCTTATCTTTTAATTAGTGCTATAAATTTCCCTCTTAGATCCACTTTTGCTGAATCCCATAGGTTTTGGTATGCTGTGTTTCCATTTTTAATTGTCTCAAGAACTTTCAAAATTTACCATTTAGTTTCTTCATTGAATCATTTGTTATTCAAGAACACATTGCTTAATTTCCATGTATTTATGAATTTTCTGAAGTTCCTACTGTTAGTGATATTAGTTTTACACCATTATCATCAGAAAAGGTACTGAATATGATTTCAATTTTCTTAAATTTTTAAAGACTTGTTTTGTAACCTAAAGTATTTTCTATACTGGAGAAAATTTTATTTGCCATTGAGAAGAATGGGTAATTTGAATCAGTTGAATGGATTGTTCTGTAAGTATGTCTTATTTGACAATCCATTTGATTGAGCGTGTAGTTTAAGTATGATGTTTCCTTATTGATTTTCTGTCTGGATGATTTGTCTATTTCTGAAAATGTGTTGTTAATTTTTTTATTGTTACTGTATTGTAGTCTCACTTTAGATCTATTAATATTTGCATTATATATCTAGCTACTCCAGTGTTGGGCACATATATATGATTGTTATACCCTCTTACTGAATTGAGTACTTATTATATAATGATCTGTTTGTCTTCTTTTACAAACTTTGATTTAAAGTCTATTTTATCCTATTTAAATATAGCCACTCCTGCTCTCTTATGGTTTCTATTTGCATGGAATATCTTTTTTATGCCTTTGCTTTCAGTATGTGAGTTCTTTCAGGAGAAGTGCGTCTCTTGGAGCAGCTTATAGTTGGGTCTTGCTTTTTGTTTGTTTCCATTCAGGGATTCTATATTATTTTATTGGAGAATTTAGTTCATTTACATTCAAGGCAATTATTGATAGACCAGGGTTTATTACTGCCATTTTGTGGATTGTTTTCTACTTGTTTTGCAGATCTTTTGCTTATCTCTTCCTTTCTTGCTGTCTTCCTTTTTGGCTAATTATCACTGGTCATATGTTTTTATTGTTTCTTTTCTTTTTTGTGTGTGTCTATTTACTAAAGGTTTTTGCTTTGTGGTTGCCATGAAGCTTACAAAATATCTTATAGTTACAACAGGTATTTATTTATTATTTAAGACAGAGTCTCTCTCTGTCACCCAGGCTGGAGTGGAGTGGCATGATCTCGGGTCACTGCAGCCTCTGCCTCCCAGGTTCAAGCAATTCTCCTGCCTCAGCCTCCCAAGTATCTGGGACTACAGGTGCTCACTGCCATGCCAGGCTAATTTTTGTATTTTTAGTGAAGACTGGGTTTCACCATGTTGGCCAGGATGGTTTTGATCTCCTGACCTCATGATTCGCCCAGTCCGGCCTCCCAAAGTGCTGGGATTACAGGCGTAAGCCACAGCCCCCAGCCTATAACAGGTTATTTTAAGCTGATTGTAACAACTTTAGCCACATACATATACATACACACAAAACTCTACACTTTTATTCCAATTCATCCCACCCCACATTTCAAATTTTTGATGTCACAGTTTACATCATTTTATATTGCATATCCCTTAACAAATTATTCTTACATTCATACTAAAAATACAAGTAATTTGCACACATAATGGTATTCTAAATTAGACTCTATATGTACTTTTACTAGTGAGTTTTATACTTTTAGATGTGTTTGTCTTACTCATTAGCATTCTTTTCTTTCAGCTTGAAGAACTACCTTTAGTATTTCTTGTAGGCATATTTGGTGGTGATGTTCTTCACCTTTTGTTCGGAGAAGTCTTTGCCTCATTCCTGAATTTCTGAAGGACAGATTTGCTGGGTACAGTTTTCTTGGTTGGCTGTGTTTTTGTTTTATATTTTCACTTGGCATTTTAAATATCACACTTTCTCCACATGAAGGTTTCTGCCAAGAAGTCTGCTGCTATCTGTATAGGTAATTCTTTATACGTCATTTGCTTCTTTTTTCTTACTACTTTCAGGATTCTCTCTTCATTTGAATTTTGACAGTTTTATTATTGTTTGTTTGGGGATGGTCCTATTTAGATGGAATCTGGTGGGAACCTTTTGACTTTCATGTACTGGGATATCACTTTCTACCTTTCTCTTCTTTCAAATTCCTTTGATTCAAACAGTCCTTCTTTGGAGGCAGTCTCAAAAATCCTATATGTTTTCTTTATTCTTTTTCATTCTTTGTCTCTTTTTTCTCTTTTGAGTGTATATTTTCAAATAACCCATCTTTGAGTTCACAGATTCCTTCTTCTGCCTGATTATTTCTGCTACTGATGCTCTTCCTTGCTTTTTAAAATTTCATTCATTGTCAATTTTATCTCCAGAATTCCTGGGGTTTTTAATTATTATTTGAATTTCTGTATTAAATTTCATCTTCTGATTGATTTCTTAGTTCATTGAGTTTTTTCTTTGTATTTTCTTGAAGTTTACTTAGCTTCCTTAAAGTTATTTTGAATTATTTGTCAGGAAGTGCATACATCTTCATTTCTTTAGAATCAGTCACTGGCACCTTATTTTGTCCATTTGATGATGTAATATTTCCCTGATTATTCTTGATCTTTTTGGTAGTTCATCAATGTCTATGGATTTGAAAATGTAGATTTTCATTTTAGTCTTCACAGGCTGGCTTTCTCTGGAAAAGCCCTGCAGCAGACACAATTCTGTCATATGTCAGAAGTACAGAGCAGCTGTGGCCGGTATGGTGTTCCAGAAGCCTAGGCCTTGCTATGGTAAGTATGGAGCTGGGGCATACCATAAGTCTGGGACCTCTGAGGCCTGCCTGATAATGAGGGCTTTCTGGCTCCTGAGGCCACTCACGTCAGCCTAAAAGTGTTGTAGACCAGAAATTTAGTTCTCCCAGCAAGCATAATGCTTAGAGCTGTGTTATCCCACCAGCACCAGGGCAGGTATACAGGATCAGGCCACAGGTACCAGCCTAGAATATGGAGCTATGGGGATCTGTCCAGTGCTGAGTTTTACTGTGATGGGCCAAGTGTAATGATTTGAGGCAAAATCCTGTGATCATTTGTCTATCTTTTCTTTGAGCAGAGAGAATCTCTCTCCACACTGCACTGCCTCAGATTGTGGAGGGGTGATACAGGTAATGTAAAAATACTCTTCTTACCTTCTTCAGTGTGTCTTTTCTTACTGTTATGCAACAACCAGGTACTATGGTCTCTGACCTGGTTTCTTCAGGTCTTGTGAATGTATTCTTGTGCATGGACACTTCTTCTAATTGATGTTTCTGTGGGGGGATGATTGCAGGCGAGTCCTATTCTGCTGCCTTGCTCCCCACCTCTATATTTTAATTGGCAGTACATCACACCTTGCTTGGACACAATTGAGAATTTTATGTTTCCCAAAACCAAATTCAAATACATGTTTCCCAACAGAATTCTTAATTTAATGAAAATGGAATATTGGTTTTGCTATGATCTCCACCACCTCAAAACATGTATTTAAAATACTCTAAGCAAAAAAAAAAAAAAAAATTGGACTTTTAAGCAAGATATTCTATAACACTCACAATATTTCTGCTTGTTTCATGTTTAATAAAATTAGCTTCCAAAGATTTTGATTTCATGAATTGTATAAAATATCTGAACAATATTGGAATTAATCTGATTGTATATATTATTGATTACATGTTATAAATGAGCATTATTTATGAAGTTTTTCTTCTGCTAATAAAGCCAAAATTTTAACAGCTATTTGTTACCACTTCATATATGTGCAAAAATTGAATTAAAAATTAATTTGAAAATACACAACTCTCCTCTTGGCTATCTGCTTGCTCCTCTCTCACAGTAACTGCTATTGTGATTCGTATCTTCTGGGTTTACCACATTAGATGATAAATACTGATAGACATTTTGTGAAAATTACACACTAAGACTCCAATAAAAAAAATCAATACCAGTTATTTTAACTGAGAAAATAAACACAGACAGTTGGTTAGACAGGTTTTAGAGTACAGAAATAAAAAGAAAGGAATACTGACAGAAGGTGGCTTGTAACTTCAAAAAACTGCTATCATCCCTAATTTCTTGGGAAACAGAAGGAAGAAGTTGGGGTTATTAGAATTTAGAGTCTTACAGAAAGGATTGCACAGAATTGGAAAAAGGGTGTGGTACCCATATAATGTGGGGACCCAGAAAAAAACAACTTGTTGGAGGGTTCTCTCAGAAATGAAACTCAGGCCTCTGAAAATGGGTTGACACCTGGTGTTAGTTTCAGCCTAGAGGGTATGATGAACCTGGTTCTGAGACAGAAAAACATTAGAACAAAGAATAAAGAATTCCCCTTTTCTCTTCTCCTACCTGTTAGTCTCTCAGTAGGCCACCTATGTTCAGAAACTGACAGCAAGCCATGTGACAAAGAAGAAATATAGTTTATATAATCTCAGCCCCAGCATCCTAAAGCAAAGTATATAAATTAATTTTAGAGCTGAAAAACCAGAGCTTAGTCCACAGCACAATCAGCAATGTTTATAAATGTGGACTTTTAGTACTAAAGTTTTCATTAACTGTACATTTTTAAAAACTCATCAATGGTAGAATTTATTATTAAATTATCAAGTAATATAACAAAATGAATAATTGTGATTTACCTCTGTAGCAAAAGGATTGCCATCTTCTCTTTATCTATGGTTAGATTTCTCAGTTTCTATTTTCCACACTTATTCCATCTAAACTGTAAGTTTTTAAAATTTTCACTAAGGTATCCTGATGTAATTTGTACATCTCACAGCTTACTAGAAGTTCTGTGGCCCCATTTTCTGATACAAGAGGTAGCTTGTGGGGATAGCAGCATTAACTACTTCTCCCGTTATTCAAAGACTAGAAGGAATTGGCTGTCTGTAGCTGTTTATGTCTGAATATACTCCTGTGTGGTGTACTTTAAAGGGAGGCCAGAGGTACTGACATTGAGAAAGGCTACTCAAGAGAGAAGCTTGCTCACTGGTCAACTCTGATTTATCCATGTGCTAAATGAGAGCTCTGTTCACTTAGAATTTACTTCTGACACTAATAGGTAAGATTACGACAGAAGCTAGAAAAAAGACAAGTTTTGGTCTGTCAAACATATAGTCACTTATTTTCCTGAAGCTGTTAATAATACAACTTTATAAGAAAAAAAATCAGTACACATTCTAAATTGGATGAGGCTCCAGGAAAGGACAAACTTTGACTTATCTGGGCAAAGCAGAATGTGTGACCACCTTACTCATGGAAGCCTGTCTCTAGAAAAGTAGAAATTTCATACTTTTGGGGGTTAGGCAGAATCTAAGAATTAGCTTGGAAGGGTCTGAGCCAGGCATGTCCATCTGCTTCAATCACACTCAATAATCAAGAAGTCACCCTTTCTCACCTAGGAGTGCTGAAAAAGTGCCTGAGAGAGCACAGAAATGTCATTTTAATGGAGGACTTTCTGCTTCCGTTAAAATATCATGTTATCATCATGTTAATAGAGGAAACATAGGGAGTAGAATACAATTTTTCCTCCCCATTATCTTATATTGAGGACATTAGTAACCATGTTCTATCTATAGAGAATTGCAATGATAGAATATGTTTACATTTACACATAAATGAAATATATAACTTTTAAAAATCACATGTCAAGGTTATATATTTGGATGATGCGTTATTATTATTGATGCATATATATTGTGCATCTGATATAGTTTGTATATTTGTCTCTGCCCGAATCTCATGTTGAATCATAACTCCCAATGCTGGAGGTGGGGTCTGGGAGAAAGTGTTTGGATCATGGGGGTGGATCCTTCATGGCTTGGTACTGTCTTTGTAATAGAAAGTTCTCATAGGATCTGGTCATTTTAAAAGTGCGTGGCACCCACTCTCACCCCACTTTCTCTTGCTCCTGCTTTTGCCATGTGAAGTGCCTACTCCTGCTTTGCCTTCCACCATGATTGAAAACTCCCTGAGGCTTCACTAGAGCAAGCAGATGCCAGCACCAAGGATTCCTGTAAATCCTGCAGAACTGTGAGCCAGTTAAACTTCTTTTCTTTATAAATTACCCAGTCATGGGTAATTCTTTATAGCTACACAAGAACAGCTTAACACATCATCTGATCCTGTGTATTTATAGTAAGAAATTTGGACTCTAACTCCTGGGAGGTAACCTCTATAAGTTTGAATTTTCCTGAGTCATAAGAGTGTCTTTGTTACCCATGACGGGCCCCTTAACCACACCTCATAGTTTATGCTTAAAAAGTGACTCATTGAGTAAACCCCGGGACCACATGCAACAATCTTAGGGCTAGGAGGCTGGCTAGACCAGAAAGACTAACCAGGTGATTAAAGGTTGGGACTTTAGCCCACAAGGTATCAGCCCAACCTATGGCGAAGGGAGATGCTGAAGACTAAATTCAACCACATAAGCAATAATTAAAGTAATTGTGCTTACCTACATAATAGAGGCCCAGTAAAAGCTCTGAATACTGTAGCATGTGTGGGCTTCTCTGACTGGAAATAATCTCTGGATATTGTAACACATTGTGGCTGGGAGGCAGCAATGCCATCCACGACTCCACAGCGTGATGACAAGCAGAAACTCTGCTTTAGGCCCCTGCCATATTCTACCTTATGCCTTTCTTTCTAATGTGTGTCCTTTGCCTGAAGTAAATGTAACTGTGAGTGTTATAGCTTGCAGTGAGTTCTGTGAGTCTACTGAAATTTCTGCTGAATTATCAAAACTGAGAGTGGTTTTGGGAAAGCCTCCAGCTTGCCATTGGTGTCTTGGGAAGACCCGATCATCTGATATACTGTGCCCTTAGCCTCCAGTCTGGCTAACTTTGGGTAATGCACAATGGGTAAATTTATATTTTTGCATATTATACCCATTCATATAGTTGATAGGCCAGAGTGAACACTAGACAGGGGGCTCAGAAGATTTATATTCTGAGCCTTTTGTATAATTTCACAATTGTATGATCATTTGGCAAAATACTTCATTTACCTGACCTCATGGGCATTTTCTCCCATGTAAAATGGTTATAATGTTGGCAAAGAAGAGGTAGCTAGACTTAAGGATCTCATCAAATTTATCATTCTAAGATCACATAAAAATATATAAAAGACATGAAATTATGACATTTGATTTTGTTAGTATGACTTAGTCACACAAAAATGTATGAGGGTTTACTTCAAACATACACACATAAGAAAAGTATATTTCTTTTCATTGTATATGTTCAAGACTGTTGTTTCCTTAAAACCTATTTTTGTTAAATTAATAAGAATCAACATCTGGTTCATTGGCAACATATGCCTTCTGCAAATTAGCTTCTCTGATGTTGGCTGGGTTCCTTAGGAAACTGTCCACCTGCTATTAAAATAATGCAAAATGACAATATTTAACCCTGGAATAATAGAGGGGTGGGGAAGTCCCTGGTGAGATCTATGCTGGTTTTTGAACAACATTAAGGTATTTATGACACCAAGGAGATTTGGAAAAGAGTTTTCAAGGCTAATCAAAAGCAAGGTTGAGGCAGGTGTGGCACATGTGGGGAAATAGCAATAGTTCAGTTACAATTAAGCATCATATGCAGAATAGGGAGAAGGAGGAGCTCTAAGAAATAAAACAAAAAGGCTTCAATATTTGAAGAGCCATATATTCCATGCTAAGTTTTTGGACTTAACCCTGCAAGAAATGGGAAGCCATAGCTTATTTTAAGGTTAGTTTTACTTTCTTATTTTCAACAATATAGAGAAGCCGTCTCTCAAAATGTGTGTATCAATGTACATATGTACATGCACTAAGGATTTAGAATAATGTAAGAGGGAAATTAAAATAATAAGCATTAAGAATCAGATGTCTGGGTGCTCAAAACCTAGGCAGGCAGCCACAGGAACAGAGAACATTGACACTTAAGTTGTTGGTGACAGAAAAAAAATGCAGGCTATGACCCCCATTACACTAATTTCTTACAAGGTGCTCTGCCTCATTGTTGAACAAAAAATTCTGTTCTTTAAAATGCAGAGGAGCCTACATTATCAAGTGTTAGAAACCTTGAAGACAGAAAAAAGAGAAGATTTTTTGGCTTTTTATCAGACTCCCAAGGTTCCTCTTGAGAAATCTTAAATGCCACAGTGCTTTTAATTATTAACTCCATGAAAGATATTTTAAGATGTTTTTCCAATAATTTTTGCATGCTATAAATAATTTATTCTTGTCAGAACAGGTAGAAAACATTATATGTAATCACACATGCTTTATCCAATTTAACAGTGAAAAAAGTTGAGAATATTATTAAATGAGATAAGAATTTTGGTATCACAAGACTTCAGTGTGGTATAGTGGAAAGATAATGTGTTTGGAAGTCAGAGAGGCCTGGGTGTTAGATCCAGTGTGGCCAATTAGTAGCTGTGTCTCCCTTTGAAGCCACCAGTCTGCATATCTGTGAATATTTTCTACCAGGAAGGTTGTTGAAAAGTACATTTGTGATCACATGCTGTCAACAAGATGTTGAGCATAAAATAGATGCTCAACAAATTCTAGTTCATTTTACTCTTAATAAATGCAGCTCTACCATATTTACTTCGTTTTCTGTTTTTCCCCTCAAAATAATTCATCTCCATTTTCTTTTCTTTCTTGCTTTCATTATTATTGTGTATTAAGATGTTTTGAAATGATTACAATAGTCAAGTAATTTAACCTATCTATAACTCTCCAGTTACTTTTTTTGTAGAAAGAGCACCTAAAAGAGAATCTTTTGACAAATTTTTATGAATATTGCCTTTTAAATATTGACATTTCCTATTTTCACATTTGTTTATTTATTTTAAGTTGACAGGTCAAATTAAATGTATTTATTGTGTATAACTTGATATCTTGAAGTACACAGGCCAATCTTGTCTTACTGCACTTTGCTTTATTGTACTTTGCAGTTATTGCATTTTTTACAAAGTAAAGGTTTGTAGCAGCCCTGCATTGAGGTAGTCCATTGGCAGCATCATTTTTTCAACAGCATGTACTCATGTTGTATCTCTGCCACATTTTGGTAATTCTTACAATATTTCAAACTTTTTACCCATTATTATATCTGTTATGGTGATCTGTGATTGATCATCTTTCAGGTTACCATTGTAAATACTTTGGGGCACCAAAAGCTGCTCCCATTTAAGACAGCAAACAATCTATAAATGGTGTGTGTTCTGACCGCTCCACTCACTGGCCATTCCCCCATCTCTCTCCCTCTCCTTGTCATCCCTATTCGCTTAGATAGAAAAATATTAACTTTGGGCCAATTAATAACCCTACAATGGCCTATAAATGTTTAAGTGAGAAGAAGAATTGCATGTCTCCCACTTCTAGTCAAAAGCTAGAAATGATTAAGCTTACTGAGGAAGGCATGTTGAAAGCCAAGACAGGCCAAATGGTGGGCCTCTTGTACCAAACAGCCAAGTTGTGAATGCAAAGAAAAAGGTCTTGAAGGAAATTAAAAGAGCCACTCCCCTGAACACATGGATGACAAGAAAAGTAAAGAAACCTATTGCTTATATGGAGAATGCTTCAGTGGTACAGATAGAAGATCAAAGCACCCACAAGATTCGCTCAAGCCAAAGCCTAATTCAGGTCAAGACTCTAACTCTCTTCAATTCTGCGACGGCTGAGAGAGGTGAGGAAGCTGCAGAGAAAAATCTGAAGTTAGCAGAGGTGGGCTCATAACGCTTAAAGAAAGAGGCCAGGCGCGGTGGCTCATGCCTGTAATCCCAGCACTTAGGGAGGCCGAGGTGGGTGGATCACCTGAGGTTGGGAGTTCGAGGCCAGCCTAACCACCATGGAGAAATCCTGTCTCTACTAAAAATACAAAAAATTAGCCAGGCTTGATGGCTCATGCCTGTAATCCAAGCTACTCGGGAGGCTGAGGTAGGAGAATCGCTTGAACTCGGGAGGCGGAGGTTGTGGTGAGCCGAGATCACGCCATTGCACTCCAGCCTGGGCAACAAGAGCAAAACTCCATCTCTAAATAAATAAAAGAAAGAAAGAAAGAAAGAAGCTATATCATGAAACATAAAAGTGCAAGGTGAAACATGAAATGCTGATGTAGAAGTTGCAACAAGGTATCCAGAAGATCTAGCTAAGATAATTGATGACAGTAGCTACACTAAAGAACAGATTTTCAAAGTAGACAAAATAGCATTATAATGGCAGGAGATTCCATCTAAAATTTTCATACCTAGAAAGAAGTCAATGCCTGGCTTCAAAGCTTCAAATAACAGGCTAACTCTTATGTTAGGGGCTAATGCAACTAGTGAGAATGGCAGCCAATTCTGGTTTACCATTCTGAAATCCTAAGACCCTTAAGAATTATGCTAAATCTACTCTGCCTGTGCTCTGTAAATGAAACAACAAAGCCTGGATGACAGCACATCTGTTTACTGCATGGTTTACTGGACATTTTAAGCTCACTGTTGAGACTTACTGCTTTGAAAAAAAGCTTCCTTTCAAGGTAAAATCACTGACTGAGAATACACCTAGTCACCCAAGACCTCTGATAAAGATGTACAAGGAGATTAAGTTGTTTCTCTGTCTAATAACAAAATATCCATTCTGCAGCCCATGGATCAAGGAGTAACTTTCACTTTCAAGTCTTATTATTTGAGAAATATATTTTGTAAGGCTATAGCTGCCATAGATAGCGATTCCTCTAATGGCTCTGGGCAAAGAAAATTAAAAACCTCCTGGAAAGGATTTGCCATTGTAGATGCTATTGAGAACATTCATGATTCATGGGATAAGGCCAAAATACCAACATTAACAGATGTTTGGAAGAAGCTGATTCCAACTCTACTGAATGAATTTGAGGGGTTTA
Source organism: Homo sapiens (assembly GCF_000001405.40). Lineage (NCBI taxonomy): Eukaryota > Metazoa > Chordata > Mammalia > Primates > Hominidae > Homo > Homo sapiens. The sequence goes on along the minus strand of NC_000002.12, from coordinate 13,553,960 downwards.
AAACTTCAGTGGGGGAAGTAACTTCAGATGTAGTAATAGCAAGAAAATTAGAATTAGAGGTAGAGCCTGAGAAGACTGAATTGCTGCAATTTCATGATAAAACTTCAATGGATAGTATAAGGAGTTTTTTCTTATGCATGAGCAAAGAGAATGGTTTCTTGGACTAGAATCTACTGCTGAAGATGCTGTGAACACTGTTTGAATGACAATAAAAGATATAGAAGGCCAGGTGTTGTGGCTCACTCCTGTAATCCCAACACTTTTGGAGGCCAAGGCAGAAGGATCACTTGAGCTCAGGAGTTTGAAACCAGCATGAGCAACAAAGGGAGGCCGGTCTCTACAAAAAATTAAAAAATTAGTCAAGCATGGTAACACAGGCCTGTAGTCCCAGCTACTCAGGAGGGTGAGGTGGAAGGATCACTTGAGCCAGGGAATTCAAGGCTGCAGTGAGCTTTGCTCACAGCACTGCACTTCCGCCTGGGTGACAGAACAAAACCTTTCCTCAAAGCAAAAACAAAAGGATTTAGAATATTACATAAGTTTAGCAGTGGCAGAGTTTGAGAGAATTGACTTCGATTTTTAAAGAAGCTCTACTTTGTGTAAAATGTTCTCAAACAGCCTAGTATGCCACATATAAATCTTTCATGGAAGACGAGTCAAATTCATGGAGCAAACTTTATTGTTGTCTTATTTTAAGAAACTGTCCCAGCCACACCAGCCTTCCCGCAACCACCACCCTGATTAGCCAACAGCCGACAACATCAAGACAAGGCCCTCCACCAGCAAAAAGATTACAGGTTGCTAAAGGCTCAGATAATCATTAGCACGTTTTTGGCAATAATGTACATTTCAGTGAAAGCACATATATTTTTTAATACCTAATGCTATTTCACACTCAGCAGGCTACAATATAGTATAAAATAACTTTCATATGTACTGGGGAACCAAACAATTTATGCAACTTGATTTATTTTGGTGTTCGCTTTATTTGCTTTAGGAACTAACCCTGCAATATCTCTGAGGTGTGCTTGCATATATGTCGTGGAATAGTTAATTCTAGCTAATTAAAATATGCACTACCATACATGGTCATCATTTTTGTAGTGAGAATATTTAAAATCCACTCTTTTAGAATTTTGTAAAGCATTTTTCAAGAATATAATGTATTTTTATTAACTGTAGTTGCTGTGCTGTATGATATGTCTTTCAAACTTATTCCTGTTATCTAACTGTAATTTTGTCTCCTTTGACTAAGATATCCTCTCCCCTCAACCAACCCAAACTCTGCTAACCACCATTCTACTCTATGTCTATGAGATCAACCTTTTTAGATATGAGTGAAAACAGACAGTATTTGTCTTTCTGTGCTTTATTTGACTCAACAGAATGATCGCCATTTCCATCCATATTGCTGCAAATGATAGGATATCGTTTTATGACTGAATAGTATTCCATTGTGCATATTTGCATTTTCTTTATCTATTGATGGGGACATAGATTGATTTTATAGCTTGGCTATGGTGAATAGTGCTGTAACAAACATGGGAATGAAGATATCTCTTTCACATACTGATATCATTTTCTTTGATAGATACACAATGGTTGGATTGCTGGATCATTTGGTAATTCTATTTTTAATATTTTGAGGAACCTCCATATTGTTTTCCATAATAGCTATACCAATTTACATTCTCATCAACAGTGTGCAAGGGGTCCCTTTTCTCCACATCCTCACCAACATTTGTTATCTTTTGTCTTTTTGATGATAGCCATTCTAACAGGAGCCAGACGATGTTTCATTGTGGTTTTAATTTACATTTCCCTAATGGTTAGTGATGTTGAGATTTTTTTTCATATCCCTATTGGCCATCGTGTCCTCTTTTGTAAAATGTCTATTCAGGTCCTTTGCCTGTTTTTAAATTGGATTGTTTTAATATTTACATTTCCAAAGATAAATCAAAAGATGTATGCTAGTAATAATCATCGTCTTATTTGTAATAGAGATGGACTGGAAACAATATTAAAATCATCTATGAGGAAATTGTTGCACAAATGATACCGTATTCACAGGCCGAAAATTAAAGTATATATTTAAAATAGTAATATTGATGAGTGAAGAGTATTTATGAAAACATTTTTCTAAGTAAAGACACAGGCTTGTACATATAAATTCATTACAGTCATGCATGGTAGGCATGGAAGATAAAGAAGGTAATACATTAAAATTATAACTAATTTTTCTCTTAGATTATTTCTCTGTGTACTCTCTGCTAGTGTATTTGTAAAATTCCTGAAATTTCTTTTTTTCTCCCATTTTGCTGGTGAGCTCATCTCTATTGATAACTATTTGGAAAACTTTTCTTTGTTCTTCTGTAAATAATCACTTATTTCTCCATGCTACTCTAGTACATTGTAACTATGTTAACTGTATTACTAAATGCATAGCTTTGTAGTTATTTTTATATGCTGCCTTCATTAGAATACTGGACTGTAATAGTCAGCCTCTGCTGCATGACAAAGAAACACACAATCTTGGTGGCAAAATAAAAAAATGTATTTTTATGCTTAGCGTCTAGCAGTTTAACTGGATTTCCCAATGCAGTCTGAGCTGTTATCCTCTGCTACAAGTTGAGGCTTCCACTACTCTGAGATCCTAGCTCTGGGTTGGGTTATGCTAACTTAATTTGTATTCACTTTGGGTCCTAGATGAAAGTAGTCACAACTATCTGGAGAAAGTTCTTCCCATAACTGGTCACTGGAGCCCTACAGTGAAAGTCCAAAAGTATAAGCAAATGTCAAGCCTCTGCTCTCATCATATGCACTACAACATCACATTGGCCAAAACAAGTCACCCAGCCAAGATCAAGATTAAGGACGTAGAAAGCATACTCTGCCCACAATTGAACTATAGCAAGCATGTGAATTCTTACCCTGTGTCAAGGGAGTGAGGAATTGCGAAAATAATTTGGTCAACCACAGTGATCCTTTACAGCTTATATTTATTTTTGTGACATCACTGCTCTGTATAACTCACATGTTATTATGTATGAAGTGCTTATAGAGTAATATGCTGAGGACTCCAGGGGACACTGAGAATGAAATAATACCTTCTTCTCTGCACAATGGATAATCCATTTCCATTTTCCTCTCTAAGCAGCAAGTGCTTGAATCTGCCCAAAGAGGTTTGAAACCTCTTCAGCAGCTGTCGGTGACTGTGCCTATTACTGTATAAGCACTTAAGATGTTTGTTATTGAAATGATCAAAATGGCTGTACCTGGAAGAATTTATATAGTTAAAACTGAAGGAAATAATCAGTTTTGTTGTTGTTTCAAATCAATGAGTATTATTTTGACAAATATGCAAATACTTCTTGGTTTGTTCAAAATAGATGCTGGGGTTTTTCTTCTGACTTAATTTTTTTCCCGAAAATGAAACTAATTAAGAAGTTTATTTATCAGAAACTCATAGAAGTTTTTCTAAAAGGATGAGGAACAGCATACAACCTAGAAGACAGAAGGCTTGTTTATTCTTTGTTTCCACTTTGGCTCTAGTCTCAAAATACGTAAGTGCTATGTTGAAAGAAATTTTAAAACCTTGTAATGCATTCCATATAAGAGGGGCTAATGACTGGCTATGAGCGATAGTTGAGAGTATACAGAATAAGCCTGGCATGGTTTACAAAACAATTTGTGTGTCCCATAGTATGTGGGAGACACACATTGCATGTCAGCCATTCTTCTTTTTTTTGCTTCTTTATCATAATTATTATTGCTACTATTTACATTTAAAAACATGACAGTGATAATTATCACAGAATACATACAGTGCTGCAGAATTAATATTCCCCCAACCCTTATCATATAGCTGGGCACACTGAGGAGGACAGAGTTCTCTGATCAAAGTCTTAAAGTGAGTTATTTGCAGCTCAGCAAATTGAAATCTGGCTATTTTCTAGTTTCTAGAATAAAATACAATACCCCATGTTTGATAATATTTCACAATAAAAAGTGAGAAAAGTAAGTACAATGGTAGGGAATAAGGGATGTTTTCAGAAGCAGTATGGAGGAAGATAAAAATAACCAAATACGAGCTACATTCTCGTTTGACAGGAAACAAATTGTTCAGATGTGATTGAAGTGGACGGAGTGGAATTAGAATAGCCTGATGTGTTCACCTGTGTTCTAGAGAGTGGATTTTGGATGAGTCTAAAATTTTAATCCCTATGTATTTGAACAAGGATAGAAGAGACTCACAACGCCCATGGAGAAATCCTCGTTTGCAATAGCAAGGAAATAATATGGACACATTCAGCTAGAACTGCTTCTAGAGCATGTAGCTAAATTATTTGGGGTCTCTAGTGCCACACACTTGTCAGGATGCAGACATAACACATATTTTTAAAAGACCTTTCCTTTACCCGATGAACATCTAGAAACAGAATTCTTACATTTAACATGCAATATTTATTTTGTGACCTTATGATTATAGTGAATAAATTCTAATCTCTGATGTTTTTTGTGTTTAAAGCTTTTTTTTTTTTTTTTTTTTTTTTTTTTTTTTTTTTTACTGATAGGCTTTATTAAAGTAGTTTTAAGTTTATGGGAAAATTAAGTAAAAAGTACAGAGGGTTCTCATATACTATCTTTTCTCTCTCATCCCAGCCACAATTTCCCTATTATTAGCATCTTCTTTGGCACATTTGTTAGAATTGGTGGACAAATATTGATATATAATTATTAACTAGAGACTACAGTTCACACTAGGGTTTATTCTGTGTTTTTTACAGTTCTATTGGTTTTGACAGATACATGATGCCATGTACCTACTATTACAGTACCATACCAAAATAGTTTTGTTATTCCACAAATCCCCTATTTTCCATCTGTTCATTTCTCCCTCCCTTCCCCCAAACCCCTACCAACCACTGAACATTTCGCTGTGTCCACAACTTTGCCTTTACCAGATTGTCACAGAGATAAAATCATACGGTATGTAGTCCTTTTAGCCATCTTAGGCTGGCTTCTTTTACTTAACCAGGACATCCTGTAGTGACTTTTAGGCTTGCTCGTTTCCACAGAGAGAAAGTTCCTAGCAGTGAGATCTGTTTGTTACTAATATGCACTGAAAGTTTTTCATGGTTTTCATGTCTTTGTTGCTTTTTTTTTTTTTTTTTTTAGATGGAGTCTTACTCTGTCACCTAGGCTGTAGTGCACTGGCGCTGTCTTGGCTCACTGCAACCTCAGCCTTTCAGGTTCAAGCAGTTCTCTGCCTCAGCCTCCTGAGTAGCTGGGATTACAGGTGTCTGCCACCACACCTGGCTCATTTTTGTATTTTTGGTAGAGACGGGGTTTCACTATCTTTGCTGGGCTGGTCTTGAACTCCTGACCTCAGGTGATCCACCTGCCTCGACCTCCCAAAGAGCTGGGATTACAGGCATGAGCCACCACGCCTGACCAGCTCATTTCTTTTTATCACCAAAAAAAATTCCATCGTATGCATGTACCACAGTTTGTTTATCCATCCACATATTGAAAGATATCTTGGTTGCTTCCAGTTTTTACCAATTATAAATAAAGCTGCTATAAACATCTGTGTTCAGGCTTTTATAAGGACATAAGGTTTTTATACGGACATTTTCAACTTACTTAAATACCTAGGAATGTGAATGCTGAATTTTATGGCATGAGTATGTTTAGCTTTGTAAGGAACTGCTAAACTGTCTTCCAAAGTGGTTGTATATTTTTCATTCCCAGCAGCAATTAACTGCCCTGGTTGCTCCATATTCTTATCAACATTTGGTGTTGTGTTTTAGATTTTAGCCATTCTAATAGATGTGTAGTATTTTATTGTTGTTTTCATTTGAAATTCCTGAATGACATATGATGTTCAGCATCTTTCCATATGTTTATTTTCCTTTTGCATATCTTCTTTGGTGAAATGCCTGTTCAGATCATTTGCCCATTTTTAAATTAAGCTTTTTGATTTTATTTTTGATGTTTAAGAGTTCCTTTTATATTTTGGAAACAAGTCCTTTATCAGCTATTTGTTTTGCAAGTATTTTCTCCCAGTTGTGGGTAGCCTTTTTATTTCCTTAACAATGTCTTTTGCAGAATGATCATTTTTTAATTTAATAAAGCCCTACTTATCAATTTATTCAGTCATGGATTGTATTTTTGGTGTTGTATCCAAAAAGTCAACACTAAACTCAAAGTCACCTAGATTTTCTCATGCTATTTCCTTGAAAGTTTATGGTTTTGCATTTTACATTTGGGCCTATGATCCATTTGGGGTTAACTTTTGTGAAAAGTGCAAGATGTGTGTATATAGATTTTCTGCAGAGGATATGGATGTCTAGTTGTCTACTTGTTCTAGCACTATTTGCTGAAAAGATTTTTTTTTCTCCATTGAATTTTTTTTTGCCTTTGTTACAGTCAGTTAATTGTATTTGTGTTGGTCTATTTCTGGGCTATTTTGTTCTGTTAATCTACTTGTGTATTCTTTTACTAGTACAAATTGCCTTAATTATTGTAGTTTCATAGTAAGTGCTAAAGTAACATAATTCAGTCCTCTGACTTGGTTCTTGTTCTCAATATCAAAATGGCTATTCTGGGCATTTTGCCTTTCCTATACTTTTAGAATCAATTTGTTGATATCCACAAACTAATTTGCTAGTGGTTTGATTTGTAGTGCATTGAAACTATAGATCAAGTTGGAAGAAAACTGACATCTTAATAGTACACAAGATGTTTACTGATCTTAATTGTACTTAGTACTAATCAGCAATTAAGATAAAGAATACATTTCCCTATCCATGAACACAAAATATTTCCGTATTTATTTCTGTAATTTTTTTTCATCAGAGCTTTGTAATCTTCCTCATACAGATCTTATACTTTCAATCCATACCTAAGTTTTCAAAATTTTGGTGTTCATGTAAATGGTTGTGTGTTTTTTATTTCAAATTCTAATTGTTCATTGTTTATATATAGGAAAGCAATTGAATTTAACTATTAATTTTGTGTTCTGCAGTCATGCCATAATCACTTGTTAGTGACAGTTCTTTGTTGATTCTTTGAGATTTTCTACATAGAAAAGCATGTTACTTTAGAATAAATATCCCAATTATTTTTTAATTTCCTTTCCTTGTTTTTCATTAGCTAGAATTTCCACTATGATGTTTAGTAAGAGTGATAAGATAGGACATCCTTGACTTGTTCCTGACTTTAGAGAAAAAGCATCCAGTTTCTCACCATTAAGAATAATGTTAACTGTACATTTTTGTAGATGTGCTTTATCAAGATAAGGAAGTTTCCCTCTATTCCTACTTTACTGAAAATGTTTGTCTTGAATAAGTGTTGAATTTTGTCAAGTGTTCTTTCTGCATCTGTTGATATGATCATGATTCTTCTTCTTTAGCCTGTTAAAACAGTGTATAATCTTAATTGTTTTTTGAATGTTGAACAAGCCTTGCATGTGTAGCATAAAACCCATTTGGGTGTAATGTCTTTTTAAATACATTGTTTAATTCTGTTCTCTGATATTTTGTTGAGGGTTAAGTTCATGAGATATACTGGCCTGGACTTTTACTTTCTTGTAATATCTTTGACTGGTTTTGATATTAAAGTAATGCTGACCTTGTATATTTTATTTTAAAATATTCCTTCTGCTTCTATTTTTTGGAAGAGTTTGCACTTAATTGTTATCATTTCTTTCTTAAATGTTTGGTAGAACTCACCACTGAAACTCTCTTGGCATGATTGTTTCCTCTTTTTATTACTCCATCTTATCGTTCCATGTTAGAGTGACTGTGATTTTTTTCATTTCCATTGACATTAAAGTCTACAATTAGATTTCAAAAGAACACTAATGGTGGATAAACGGTTTCATAAGAAATGCATTCTAAGCTGAGTTTCTGAGTATAATCTAAAAATCTTGGCCTCACCATTCTGTGAATACAGTATAAGGTCCTATGTCTTTCTATATTCATACTATGACTTCAAGCCCTCACTTGTCAAACTGAGGGTCCAATTTTTTAAACACCACCATTTTATGTACATTTATCTAGAACTTATTCCTTGTAACTCAAATAGGGCCACTTGAGGATTATCAGAAAATAGGATACCTTGAAGTAGATTCTGCAAATATTGGTCTCTGGAATTTATCTCCACAGCTAAAATTCTTTGTAGTTGTCACCTTGTTGTGATCTAGAGTAAACTAAAAATTTTCATGCAGAATTCTGGCAGTCTTAGCACAATAGGTTTGAATAGACTACAGATTCCTCCTAGCTCCACTGCTTATGCATTCTCATGACAATTGCAGGAATTGACTACAGGTGACATTCCTAGACCTCTGTGGCTCCTAAACTGTGAGGAATAACGATCTTTCTGTCACTGTCACATTGGGTCATGAGTGAGTCACAGAAACCTGCCCTGACCTCAGTGTCATATTTAGTGGTTAAGCTATATTATCTCCAACATAGATCTATCTTGAGTTCCAGAATGTCTGCACCTTAACCAGTGAAATCATCAGCAGAACATGTGTCCATAATTATGATTCCACTCCAGCTACATAACCATGGGTGTGAGCCCAAGTCTCGAGTTCAGAAATTATCATCTCTGATGATAGAGATCTACTGAGACAGCATGGTCAGTCTCTGCCAGTTGATCTTATGCTGGACCATGCCACATTAACAGATACATTTTTAATATTTTGAATATCAATCTAATGCTCTTTCTACAGTTTTCTAATTTCATGTGAGTCTTCTGTGATTCCATTGAAATACCTACGAGCAGTGAATGTTTAATGCTATATGTCAACTTGACTGGGCCATCGGGTATCCAGATATTTGGTTAAACATTATTACTGGATGTGTCTGTGAGGATATTTCTGGAAGAGATTAGCATTTAAGTTGGTAAAATAATGTGGGTGGAAATTATCCATTTAGGGCCTGAATAGAACAAGAGACAGGGAAATGGAGTTCATTCTCTCCACCTGATATGATTTGGCTCTGTATCCCCACCTGAATTTCACCTAGAATTGTAATCCCCATGTGTCATGGGAGGGAACTGGTGGGAGGTGATTGGATCATAGGGGTTGGTTTCCCCCATATTGTTCTCATGACAGTGAGTGAGATCTCACAAGATCTGACAGTTTAAAAGTGTTTGGCCGTTCTTCCCTGTATTATTCTGTTCTCACATTGCTACAAAGACATGCCTGAGACTGGATAATTTTTAAAGGAAAGAGGTTTAATTGACTCACAGGTCTACATGGTGGGGGAAGCCTCAGGAAACTTACAAATCATGGCAGAAGGCAAGAGAGAAGCAAAGGCACATCTTTTATGGTGGCAGGTGAGAGAGAGCACATGAGTGAAGGGGAAAGAGCCCCTTAAAAAACCATCAGATCTCAGCAAGGGGGAAACTTCTCCCATAATCCATTCACCTCTCACCCGGTCCCTCCCTGGACACATGGATTATGGAAATTACAATTCAAGATAAGACTTGGATGGGGACACAAAGCCTAACCATATCACCCCCACCGCTCTATCTCTCCTGCTGCCTTCTGAAGAAGGTGCTTGCTTCCCTTTTGCCTTTCACCGTGATGGTAAGTTTCCTGAGGCCTACTCAGCCATGTGGAACTGTAAGTCAATTAAGCCTCTTTTATTTATAAGTTACCCAGTCTCAGGTAGTATCATTACAGCAATGTGAAAACAAACTAATACACCACCTGACTGCTTAAGCAGGGACATGATTCTGGCTTCAAACTGGAACTTTATGAGCCACTCTACTGGTTATCAGGCCATTATATCAGGACTGGAATTCATACCACCAGCTTTTTTGGGTCTCTAGCTTGCTGATTGTAGATTGTGGGACTTCTAAGCCTCCCCAGTCATGGAACTATATATACATATAATATATACAAATATATACATATAATATATACATATATATAAGCAATGTCTATGCACTGCTCAGTAGCATTTGCAACCTATTTTTGAATGAATATATTTGGTGATGTCCTGAGAGATGCCCAACTTACTAGACAAAAGCCACTGGATCTGCCACTACCTAGTTGTATGACTTTGAATAAATACAGAAACTTGTCTGCTAATCAATTTGCCAATCTGCAAAGCAAGGGATATAGTCCCCACTCTTGGTCTCATATGGTATTGGAAGGAAACTAAAAAGACATGTGTGAAACCACAATGCAGGTTTCTCAACAGCAGTAGTAGTGTCACTTTAGGACATATAATTCTTTGTTGTGGGGGCTGCCCTGAGTAATCCAGGATATTTAGCAACATCTCTGGCCTCCACCAGCCAGGTGCCAATAGCACACTCCCGGAAGTGACAACAAAACCCTCTCCATGAAGTTGAATTTTGAGGAAAAGTGAAAAAAAAAAGAACTCCCTCTAGATATTGCCACATGGTCCCTGGAGGATAAAACTGCCCCTAGTTTAGAAGCACTGGTATAATAAGTGGCTTATTCAGACTAAAAGGAATTTTTAAAAATTATTTATTAGTGAATGCTCTATTAACTGGATCTCTAGGATCTTGATGTATGCTGCCAATTATGTCTCAATTCACTTTCCATACACCCAAGAATTAAAATATCTGAATGAGATTATGAACAAAAGACTAAAATATACATTTAAATATAAAAACATACATGATATATATAAACTAAAAGATACAAAATACATAATTTTCCAATTCCTCTTCACTACAGAACTGATACAATATTTAACATATTTAACCATGTTCTGCTTTGATTGAAACTACTCTTTCATGTACTACTCATTTGTGTGTGTGTGTGTGTGTATTACACATCAATTTTATCCAGACTATGTCAATAAATGGTGGCCCATATAACTCTACACAGTATCCCCATCTCCCGTGGAGTCCATGCAGGGGTACCATGAACCTAACTTGCCATTCTTTTGAAAATATAATTGGGCTAGACTCTCACTGTGCTATAACCTTGCCTGTAGCCTTCCCTATTTTGCCTGCAAACAAGTGCTCTAGAAAAGTGCCATTTAGCGAGGAGAAATTTGACATGTATATGTAAGTGCTATTATTTGAATGTCTTCTCCATATTTCCTATGTTGAGAATTTAATCCTCAGTGTGGCACTGTTGAAAGGTAGTGCCTTTAAGAGGTGACTGAATCATGACAGAGAGCCCTCATGGATGCATTAATCTATTCGTGGATTAATGGATTATCGTGGGAGTGAAACTGGTGGCTTTTTCAGAAGAGAGCTCTGGGCATGCACGTGAGTATGCTCAGTACGCTCACCATGTGATACCTTGTACCACCTCTGAACCTCTGAATGCTGCAAAGTCCTCACTAGCAAGTAGGCTCTCACCAGATACATACTGTTAACCATGGATTTCCCAGCCTTCATAACTATAAGAAATAGATTTATTTTCTTTATAAATTACTCTGTTGAAGGTTTTCTGTTATAAGCAACAGAAAACAAACTAATACAGTAAGATATTCCAACTGTCTGCATTTCTTATCTTGGTGAAAACTTGAAGATATACCTTCCTCGGCATTTTCAGATTCATTGATCTCAGAGCTGGACAAAATGTGAGAGTCAGTTTAGAGTTAAGCGAACAAGGTCCAGAAATGGGTAGAGATTTGCTTGAATCAAGTGAATGCTGGTGGTAGACGTAAGGCAGGAAGTCATTTCCACATTCAGCATTTTCTTTTTCTTTTTTGAGACAGAGTTTCATTCTTGTTGCCCAGGGTGGAGTGCAACGGCGCCGTCTTGGCTCACTGCAACCTCTGCCTCCAGAGATCAAGCAATTTTCCTGCTTCAGCCTCCCAAGTAGCTGGGATTACAGGCACCTGCCACCATGCCTGGCTAATGTTTTTTTTTTTTTTTTGTATTTTTAGTAGAGATGGGGTTTCACCATGTTGGTCAGGCTGGTCTCGAATATTCAGCTTTGCCCGTATATTACACACTTTTTATTGCTGGGAACAATACCATACTGTGCTGAACTGAAAATTTAACAGGCAGTATCTACCTACATTCTAACCTTTCCATGTTTAAGTTTCTATTGGTGAGTCTGCTTTTTGATTGATTAGTTCTCCAATTTGCTCAATAAGCCCCAGTGTTATTTTCAAGTACATTACAGAGGCTTGAGAGAATTTGTGTCAGCTCCTAGGTCTTTTCCCTTATTGTGGTATGTGCCAGGTAACAGTATTACCTCCTGGAGATGATCCTGTGTTTATTAATCCATTGTTCAAAACTACATTGTAAGCTATGCTTGCTTAAAAATTTTTCATTTTCCATGACACTGAGAATAAAAAAGGTTATCCGCAACTTAAAGGTCACTCACTCAGTTTCTAATCCCTCAGAACAAAACAAAACAAAAAGTATGTGCCAATAGATATTAAAATTCATTACAAAAATAATTGGACTTTCTTGTTTAGTTGTCATCTTCTGTCCATTAAATAGAAACATTATTAGCAGAAACAAGTCTATATTCTGAGGAAAATACTGATTCAGGAATACTATTTGCCAACAAAATGCTTATTGCCTGCAAAAACGAATTCATGTCTTTTCATTATGGCTTTAACTCTAAGGCTGACGTTAATTAAGAATCACAGGAAACCATAAAAGTTATCACCTGTTTTCTCTGTAAAGTTACTCAACGCAATTGTATAACTACAAAAGAAATTATTCATTTTCTATTCAAAGTCACTCCTTTTCCTTCAGAATTCCATTGTCTTTTCCATGGAAAAAAATAAGCAGCCCTAGGAAAAGTGGAATAATATCGGAAATAATATGGTTACATATTAGCTGTGATCATGTGGAATATTGTTCACAAATATTTGAAACTGCTTCCTGTGAAGCCAAGAATTGAACAAACTAAACTGCCTTGTGAAGTTGAACTTGGCCCTGTGACTGCCTTTGGCTGATGGACAGTTTTTTGGTGTTTGTTGTTGTCATTGTTATTTTTTATCCCAGGGATTTTGGAGCCAGTGCATGTTGGGCCACATTCTCTCTGTCTGTCTTCTCTGCCTCTTGGACTGCGGCAGTGGTCTCCAAATGAAGGCATGGAGAGCCTGGGTCCCTTTGTTAGAATGATGAGCAGTTTCTACTTGCCAAAAAGCAAAGGTTCACCCTGAGCTAAAGCATTTTGAAAAAGCTTCAAAGGTGATTCTGATGGACAAGATTGAGACCCCTATTAATTAATAAATGTTCAGTTCTCAGAGATTGCTTTGCTTTTTAGCCGTATATGTGTCTCCACCATAAGGCTATGACTGAACTCTCACCTGTCAAGGCCCTCCTTCCATAAGACTTTCAAAAGTTTTCCTAGAATCTATCACTTCTTCTCAGTTACATTTATACTTCCTGTCATTTATTAGAAACTACTCTTCATACATCCACTTTTTTCAGAAGATTAAGGAATAGTTGCCACAGCCTTTGCATATAAGAGTTCCAGACAATTAGGCATGTCATTTTTCTGATACAAAGTGGTATTTTGGGGTGGTTTGTTAACAAAAAAGAAATGGCTTTTATTTCTCATTCACACAAAAGCAGAATGGGAAACCTGTATAGGTGAAAAGAGAGTAGGCTTTGCAGTGAGATACACTTGACTTTCAATTTTTGCCCTGCTACTAGATATTCATTAATTTGCCTCTTAGACATTAATTGCTTTATATGTAAACCATGCTATTTCTTTGCATATGTATCATGTAAGAATGTTGGGAGATACATAACGGACAGATGGATGTGAAGGAATGGAAGCGAATGTCTTCTAAAACCTTTCAAAGTGCCAGGAAAAATAGAAGGTTTGATTTTGTCTTTTAAAAGACTTTTATGTTTTACAATTTTCAGTAAGAGGTAATATGATTAAAATAAGACTGTCCTATGCATAGTAATAGGTGGTCTACATGTATCAGCGCTAATGCTTACAACAACCCTGCTACATAGATATTACATCATTTTATGAATGTGAATCAAGTCCAGATCTCTCTTACTCCAAAGCTCATATTCTTTTTATTAAACCGTCTTCACTCCGTCAAGAAGCTTTCCTTAATTCTCATTGACATCCTCTGACATACGCATGACACATATCTGCAGTTCTAGAAATTGTGTCTAGAGTTTCACATAACCAACTTATCATCCAGACAGGATCAGTCCTATTTCCACTTTTATATAAGGGGAAACTGAGGCTCACATAGTTTACATGATATTCTAAGGCCACCCATGTAGTGAACAACAGAGGCAGAGTATATAGACTGAATACACACCCACTAAGTCATCTCTTGGTCTCTATTTTTTTTCTGTTTATATCCATTCACAATTTCCTTCCCTTGCTCCTTATTGTCCAACAGCAATTCCATTTTCCTTTGAGTCCACTCTCCTTTCAATTATTTCTCACAATGTCTTCCCTTCCCTTTGGGACAATAAGAGGTTAATGAGCTAGATCTGAGCAGAAACAGATTGCAGTGGTTGGCATGTACCTGCTGAGCACTAAATCACCAATGATCCCTCATCAGCCTGCTCTCAGCAGGCTCCACTTCAGCCTGCCTTGTGGATCCATTAAATGCAGGCAGCTGTATAAATTCTATTCTTTTAAGGGTAGAGAGCTGTTTCATGCACTCTTTAAACGGATCTTACAAATGTAGCATCCGAAGGCTTATCATAGCATAGACCTTCTTTTGCTTGAGGGCTAGATCTTTTTAGAAACTAAAGGTAAAAGAAGGATGGTTGGCACAGCAGGCACCCAGAGGTATCAAGATGAATTCCCAGACATTCACTAAATTAGGCCAATGAAAACAATGGAATTCGAATAGTCTTACTACTTTTTAGAAGACATACTTTATTAAGTACCAACTTGTATAGTTACCTATACACATGATTGTGGTATTTTATATTATCATATTTAATACAACACTGTGATTTTTTTAAATTATATTTCCCCTCTCACAAATGGGGAAATTAAGAATGAGATTGGCCATCTTACTGAACACACTAACAGGTCTTGTAACGGGTGACTTTCTGCATTCTGGAATGTTTAGGCATTACATGTTGTGGGAGAATAAAAGCACTAGATGTATGGAGGATTGAGAAAGGCCAATAGGTTCTAAAGTTCACTCTTTCTGACTCTTACCTACTAAACTGCATCTGCCTATCAAAAGTATAATACTATAAAATGATTCATGATTTCATGAATCGATGATTTTATGGATTTGGTTAAACTGACTAAAGTACTCTTACATTGACCTTTTTTCTCGGTAATCATCTGTCTCATTTTTACTCGAATACAAATGAAATAGCTACATTATCCACCTATTCCAAGATTGTCTTAGCCACTCAGATAAGTTTTACTCAAAGCTCCATGCTGTTAGGAAAGAAAATAAGCTAAGTGGAGTATGGCTTATAATTTTTCTTTAAGAAATGTGCTCTTGCTTTCGTTTTGATACATATTCACTTAAATGAGCTTTAAGGGTGATAATTTTCCTTCTCAAATGTCAGAATAGATTGAGGAAGATATTTATGTCCAACAGAAAACTGTTGCAGATGAAGCTGTATTGAAAGATATTGTTATACACTAGAATCCAACATCAGGATTCTGATGATTTTCCATCTGAAATGGGCTGGACATTTGCAGGGCAGTGGAGCTCAGTCCAGTTGAAATTTCCATGTGGGAACAAAGGCAGAGAAAAGATAATCTATGTTTTGTAGGCAGGGTGTGTTTTAAAGAGCATGCCAAGGAAATATTTCTTGCCTGCACATGTGGCTTTGCCTCTGATCCTGTTTGCTCAATGCATATTTTAGCTTACTAGATAAGAAGGCACACCAGTGCGAAAGAGAGGTCCACGGGACCTGGACCAAGCATGGCCAGTGGCCCCTTGTATTAGTTCGTTCTCACACTGCTATGAAGAAATACCCGAAACTGGGTAATTTATAAAGGAAAGAAGTATTAATTGACTCACAGTTCCACATTGCTGGGGAGGCCTCAGGAGACTCACACTCACGGCGGAAGGCAAAGAAGAAGCAGGCACCTTCCTCGCAGGGTGGCAGGATGGAGTGAGTGCAAGTAGGAGAAAAGCCAGACACTTATAGAATCATCAGATCCCATGAGACTCAATCATTATCACGAGAAGAGCATGGGGAAAACTGCCCCCATGATCCAATTGTCTCCACCTGGTCCCACTCTTGCCAGGTGAGAAATTACGGGGATTACAATTCAAGATGAGATTTGGGTGGTGACACAGAGTCAAATTATATCACCCCTTTTCTAATTTTCCCCCTTTCTGTGGGAGTTTTAGTGTGTAAGTGTGTGAAGACAGGTAGGATTTATATGCCTAATGTTGGGGACCATAAAAATGTTTATTGTAATGTGTGCCTGCTCTTTATCCACTGAATCCACTGAGAGGAACGAGGGAAGAGAAAACAAACTGTTTCCAATCCTCCTCCCCTCCTCAAACAACTGTCCTCCAGTTATATGAAAACTACGCTTGGAATGAATTTTTTAGATTAGAAGGAGATCGAAGGGGCTATCTCTTTATAATGTTCAACAGCCGTGGTGACTAAATTGTTCACTCTGTAGCCATTTGGACTGAGTTTGGAATCCAAAGTCCATTTATTTAATGGGGGTATGAGGAATGGCGTCAGGGTTAACATGTGCAGCGCAAAATAAAAATGTTTTTGTGAGTGTAAGGGGAAACAAACAACTTTATATAATCAGAACATCGTACTGATATTCTTCTATTCAGATGAAGAGCACCTGATGATGTTTGCTTCCTTATTTTCTCTCCAATGAATACCTCCCGTGATTCAGACTGTTGAGGCACAATGTGACTTTTTCTTTTATTTATTTACCGAGACCTTGGCCTTGGATGAATAGTTATTCTTGCCCTTGTGTGTCTAACTTCCAGTGTGTCACTTACCCTATATTGCACTTTAGGAGCAGCGTGAAATCATTGTAAGCCTGTGGGATTTGTAATTTTTAAAATCCTGAATTTAAGTAACATATATGAATATTTATTCTTAAGATATTAGAGACAAAGCTATAAATTCCTATTTAATTCAATTGGCATAGTGATCAAATTCAATGAGACCATGCCTTCAATATTTTTATCAGATTTATTGAGGATATATAACCCCATTATCAAGATATGCATCACTCCCAAAGATTCTCCCATGCCCTTTTTTTCCCCCATGTCCTTTTGTAGTTAACACTTACCCTCACACCATGTGTCTGGCAACTTAATAACCACTGAGATATTTTCATTTTCTTTAGTTCTGCCTTTTCCAAAAATTCATGTATGTGGAATCATCCAATGTGTGGTTTTCTGAGCCTAGCTTCCTTCATTTAGCACTATGTGTTTGAGATTTTTCTATGTGTTACATATACCACTAGTTTTTTTTATCGTTGAGAAGTATTCTGTTGTGTGATGCACTATGTGGTATATTACCAGTCTAAAAACATTTAGTTTATTTTCAGTTTGGAGTAATTAGGAACAAAGCCTTATTGTGAAATTTCAAATAACAGATTTTGTGTATATACAAATTTTTATTTTTTTCAGATAAATACCTTAAAAGTGGCATTGCTAGTGCAAATGTTAACTATATGTTTAACATCATAATAAATTATTTTCTGAAGTGACTGTAACATGTCCCATGTTCATGAATGATGCATAAACAATACAGTTTGTCTCTATCATCATCAGGACCCAATTGTGTCACACGCACAAGAAAACACAACACTTATTTTAACTATGTAGTGGGTTCAGTTACAATCCCCCAAAGCCACATGTCCCCAAGACTTCAGAATTAGAACTTATTTGGAATCAGGGTGCAGATGAAATTAACATAAGATTCTCAAGATGAGTTCAATTTGGAATAGGTTGGGTACTAAAATCTGACAAGCCCTAATACACGAAAATAAGGGGTAGTCGACAGAGACACACAGGGAGAGTGACCCTGTGTAGATGGAGGCAGAGATGGCACTAATGCATTTACAAGCCAAGGACACCAAGAATTGCCAAAACCACCTGAAGTCAGAAGGTGACATGACATGGATTCTACCTGAAAGCCTGCAGAGGGGAGTTTGCACTCTTGGCCTCCAGAACTCTGAAATAATACATTTCTGTTGTTTTAATCCATCCCATGTGAGGCCATTTGTTATGGCAGCCTTAGGAAACAAATACACTATTCAAACAGATGGGCAGTAGCATCGCTTTGTGATTTTAATTTACATTTTATGAAAGACTGATGTTAAGCATGTATTTATATACTTATTTTCTATATAAAATTTACATATATATGTATATATAGAGAGATGCTCTTCAAAGTTTTGCCCTTTTTTATTGTTGAGTTTTGAATATTATTTATACATTCCATATACATATCATTTATTGGTTATAGTTTTTAAATATTTTCCCCAGTGCATCACTCATCTTTTTATTTTCTTAAGACTGAATTTTTTGAATAGCAGAAGTTTTTAATGTGTTAAAGTCAAATTTGTCAATTCTTATTTGTGTGTGTTTGTGTGTGTGTGTGTGTGTTTATGTGTGTGATTTCTAAGAATTTTTTTGCCTAAACCAAGGTTAAAAAATTTCTTCTAGATATTACTCTGGAAAATTTATAGATTTAGGTAATGCATTTAGGTGTATGATCAATTTGAGCTAATTTTTATATATGCTGTGTGTGTGTGTGTGTCAAGGTTTATGTTCTGCATATAATTAGATGATTAAAGAATTACTCATTTATTATTATTTTTGGACTAAAACCTCTATTTTGCTACCTGTTTTCTGTTTGCTTCAAATGTCCTTTGACCACTTTGCACTCTGCCTGCATTTGGATTGAGTATATTTTACCCAATTATTAGCTTTCATTTATACTTTTTAAAATCACTTTCTTTATTACTGTCTTCTGTTTGGTTAGTTTGCTTTCTTTTGTTTTACCCTGGCTTTGTGGTTGCCCTAGGATTCACAATATAATTTTCGTATAAATCACTTTCTGTATTTTTGAAGAACAATGTACATGTTGGTAAAGTTTAAATGAGAACTAAGCAAAACTAAATTTATTTATTTATTATTATTTCTTCCTTTGCTTGCTTCCTTGTTTCACCACTCACTTTATGGGTCAGACTTTCAAAAACAGGTAGTCTTTTCAGTGTGCTTATTACCGGGCTAGGTAGTATGCTATTATAGATACAACCTTTTGAGGGAAAGCTTATATTTAATTAACTTGCTTTTATATCTTCAACACATAGGATATATTATGTGTCAGATAAATATATTTTTTAATTTTCTGCAATTTGACCAAAATAATTTAGATATAACATCTATTAAATATATATTTTATATATACATATAAAATAAAGTACACATACCAAAGTATACAGTTTTATGAGAGCTGTGATCTATTTACACCTGGAATATCAATACCAAAATTATCATAATGAACATATACATGATGCCCAATAGTTTCTTCATGTCCCTTTGCAGCTCATCCTCATTATTCCATCTTGTTATTACCAGAAAACTTCTAACCTACTTTAAGTATTGATTTGTTTGCAGCTTTTAAAGTTTTATATAAAGAATCATATATCATGTACTAATTATTTTTGGTGTGACTGCAAATATTTTTGGCCATTAAAAAAAGATTGTTTTATTATTTAGTTGTAAGAGTTCTTTATATATTGTAGATATAAAGCCTTTGTCAGATATATATTTCACATATTTTTCTCTCAGCCTGTGGTTTGCCTTTTCATTTTTATAGTACTGACATTTGAAGTGCAAAAGGTTTAATTTTGATGCAGCTTAATTTATAATTTATTATTTTATATTTCATCTTCTGATGTAGTATCCAACTGTTACCTAAGTCAATATCACAAAGATTTTCTTTTGCTTTTTCTTCTAGAAATGTTATACTTTTCCATTTTCCATTTACATTTTTAGGTTTTTTTGTGTGTGTGGAACAAGGCTTATTTCCTCATGTGTATTCTACCAGCACCATTGTTGAAACATATCAGATTCAATTGAATTGCCTTTGAAACAATTCAAATATAAATTGGCCGTATATTTGATGGGCTATTTTTGGACTCTCTATTTCCTTCAATTATTTAAATATTTATAATTATATTAAGCCCATATAGTCTTGAAGACTGTACCATTATACCGTATATGTAACTCCAAGCAGATTTCCTACTTGTTTCCTGGGAGCTGACTTGTGCAGCTGCAGTCAGATGGCAGCTCTGTTGAGGCAGTCTAGTGGGCCAGTCTAGCAGGGCTTTGCTCACATGTGTCATAAGTAGCAGGGTGTTGGCCAGGGTTCCCTGACTCTTTACATGGCTCTTCAATGGAAAGCCCATAGTTCATAAATGGTAGTAAGGGAGGAGACCACCCCTCACATTGTCTTATGCCCAATTTCTGCCTCCAAAGAAAGAAAAAGTAAAAACTAAAAGGCAGAAATGAAATCCACAAGCAGACAGCCCGGCGCCACACCCTGGGTCTGGTAGTTAAAGATCAACCCCTGACCTAATTGGTTATGTTATCTACAGATTACATTGTATAGAAAAGCACTGTGAACATCCCTATCCTGCTTTGTTCCAATCTAATTACCAGTGCATGCAGCCCCCAGTCACGTACCTCCTGCTTGCTCAATCGATGACCACCCTCTCACGCGCAGCCCCCAATCATGTACCTCCTGCTTGCTCAATCGATGACGACCCTCTCACGCGCACCCCCTTAGAGTTGTGAGCCTTTAAAAGGGACAGGAATTGCTCACTCAGGGAGCTTGGCTCTTGAGACAGGAGTCTTGCCGATGCCCCCAGCCAAATAAACCCCTTCCTTCTTTAACTGGGTGTCTGAGGAGTTTTGTCTGTGGCTCGTCCTGCTACATTTCTTGGTTCCCTGACTGGGAAGTGAGGTGATTGGTGGATGGTTGAGGCAGCTCCTTAGGCGGCTTAAGCCTGCCCTGTGGAACATGCCTGCTGGGGACTCCGACCAGCCTGAGAGACGCAGATCCTGAGAGCGCTCCCGGGTACGCATTTGCCCCGGTTGGACGCCTCGCCAGAGCAGTGTGTGGCAGGCTACCGTGGAGGATCAACACAGTGGCTGAACACCATGAAGGAGCAGGCACTTGGAGTCTGGACATCTAAAACTTGGTAAGACTAGTCTTTGAAACTTGCCCACTCCATTTGAGTGGAAGCATGGCCTGATCACCCACGACATGCCTTTATCGGCACTTTGGTTTTGGTTTTGACTTGGTTTGAATTACTTGACAGGACCGGTCTTGGGAACTTGCCCACTCCATTTGAGTGGAAGCGTGGCCTGATCACCCACGGTGTGCCTGTACCGGCCTTTGGTTTTTGTTTTTGACTTGACTTGGATTGCTTGATACTTTGGTTTTGGTTTTGACCTGGCTTGGATTTCCGGATACTCTGATTTTGGTTTTGATTTTGGTTTGGTGTAAACTACAAAAGTGCGTGTGTGCCCTTTTTACCCATTCTTTGTTTTGTGGTGCACGTGTGGTGTGAGCATGATGTTTTGTCTCGAGGAAACATGGGTGAGGTACAAAGTAAGCCCACCCCACTAGGAACTATGTTGAAAAATTTCAAAAAAAGGATTTAAAGGAGACTATGGAGTACTATGACACCAGGAACACTTAAAACTTTGTGTAAGACTGGCCAGCATTAGAGGTAGGTTGGCCATTAGAAGGAAGCCTGGACACGTCTCCTGTTTCAAAGGTATGGCAGAAGGTAACCGGTAAGCCAGGGCACCCAGACCAGCTCCCGTTCATAGACACTTGGTTACAGCTGGTTTTAGACCCCCCGCCCCCAACACACCGTGGTTGAGAGAACAGCAGAATAAGCGGCTGGCAGAGGCAAGGAAAGACCAGCAGAGAGAGAGAAAGGAAAGAGACAGAGAGGAAGAGACAGACAAAGAGGGAGTCAAGGAGAGAGAGAGAGAGAGAGAGAGAGAGGCAGAGAGAAAGAGAAAGAGACAGAGGCAAAAGGAAAGTGAGAGAGAGACAAAGTCAAAGAGAGAAAGAAAGAAAGAAAAATGATTTAACATTAACCACTGAAAATTCCCTTAACCCAGCAGGTTTCGTAACAGGGGATCTAAATCTTAATTACCATAAAAGGTCTTATCAGACCTAGGAGGAACTCCCTCCAGGACAGGATGATCGATGGTTCCTCCCGGGTAATTGAAAAAAAAAAAAGCCATGTATACCAATTCTAATTTGGACAAAACAAGGTCTTATTAATAGCAAAGGATAATTAAAATCCCAAACTTACAAGGTTTTCAATGAAAGTAAAGTTTGCTAAAAGTTAACAGTGTAACATGTATTATAGTAACTTCTATTCTTGCAGACTTAGACAGTCTAGTCCACAGACATAAAAAAAAAGGTTTGCTTTGGAAAAGAATGGTTATCATCTTCGAAAAAAAAAAAAAGAGAGAGAGAAAAAAAGGGGAGGGGGCAGAATTTATATAAAAAGAATGTTATATGGTAAATTCTTGTCCTGAAATAAATTAACTGGTTGTTTAAAGAAAGAAATGTATGTAATAAGTCAGAAAGTTAAGGCAGGTCGAAAAATTGCCTGTAAAAGTTGTGAAAGAAAAAAAAGGTTATTAAAAAAAGTGTGTTAAAAAAAGAATTTATGCAAAATACGTTGTGTAATTTAAAAGTAACTAGGCCTCCTAAATGTAAAACTATTGAAAAAAAAAACAACAGTTTATGTACAAGATGTATAAGGAAAGTAAAATATACCTTTGGTAAAAGGATTATAAGGAGGCATAAGATTGTACATTTTCACCTACATTAAAAAGTTAAAAAAAATATTGTTTTGAAGGTTTAAGCAAGTTTTAAAATGTTAATTGTAAAGAAAATTCTGTGTGTAAACATATTAGCTAAAGTTAAAGATGTATCATCCAGTTTTTCTGTGAACTGGACATTAAAGTAAAAGCATAACAGGTTTTTCTTAAAGCACCAACCTGCTCTTTAGCAAAAAGTATAAAAGGTTAAAAAGAGTCTATAAAATCTTACCTTATAGTCAAACATTAAAAATTAGATAAATATGTCTACAAGGTTTTATTAAAATTAGGTTTAACATTAATAACACACTAATATAAAGATAAAATTTAGCTTATCTGGTATAAAAATCATACAAAAAGCATTACTAAATATAAAATAGTGTTTAGCTTTCTTTGGTCTAAATACTAATAAAAATAGGTGCTAAAGGAAATTTATCAGTAAAAAGGCACTAAGGCCTATAAAGTCCACTGCCAAAGTCCCTACATTTAAAACAAAAGGTTAATTTCTTAGAAATCATATACTTGGTTTATCTTCCACTTTCCTTTCTCTCAAAAACTAAGTCTTTTAGCACATGTACCACCCCTAGAATTTCCAGTAAACCAGCACCAGCCTAAAGATCACGTTCCCATCAAAGGGTAGAAAGAAGAAAAACTCGAGCCAGCCTGGGAAGGACCCTACCCTGTGCTGCTAACCACCAAGACTGCTGTTCGTACAGCAAAAAAAAAAAAAAAAAAAAAAAAGATGGACTCATCACACCCAAGTCAAGAAAGTGCCACCCCCTCCAGAGTCGTGGGCCATAGTCCCAGGGGAAAACCCTACCAAACTAAAGCTAAGAAAAATGTAACTCTTTTCATCTATTCTATTACTCTTTCTTCTTTCCTCGTTCTATTGCTGACCATCTAGTTATTAACATAACCAAGTCAATTTTGCCTCAAACTACTGCATTTAATGATTGTCTTGTTATACCCTGTGGGGACTTGCCAAGTCAAAGACAGCTCTCTACTTCAGAAAAGTACTTCTGTCCCTCCTGACTCTCCTCAGACTGGGAATTGGTAAACTAGGACCATTGAATCCAGGGAGATTTCGATAAAGACCCCAGTGCCAACCAGGAGTCTTGCCCCCCAATGTAGTTGCCATAGTTGGTCCAACGTTCTGTGGACCACTAAAGAGCAAGGATGGACTGCCCCAGCCGGTTTTTGTAATTTCCTAAAAGCATACATTCATTTTACCAGAGGATCATAGAAGTTGAAGACTTAAAACAAACTTCAGCAATTAAGACAGGATACCAAGATGCAAATGCCTGGTTAAAATGGATCAAATAGTCCATCTGCATATTAAACAAAAGCAATTGTTATGCTTGTGCACATGGCAGGCCAGAGACCCTGATTGTCCCCCTTCCACTAAGGTGGTCCTCCAGTCGACCAGGTGTGGGCTGCATGGTAGCTCTTTTCCAGGATTCTACAGCCTGAAGTAATAAGTCATGCCAAGCTCTCTCTGCTGTATCCCAAAGTCCGACACCCTGCGGGTCAGCCCCAGAGGGCCATCCATCCTCCGTCTCCCAACACTAAGTTCACTTCGTGTCTCTCACGACAGGGAGGAAACAGCATTCCTTGGAGACCTGAAAGGATGCAGCGAGCTTAAGAATTTTCAAGAGCTTATCCATCAGTCAGCCCTAGTTCATCCCTGAGTGGATGTGTGGTGCTATTGGGGTGGACCTTTACTGGGCACTCTGCCGAATAACTGGAGTGGCACTTGTACTTTAATCCAATTGGCTATCCCTTTCGCCCTGGCATTTCATCAACCAGAAGAAAAAAAAAATAAGACATCATAAAGCGAGAGAAGCCCCTTAGGGGTCTTTTGACTCTCATGTCTATTTAGATGCAATTGGAGTCCCACAAGGAATACCAGATCAATTTAAAGCTTGAAATCAAATAGCTGCAGGATTTGAGTCAACATTTTGGTGGGTGACAGTTAATAAAAATGTAGATTAGATAAACTACATCTATTACAACCAAGAGCAACGAGCTTTTCATGAGTTAAAGGAAAAACTCTTGTCGGCCCCAGCCCTGAGGCTACCTGACCTGACAAAACTCTTTACACTCTATGTGTCAGAAAGAGGAAAAATGGCAGTTGGAGTTTTAACCCAGACTGTGGGGCCCTGGCCAAGGCCAGTGGCCTATCTCTCAAAACAACTAGACAGGGTTTCCAAAGGCTGGCCCCCAGGTCTAAAGGCCCTAGCAGCAACGGCCCTGTTAGCACAAGAAGCAGATAAACTAACCCTTAGGCAAAACCTGAATATAAAGGACCCCCATGCTGTGGTAACTTCAGTGACTACTAAAGGACATCATTGGTTAACAAATGCTAGATTAACCAAGTACCAAAGCTTGCTATGTGAAAATCCCCACATAACCACTGAAGTTTGCAACACCCTAAACCCCAGCACCTTGCTCCTGGGATCAGAGAGCCCAGTTAAACATAACTGTGTAGAGGTGTTGGACTCAGTTTATTCTAGCAGGCCCAACCTCCAAGACCATCCTTAAACATCAGTAGAATGTGAGCAGTACATGGATGGGAGCAGCTTTGCCAACCCCTGCAAAGTGACTCTGAAGAAGATGCCAAGCCCTACTCCAGTCACACCCGGAAGCTGACTGGTCCACGCAAGGCCAAAGCATGAGGAAACTCATCGCAGGACTCATTTTCCTTAAAATTTGGACTTTTACAGTAGGGACTTCAACTGACCTTCCTCAGACTGAGGACTGTTCCCAGTGTATACATCAAGTCAGTGAGGTAGGACAAAAGGTTGCTATGGTCCTAGTATTTTATGGTTATTGTAAGTGTACTGGAACTCTAAAAAGAACTTGTTTGTATAATGTTATTCTATACAAGGTAGGTAGCCCAGGAAATAACCAACCTGATGTGTGTTATGACCCATCTGAGCCTCCCATAACCACAGTTTTTAAAATAAGATTAAGGACTGAGGACTGATGGGGGCTCATAAACTATATGAGTAAAGTTTTAGCCAAAACAGAAGAAAAAAGGGTGCCCAAACAAGTCACCTTAAAATTTGATGCCTGTGCTGTCATTAATAGTAATAAGTTAGAAATAAGGTGTGGTTCTCTTAATTAGAAAAGAGGCTATATGGCAGAAAATAAATACATCTGTCATAAATTAGGACTGTGTGGAAATAAATGTAAATACTGGTCTTGTGTCATTTAGGCCACTTGGATTTAAAAAAAATGAAAAGGATCCAGTCCACCTTCAGAAAGGAAAAAAATGGCCCTTCCTCTACTAAGGGACAATGTAACCCCTTAGAGCTAGTAATAACCCATCCCCTTGAACCTCGCTGGGAAAAAGAGAAGCGTGTGATCTTAGGAATCGACGGGGCCAGACTGGATCCTCGAGTAAGTATCTTGGTTCGAGGAGAAGTTTACAAACGCTCTCCAGAGCCAACGTCTCAAACTTTCTATGATGAACTAAATGTGTCAGTACCAGAAATTCCAGGAAAAACAAGAAATTTGTTTTTGCAATTAGCCGAGCACGTAGCCCAGTCTCTCAATGTCACTTCACGTTATGTATGTGGAGGAACTGTAATAGGAGATCAATGGCCATGGGAAGCCCAAGAATTAGTACATACAGACCCAATTCCTGAGGGATTCCTGGCTCAAAAGAATCACCCTGATAATTTCTGGGTCCTAAAAGCCTCAATTATTGGACAATATTGCATAGCTAGAGAAGGAAAAGAATTCACTCACCCCATAGGATGACTTAGTTGTCTGAGACAGAAACTGTACAATGGTACCACAAAAACAATCACTTGGTGGAGTTTGAATCACACAGAGAGAAATCCATTTAGTAAATTCCCAAAGTTGCAAACCGTGTGGACCCACCCAGAGTCCCACCGGGACTGGACAGCCCCCACTGGATTATACTGGATATGTCAGCATAGAGCTTACACCAACTTACCTGACCAGTAGGCAGGTAGTTGTGTTACTGGCATGATTAAACCATCTTTCTTCCTACTGCCCATAAAAACAGGTGAACTCCTGGCTTCCCTGTCTATGCTTCCCGTGAATAGAGAAGCATAACTATAAAAAATTGAAAAAATGATAAATGGCCCCCTGAGAGAATCATACAATATTATGGGCCTGCTACTTGGGCACAAGACGGCTCGTGGGGATACCGGACCCCCATTTACATGATCAACCGAATCATATGGTTACAAGCTGTCTTAAAAATAATCACTAATAAAACGGGCAGAGCCTTGACTATTCTGGCCTGGCAAGAAACTCAGATGAGAAATGCTATCTATCAAAATAGATTAGTTCTTGACCACTTGCTAGCAGCTGAAGGAGAGGTCTGTAGGAAATTTGACCTTACTAATTGCTGCCTACACATAGATAATCAAGGGCAAGTAGTTGAAGACATAGTTAGAGATATGACAAAACTGGCACATTTGCCCGTGCAAGTGTGGCATGGATTTGATGCTGGGGCCGTGTTTAGAAAATGGTTCCCAGCGCTAAGAGGATTTAAAACTCTTATAATAAGAGTTATAATAGTAATAGGAAGCTACTTACTGCTCCCTTGTTTGCTACCTGTACTTCTTCAAATGATAAAAAGCTTCATTGCTACCTTAGTTCACCAAAATGCTTCAGCACAAGTGTACTATATGAATCACTATCGATCTGTCTTGCAAGAAGACATGGGTAGTAAATATGAAAGTGAGAACTCCCACTATTGAGTGAGAGTCTCAAATAGGGAGAATAAGGGAGGAGACCACCCCTCATATTGTCTTATGCCCAATTTCTGCCTCCAAAGAAAGAAAAAGTAAAAACTAAAAGGCAGAAATGAAATCCACAAGCAGACAGCCCAGCGCCACACCCTGGGCCTGGTAGTTAAAGATCGACCCCTGACCTAATCAGTTATGTTATCTACAGATTACAGACATTGTATAGAAAAGCACTGTGAAGATCCCTATCCTGTTTCGTTCCGATCTAATTACCGGTGCACGCAGCCCCCAGTCACGTACCCCCTGCTTGCTCAATGGAGCACGACCCTCTCACACGCACCCCCTGAGAGTTGTGAGCCCTTAAAAGGGACAAGAATTGCTCACTCAGGGAGCTCGGCTCTTGAGACAGGAGTCTTGCCGATGCCCCTGGCCAAATAAACCCCTTCCTTCTTTAACTCGGTGTCTGAGGAGTTTTCTCTGTGGCTCATCCTGCTACAGTAGTTCCTGGGTTCCCAGTAGGAAAAGAGGCCAACCCTCAGTAAGCAAACACTTTTCAAGTTTTTACTTGTATCATACTTGCTAATGCCCTCTGACCAAAGCAATTTGCAAGGCCATGCCGAGATTCTAAGGATGGAGAGAAAAACTTCACCTCTTTTTTGAGGAGTCGCAAAGTCACATTGGGAAGAACGTACCTACATGGATGGGAAAAAAATGTGGCCGTTTTTTCACTCTACCACAATTCCATTGATTTATATTCCATTCAATATCTACTATGTTGACCAATTTTGAACCATTCTTGTTTCCTACTTAATGTGAAAAAAAATACAGTATCATCTTTAAACCCTTCCTTTTTCTTTCACCCTGTCAATGTCTTCACTGTAAACCATGCTAGCACATACCAAATATATATATGTGTGTGTGTGTGTGTGTGTGTGTGTGTGTGTGTGTGTGTGTGAAATCATTTCAAATTCTTATTCTGCATACTGGGAGAAAATAAATTCTAGACTTATTTGGTACTGAAGTCATTAATACCAAAGAATTTCCATATTAATATTACTACTCATTGATTTACTGTGTCAGTATGACTCTGTTACACCTCGTATCTGCCAATAGTGATTAAGCGCTGAATGGCATTTACCTGTAACATTTGTCTACTATGAACTGTTTTCAGGAAGATTTAATTTACACATTTAAGGACAGTAGAGCCAATATAATGTTGTTTAAAAATAGCATTTCTTAACTGCTATAAGACATCTATGAGTCTTCAACCCTATTATTCTGTCTCTTCCTTTCGTTTTTATTAATGACATTGCAGCACAGCTGAAGGCATGTCACAATTTATCATTTATCTTGAATATAGAACATGGATTAAAACAATAAAATTAGTCACCTATATATTGGCTTTCTTTTTTTTAACTTTTCAATTAGATTGACATCATTAGGAAAGACATTGACTATGAAGTACATCAAAATGAAGAACAAGTGGATATATTTTCACATGAATCCAGTTTTGTAAGTGGCTTATTAGGAAAGTGAGGTGGGAAAAGCAGTGGGAACGCGGAGGGCTATATCCTTTCTCTAGCTTGGCTGCTAACTCATTATTTATCTCAACAGGGTTACATCTCTCTAAGCCATAATTTATTTCTCTATAAATCTATGAGTTGGGAGTAACAAGCTGGTTTTCCCCAGGTATTAACAGAGCTACTTCCAGGGTTCACCACAATTGTAACTTGGTTTCACTTCTGATTTTACATTTAACTTTAAAAAAGAAAACTGAAAATTTTCACGTGTGGATGCTTTATTCATCAACTTTTCATACTTTGTGTTTGTTGTGGAGTGAATGCTGGATTAATCCCTTTTTTGAGTGTAACAGATAGTCTCCTCTGCATTTTTTGCTTAATTAAAATTGCCACTCTACTATGGACTCAATTATGTCCACTAAAAATGTATATGTTGATGCTGTAATCCCCAAATGTGATAGTATTCAGAGATAGAGCCTTTGGTAGATGAGGTTGTAAGGGTGGGGCCCTAATGATGAGATTGTTGCCCTTATAAGAAGAGACACCAGAGAGCTTGATCACTGTCTCCACCATGTAAGGACAATGAAAAGGCAGCCAGATAGAATCCAGGAAGAGAATCTGATCCTGCTGGGCTTCTAACCTCCAGAGTTCATCTTGGACTTCTAACCTCCAGAACTGTGAGAAATGAAATTATTGTTGTTTAAACTACCCAGTCTATGGTATTTGATATAGCAGCCTGAGCTGCCTAAGACATCTTTTTCTGACTGTAACAGAATAAAATCTTTTCTGCATCCTTTGCTTCATTAAACATTTTTAATATATAGATTTTTAAATTTATGAGAGTTTTATGGATATTAGGCAACCAAAACAAAGCGACAAACTCATTAGGATGTTACAGGCTTTATAAGACCCCATGAATTCCCTCCCCCATCTCAAAGTCACTTATTTATTAAAATGACCTTAATTTTCCATATGATTTTTGTTAAATACATACTACCAGTTTCATTGTGTGTATTTTTTATTGTATTAAAAAGTTCCTTCGCCTATTCTGTATGTCCACATATAAAATAGCCTGTGACAAAAATATTCTACACTGAGAATGTGAAACTTGAGAAAAGGAAAATAGCTGAGAGCAGTCTGAGATCTGCAAAGTATGCAGACCCAGAGAGACGTGGGTATGGGATTCAGTCATGCTCACACCCCACACCCATGCCTAGGGGAAATTGTTTAAAGTCATTTTGTTCCTGACTGCCTCACTCAATACCTTCATGTTCTTAGAATTTATGATACAAAGAACAATGCTGAGCCAATCAATGGCTTATATTATTTTAATGTAAATCCTCGGTAAAAACCTCAGGAACTGACTCTTTCTTTCCCTTTAAAATCCACTTGTTACTGTTGCTAATCAGAGTGTATATTCAGGACAAATAGAATCTATGCTCTTGGGCTGCAGCCCTCAAACTTGGCCCAAGTAAACTCTGCTTAGTAATAGATTAATTTTAGCTCAGCAGGTTCCTTTGAGATAGGCATATCTGGCATCGTCAGCAGGATTCAGAGTGACTCATTCTCACCACCAGGTGCGGTGTTTCTGCCTGAAAGCAGTGCTTGATACCAGCACGAACTCTGCATCTTCAGAAGTCCCACTGGGTGTTCTGGGTAAGTTCTCCAGAATTAGGACCTCCCACTCCTTGGTTGAAATATAGACTTTATTTGGCTGTTTTTCAAACTGTCTCTTTTCTTTAAGAGAGGGCTTTGGTCTCTGTCTTTGGACACAAGCTCCAAGTAAAGAGCTCTGTAGAAAATGTCTTTTTGCTGCTGTGTCTCACAGGAGAGGTTCAGATCAAGGTTCTTCCACCTCTGCCTCAGGACTGGAGGCTTAGGTCAAGGTTTTTCTGCCTCTGTCTCACAGCAGAGGTTCAGGTCAAAGGATTGGCAGTTAGACACGGATGGTTTTGTTTTATATGGCCTACTTTTAAGATTAAAACTGTTTCTTCTGCTTAAAAATTCAGACCTATCCTTTTATTTGAGACCAATTCCTGTTAGTTTCTAACCGAAAAGTGTTCCCTCTTTTTGCTCTTCCAAACAGGTACACTATGAAAGTCTGGTCCTCATACACTGAGCACACTATTGCTCCCTGGAAGTTAGAGACAGTCTGAGATAAGTTACACTTTCACCCTAAATACATTCCCAGGCTTGACACTTTTGAAAAGTTCCTAAATTATGGGAAGTCAAGCATCAAAATTAGAGTATTCCTTTTAGAAACACCAGCTGGATTTATGTATAACACTCGTGGGGTATCCTCTTGTAAAGGCCTAGGAAAGTGGACCCACCTAACCTGGTGATACAGAAGGCAGAAATTATTTAGGCAGATAGTGAGGGCAACAGAGTTCTTGGCAGAGCTTCCCTTCTAACAAAAAGCAGCCCCCCAAATCATTGCTTTTCTAACAAAGAGCAGCCTGAAAAATAGAGCTGCAAACATAGATAATCAAGCAGGAAGCTTGCACGGGCGAATGCTGGCAGAGGCACCAATAGAAAAGGGCCACCTGGGGGCCAGGCATGTCCAACACGGAGGCTCCATCTTCCCTTTTCTTGTTACCATGTGTAGAGTAAAGAAACGGGCAACATGGCACAGCTCAGGCAGAAGACCCGCCTGCATAATAAAAGATTATGGTAGGGGTGGCCAGAAATTCATACCCTATGCACACGGCACATCTAGTCCCAACCAGTTTTTCATGACCTATGCAAGTGGCACACCTGGTCCAACCAATGTTTCACACCCTGTGTAAATCAAACACTGCCTCCTCACCAGGCATCTATAAAACCCCTTGCATTTCACCATGGATCCGGCAACCCATTTTTCTGGACCCCTGTCTGCAACAGAGAGCTCTTCTCTTTCTTTTGCCTATTAAACTTCCACTCTCAACCTGACACTTTATGCATCTGCATCCTAGATTTCTGTGTCTGTGAGACAACAGATCTTGGGTGTTACTCCACAATGAGGCCATTTCACTGGGACGATCATAAACAGCAGTAACCAAAATAAGAATCCTTTGCTATGTTGAAAATAATTCTTTGTGCACACAATTGGAAAAAAAAGCTGGTTTTTGCACCACACAAACTGAATCAGAGTAGTTTGTTTGTCTTGAATTAAATCTGGTAATAAGAAATTTAAAAAGATTCTTTCTTAGAGCTCTATGGTCAGAAGTCAGCTTAACTAAAAGCTGACATTTAGGCTATAATTTTAAAAATAAGAATAAAAGGGGCTTTCTGCATTTTCTTCTTTTGGATCCTGTTTTGGGGGATTTTTTTCCGTTGACTGAAACTCTTTTTAAATGTGTTTGATCCCTCTGGTTACTTCCTATCTTGTTGGCATAATTTTTGCTGAGAAAAATGTAAAACATCATTTGCCTTTTAGAAAGCTTAACATGCCCCCAAATTGGCTCTTATAAGACTTATTCTTTTGTTTCTTTTCACTTCTGATCCTTTTTTCACTATTTTTGATACCACAAATAATAGTAGTAATAATAATAATAAAATAATATAGTATATCTCTAGAGGAGATATATTGTATTATTGTCTTTCAAAATTGTATGATATTCCTAAAATTATGATGTGTTAACATATGTTGTCAGACACAAATATGGTTATTATGTTACACTGTCATTCGCCACAGAATTTCCTTGTCAATTGTGTTTTTAACCATGGTTAGTCTAAGTCTTTTGTCATTCATAGAAAATTATTGTTTTACTTGGATTCTTCTCAGAAAGTGGTTTACAATTGACAACAGTCCAAAATTTGCTTTTTTTTTTTTTAAGACAATTCATGAGAATGAACCCTGACAAGTACTCTTGAATACAGGTTTCTAATAACTTTGGAGATTGTATTATTAGACTAAGTAAAGACTTTAAGAACTCCCATAAACTGATGTGTTCATGAAGATTTCTAACTCAACATCAAGCAGAATGAGAATTTATTATGTGGGACTGAACTGATAGAAAAAGAAGACTGAAATGCTTTTTAGGACTTTGTGTTTAAAACATTGCTGATTCTTTTTATATTTGTTTTGCAGAGTAAATGAAACTTTTTTGAGCTGTTTATAGCTTACAGAATTGGGTGAAATATAACATTTGTGAACAACATTCTCTATACCTTATTTCTCCAAAATTTAAAATCCATTTATTAATAATCTTATTTTATGGTAACCATAAAATAAGATACACTGATTATTATACTAAGGCTATGACCAAAATGGCATATTTTTGGATATTATCAGACTGCTTTAAAAAATTAAGATTGACTTTATAGAGTCAATAAAAAGTCCTCAGAGAGATTGACCTGGTACTTTGTCTACATAGTTCCTTTCAAAAATTCTGACCTTGCAGTAAGTAAAGAATGTCAATATCCAACAGGCCCAGGAAACTCAAGATATCTTGGGGACCTTGAGAAGGGAGAAGTTTATTCAATTTGTACAGGTATTACAGGCACATTCTAATTGTGAATCTTTGACTTGGCTTCCTAGCCTGGAGACTTATAAAAGCCTAATCTGAAATTCCTTAAGAAAGTTTCAGCAAAGCCAATTTAAAAGAGCCTATATGGTAATCGCTATTCTTGTTGTGTTTTTTGAAAATAATCAGGCTCAGTACAACACTAAAACTTATTTTGGAAGTAAATTGGTCCTACTAAGATTTGTCTTAGGTGTAAATGGGAAACTGGAGAGAGAAAAATTATGGTTCAGAGAAAAATTATAGCATACCTGTTATTAGATTCCAGCCCTGACCACTGTTTTTGAGTTTTTGTCATTTTCCAATAATTTGGACTGAATCCCCAATGAAACAGGTTTTTTACTATGTATTTATCAGTTTTTCTTCTTCTGAGAAAACCAAAAGCATGAAATTCTGAAGACTGGAGATGACTTAACAAGAAATGACAGTTATAGAAATCAATGACTTGACTGAGGATTATCCAAGAATGAGCCTTCCCAGTGCCAAGGGATGAAGGCCTAAGAGATTGATCATCACTGCTTCCATGGGAAGATTTTTTATAAACAGGAGAAATGAGGAAAGGAAAATAGCTCCGAGCAGTCTGAAGTCTGCAAGGTGTGCAGGGCCAGAGAGACATGAGTATGTATATGATGCCACACTATGCCTAGGAAAAGTTTAGTCCTTGTGCCCCTGACTAGCTGCCTCGCCCATTATCTTCATGTTCCTAGAATTTGTAACACAAAGAACAATGTACAACCTATAAATAGCTTATGTTATTTTAATGTAAATTTTTGGTAAACAACTCAGGAACTGCCTCTTCTTTCCCTTTACTTCCCTAATTGTTTACAAGCAACACTTATTACGTTGCTGATTTGAGTGTATATTCAGGATAAATAGAATCTATGCTCCTGGGTTGCAGCCCTCAAGCTTGGTCCAAATAAACTCTCTACTTACATTGTTTGCCTCAGCTGCTTCCTTTTTTGTCAAAAAATCCACGGAATTAAATGCTCTCTTGAAATATTTTAAAGATTAATCTTGACTGGTTCCCATGTCAAGAGAAGGAAACTTAAAAAAAAAAAAACTGTATAGAGGTGCTATATTCTCACTGCTGAGTTGCTGGTAAGTTTTCATTTTTAATGAGGTCCGTGTCACACTGAAGGGTTGGAAGTTCTAGCTTGAAGATGTAGCATATGGTGGTTTTATTAAGGAGACTCAAGAAAAGCTTAAAGGGATAGGTAAGAACCCATGGTTAGCAGAGAATTTATTATGAATCTGAACATTTTTAACACAAAATATTAAAATTCAGAAATATGTGCCAAAGCTGTCAAGTTAGAATTAAGCCTTATGTGAGAATCCAAATGAGTAGGGTCAGAGGATCTTGGTACTGAAAGTATCATTACATGTTGGAGATCATGCAATAGTAAAGTCCAGAGACACAGATGAAGGAAATGAATTTTCCCAAGTATATACTCTAAGCCTCAGACATAGCTAGGTTCAAGCATGAAAGTGATCATACATATTATCACAGGGAAAGACAGTAGGGTTTTAGACCCTTTTCTCCTAAAATATTTCTAGAGTTTGCAAAACTTAGCTAACCTATGAACAACTGGTGCTCTGCATATCATTGAATAATTTTATCACCCCCCTATTTAGTTATTAAAAGCTTAATTGACAAAATGCCTATCTACTTCCTGTATTTCTACATTAGTTGCATTCCTATTTGCTTTATGTTTGTGTAACAAAAGAACCATTTTGAAGATTTTGCCAAAACAAAGAAAAGATTTCCTAAATATTTCCACTGAAAAGTGACATAAACCCATAAAAGGCAAACTTAATAATCAATTTAAAAGTTAACTAAAATAAATTGCCTTTCTTCTAGGAGTTCTACTGCACATAAGTTCTTATTTCGGTCTCTTAGTGCTTCCTACCTTAAGCTTGAACATAAAGAAAGGCTTAAGTATGGATTTGGCCTGACTTAATTAAAATTAATGTATAATGAAATATATTGATGAAATGAGCTACTTGGTCTTCTGGTAAATGAAGATATTTGTCAAAACATAATTTTCTAATTTATATATAGCGAGGTGAAGCATAAACTTTATGAAGAGAAATGTATTTAAGATAATTTTTCACAAATTACTTGTTTTATAAAATGTGTTTTTGTTCTGCCCTACTTTTTAACTTTCTCAGCATCACTAACCAGTGTCTTAGAACAATAGTAGGTGTATATGCAGTACCATTTATACTGAAAGGAGTAGAGTTGATATTAATGAAATATTTCACCCTGCCTCAATTTCAGGTGTGGTTTTGGGTGAATTCCCTAAAAGTCAGTTCAGAATTGTCATTAAGAATTGCAACCTTACTCTGGGCACAGAAAGGGATCTCAAAGATGTTAGAACTTCTTACATATGTGTGTATAATCTTTGGAAAGTCACATCAAATTAGTGGGCTTCATCTTTCACTTCTAAAAAAGAAATAAGGAATTAGATTATCAGTAAAATCTTTGCTGGTACTAATATTCTGCAAAATTTACTTAGAGGGACATTTCCTCTTAAGGAGAAATAGTTGACCTTTCTAGGAGTGGCAAGTTTGAGCAAATAGGATGCATTCACTTTTTCATTTAATTTCTCTCTGAATGTGGCACAGGTTTTTGCAGATGAGGTCATTAAAGCTCAGAGAGCTTAAATAGCTAGCAATCTACTCCAAAGCCATGCCTTTATCTCTACATTGCAAAAAAGTCAGCACATTTTTCCCCTAGCAACATGAAGATCAGGGTACATAATGGAGCTATGAGAGACACTAAATGTATCAAAATTATTATAATTAGTAACATTTACAGATGAGATGTTAAAAATGCTTTTTACTTTACCAGTTCCTGTCATAAGTGATACCCTATTTGATCTTCATGCAGTTGTTATGGATTGCAAACCTGAACAGACCTAGAGTTTTCAGTTAAGTCTTTCTGAGTCCAACCCCTGATACTGAATCAGGGGATTTTCTGAATCAGGAGTTGGACTCAGAAAGACAAACTCTAGGTCTGCTGCTTACCGGATCTAAAATTTGGTCAAAATGCTGATTTCCTAAGCTAAACTCTAATTTCTGATGTATCCATTTTACTTTACCTATAATTCTGTTGTAATCATCATTTTATAATTTGTTTGACATTCAGTGGTATATTTGACTATCTTTTCAACCAATCTATTTTGTTCATTAAGAAGAAAAAACTTCGTGTCACTGACAAATAATAATTTAAAATAAACATGTATTCAACATATCATAAATACATGTTCTATGTATTTATATTGGGATTCTCTACATGAGTGATCTGGAAACTAAAGCATCCAAAGGGCTAGTTGCAGTGGATCACACAAGGAGTACCAGAGACAGATTAGAAGCACAATTATTCTTTTGATAATAATGGAGAAATTACATTGCCTCTTCTATGTCACATATACTTTTTACGTAAGTCCCATTGTTAATCTTTGTGCTGTTTTTGTACACTGGGCATTATGGAGGATTACATTTCTAATACTACTCTTTATGATTAAAGGTAAATAATAATTATGCTTGTTACTTCTATGTGAACAGGTGGAGAACAGCAATCACCTGGAAGCATGTTTTTATGATTATGGGAGGAATCCTTTAGAGAACCTATTCTTTTTCATTAGGCAAATATAAGATAAATAGGTAAATAGTTGCTTGGGTGGAAGGATGTAACTGATTTTCTGTGGCTTGGACAATACTGCCATTCTTGAGATCCTTGAGTATACATGCTGTAGAGTGGAAATAGACCAGTTTACATAAGGAGCACCAGCACCAGGACTTCCAGACGAGATCAAGATCCCAATCCTTCTACCCTGAGACTCCGTGTTACAGAAAGCAGTTGGTATATTGCGGCACTATTCACAACAGCAAAGACTTGGAACCAACCCAAATGTCCAACAATGATAGACTGGATTAAGAAAATGTGGCACATATATACAATGGAATACTATGCAGCCATAAAAATGATGAGTTCATGTCCTTTGTAGGGACATGGATGAAACTGGAAATCATCATTCTCAGTAAACTATCGCAAGGACAAAAAACCAAACACCGCATGTTCTCACTCATAGGCGGGAATTGAACAATGAGAATACATGGACACAGGAAGGGGAACATCACACTCTGGGGACTGTTGTGGGGTGGAGGAAGGGGGGAGGGATAGCATTAGGAGATTTACCTAATGCTAAATGACGAGTTAATGGGTGCAGCACACCAGCATGGCACATGTATACATATGTAACTAACCTGCACATTGTGCACATGTACCCTAAAACTTAAACGTATAATAATAATAAAATAAAAATTAAAAAAAGAAAGCTGTTGGTATAAACAGCTGTCTTTATATACAGCATGACCTATAGTTGATATGCAGGGAGAAAAAGATAACAAGAGTCTGAAAAAAGAACTTAATAAGAGAAAAATTTTAGTTGGTACCTATGCTAAGCAGAAAGGATTATTGAGAAATGGCTGGTTGGAATGAAATTAGAATAAAGGTTGAACTTGGAATGGTGTTGAAGAAAATACTGAGTATATCAAAGAGCTATGAACTTGAAGCCCAGCAGGAGTAAACATAATGTTGCCAGGAGGAATTTGTACTTAA
Source organism: Homo sapiens (assembly GCF_000001405.40). NCBI lineage: Eukaryota > Metazoa > Chordata > Mammalia > Primates > Hominidae > Homo > Homo sapiens. The sequence goes on along the minus strand of NC_000002.12, from coordinate 13,515,806 downwards.
ATATTATTATCGAAACAGAGGGCATAGTAAATTGTGTAGAACCAGTCTTCTAAATGGCACCTAGTAGCAGCATCTAAAGCAGTTAGAGTAATGGTTGACTTACTGTAATCAGTAAAGGTTAGAGTTGACTTAAGATTTTATTGGGAGAAGGAAGATTCCCTGTTAATCAGAAAAAGTGAATGCTTTTGTGTCATTTATAAACACATAGGAGATATGAAAGCATCTGTGTTTAAAGATAATTAAGCATTTCCTATAGTTGGCATTAGTCAGGACAGGGCAGGCACTACAGAGACACAGGTGCCACTCCGATTAGAGATAGTTTGTTACTATCATTTTGAATACAAAACTCTTTTCACACCTCGGTAGGGGAGAGACTATTGGGAGGTTTTTCTTGCATCAGTATGAATACACTGGTCATCTCTGCACCTGGCATTCACAAGGAACTCTTAGTATAGGGTAGACTTGGTCTTTGCCTTTAAGAGATTTACTTCTCCAAGGTTAAACGATGCTTATAGAAATAATGATTAGTGGCATAAAAAAGTTATTTGAAATAATCAGATGGAAAATACATGGAATTTTGAAGAAGGAAAAGATTCCATTTGACTAGTATGATGAAAAGCCTCAATAGAAGGAATGAAGACTGAGGAAATACGTGAATGAGGCATGGAATTTTAATGAACAATGAGAACAAAACTTGTATCCTTTTCTCTTTTTTTCCTCTTGGGAACCAAAGATAGAAGAGCGTTTTCACTATATTCTTTGCAGAAATGCTTTTGTATGTAGAATGCGGATGTTTATTTGGCAAAAAGAAATATGTAACGTATAGGTATTAATTCATACAGAGAGAAATTGCCTTATTCTGCAGAAACCAAGGTATGGTTTCTTTGCGTAGAGCAATTATTTTCCCTTGAAAAGCAAACTACCTTTTAAAAATGAGGCAGTAAGTTTTAGTATCATGTTAAGCAGAATATTATGGCTTTAAAAATGTCTTAGAATCAAATTCAAGGCTATGGTGTTCAGTAGTTGTTAATTTCACTTCACTGAAATGGGTTTTCTTTATTACAAGACATTGAAAGGAAAAACCCAAAAAGGCAGAATGGTGTTATTCCCACTGATAAGGAAGAATCATCCCTCTGATTTGCTGCTTTACTTATCTTGTGAATATTTGAGCTCTCCTCTGGTTGAATATTTATGTATTTATTTATTTATTTCATGAATTTTATTTTTCATTTAGAGCATCAAGAATAACTACTTAAAAGGAGCTCAGCATAAAGAATTGAAGTCTTTTATGTTTTTCCCTTTTACTGACTCTGTAAAAGCAGAACGGTTCCAATTGTTCCTTCCTTTCTTTTCTTTTTGTCTGCATCAGTTTTGTTCCAGGCCTGTGCTTTTCAGGAAGACATAACAATACTAGATGTAGGTGTAATAAACCATACAAATGAGTGCCTCAGTAATCATGTTATATTTTAGTTTAAATAGTCTGCACCACTGCTTGACATTGTTAACTTTTTGGAATAAATGTTTAATGAAATTCTTCTTTACTAATTTAAATCCAAATTCAGAATAATATATTCTGTGAAATTACAGGTCTATGAATCAGGTGCAGATTGTCACAGCATTTTCTAACCACACATTAAAAAAATAAAACCTTTATGCCCAAAGGTCAGCAATAGTTATCCCTAAAGCTGAATGTTCACATATCAAATGATGAAGTGCAAAGTGGCATTAAGTAACTGCATATCAAACACTGAAGAATATTTGGGGTATTTTTTCTGTTTTATTTTTGCCCCCCTCTCCCAAATGTTATTCAGGTGTAACATTACACCTGAGGGGTAAACAATCATTAGTTTTTTTCCCCAAATACTGATAAGGAGATAATCTAATGTAGCCGGACCTGAAATAATCCACATATCGAACCTGGCCTGAGATTCTCTGATAGGTAAACAATGTAAAGAGAGATAGTTGGATATGAGGTGATTCCATTGGACATGAATTTTAAATAGAGTTATACATCACCTGTCTACGTTGTAAGCAGTATTAAGGCCTCAATAGAGGACATTTTATTTAGAAAGATTTACAGCAAAATTCTAAATTTTGCTACTTAAGAAGAATTAGAACGTTTATTCAATTGTGATACTAAAAGAATGTTTTAGTGATCATATCTTCACTTTTCATCTTAGAACCCTCAGAGCAAAATTTAACAACTGCAATAACTGTGAATTCAGGCAGACTTTTTTATGATTATCTTTTTGTATTGATCTAGGCTATAAGCTCTTGAGTAGCTTTTGCATGGTCCAGGCTTGTTTATTATTTTTGTCTTTTATAAATCCACATACATATATATAATATATATATCATATATAGTATGCGTATTATACACACACACACACACACACACACACACACACATATATACAGTATATGTAAGTGGAAAACTGGAATTTTTTACTCAAATCAGTCTCCCCCAAAATTTGGAGACTGGGAATTTTTAAGAATAATTTGGCAGGCAGGGACTAGGGAATGCATACCACTGATTGGTTGGGGTGAAATCACAGGGGTGTGGAAAGTGGTCCTTGTGTGCTGAGTCAGCCCAATATGAGGGTCAACAAAAGTGATTTTTATCTATTTTTACCTATAAGTAATTGGGGAAGTTACAAGTCTTATGACCTTCAGAATAATGGCTGCTTATCATGTAACTAAACCTATATCTTAGCAGAATCCAGGCCCCTCTCATAATCCTAACATTATGGGCTTTCATTAGTACTACAATGGCAGTTTTGGTCCCAAATATGGAAGGAGTGGTTTTTGGGAAGGGTTATTATCATCCTTCCTTTAAGGTTAAACTACAAACAAAATTCCTCCCGAATTTAGTTTAAGCTAGAACCAGAAATGAAGAAGGACACCTTGGAGGTTAGAAGTAAGATGGAGTCAACAATGTCAAAACAATATTCAGGGGGAAAAAACAATCATAGAGATATACCATTTGTTGAATAATATCTGCTAGTGATTTTACCTAAATTAACTACTTTAATCCTGAAAGCAATACAATGATAACAGAGTTAGTAGATTTTAGAGATAAAGAGCTCAACCTTGAAAGAAGTTAACAGTTTCCTAATGTCCCTTTGTTACCCTCATTCAACCAAGGTCTCTAAATGCTAAACAGATGCTCTTCCCACCCCACCCTCATTGAGCAGGCTTCCAGCAATAAGTGGGGACAATGGAGCAAATACACAAACTTAAGTGCTCACCAGTAGTGTCCAAACATATGGTGTCATAATCACCTCCCCTAATAATTCCTGTTCCTGTTTCACAGTGGCCTTTTTCTAAAGAGACATTTGGATTAAACTTTTATTATATCTGATGACCTCCATGTATTGAGAAAATAAACAGGAGAGGAAGAAAAGTGTGGAGGATGACAGAAGTCAGAGGACAGTCATGGGCATGAGAAGCCAAACGATGGCACACAACTATCTCACCTGAATGGAGTCAAGTTCTGGCCCAGGAGGAAGCTGCGTTGTCCCAGATGAAAAATTAATTTGTTTTCCTGCATGCCTCTGAGGGCTTTCTCTACAGAAGTCTGCCTCTTGGAAAATCTTTCTTCCTTTCTCCTTCATTTTATTACTGTGTTCTATAGCTGTGGTCCTACCTAATCAGGTCACCCAATGCCTAAAGCACAGAAAGTTTATAATGCTGAAAAGGGAGCAAATTATCTCATCTCATTTGTTATCCCAGAGACTAATTAGTATGCAAAATGACCATTTTCCCTGGACTCTACTTTTTTCATTATCTATGGAATGACAGAGACACCTCAAGGAAGATAACTCAGTTCGACCACCTGCTTTATCCTTTGGATATCTGTGGATAAGACATGTCAGCAATGCACATTCTCCCAAAGTTATTTGAGCTCTCTTGCAGGCCATTTATAGAGCAGGTCATTCACATAAGCAACAGCAGTGAAAAGACTGGTGAAATCAAGAAAAGCTTCTATAGCTTGGCATAGAAATTAAAACAAACAAATAGACAAACAAACAAAAGCCTCCTTTAGCACTGGTTAGAATAGCCATGGATTTGAAGTCTTGTTGATGCAGAGGGTACACAAGGCACAGGATTACGGCTGAACAAAAGCATTCAAAATATGTTTTAAAGAAATCCATATTTCTAGATTCTCTTGAAAAATAACGATCCCATATTCCAACAGGACACCATTTCACTTGAACTTGGACCTGACATTGGATGTCTCTTTAGATTCGTCATGATATCCCCAGTTTTTTGCAGTCCCTACTATACATAAAATATAATCATAACTATTTAAACTTTGCTTGCTTCTCTCAGTTATGTTAAGTATTAATTCTTGTGCCTGTTGAAATTTGCTAATTCTTCCTTCAGGAAAATGCCAAAAGCAGATTAAAGCATTAGTGTGAAAATGTTAAGAGCTGTGTTTTAATGGATTTTGAATGAGACACATAATCTAACTTTTTTATTTCTTTCATTTGTAAAAACAACTCTGTGGGTTAGTCATTGTATGAGGCAATAGAAATTTATTCTATTTAATTTCCATACGAACAGTTCAAGCTTTCTGTTATCCACATTTTCTGATGGAAAAATTAGATGTGAGAAAAGTAAAAAAAAAAAATCCAAGGTTATAGAATAATTAGAGTTCAAACACAGATCATTCTTGCTCCTGTGACTTATTCAGAAGACCAAAATTTGAATCATAGCTCAATATTTACTCCAGAGAAAACCCTGAAAAAACACCATTTATCAAGAGTGTCATGGGATTCTGACAGGGAGTACTTCCCAGGCAACATGGGTTACTCAAACCCTCTGAGGCGCAATTCCTTCGAATATTTTTTCCAGAGTAATATTCTTCCTTTAGCTCTTCTCATTTTCAAACTTCAACACACCTTGCTATGTATTTTCTCCCAGAAACTTCTTAAACATTTATGGATCCTTCATTTATGCTCATACATTTTCTTCATCCTGACCAGACTTTCTCCCTTGCTTCAACTGTACTCTCAGAAGTCTCTGAACTACATGAAGACATTAAACTATTCTTGATGTTTAGTGTCATGATTGTTCTGATACAGCATTCATCACATTTTATTAGAGCTAGTTGTTTATGATTTTGTATATTTTACCAGATTTCGAATTACTAACAGTAGCATTTTGTCCCATTTTTTAACGCCCAGGAGCTACAACAGCAAATGGCAATTAAGAATTTTTTAATTAAATTTGTAGACTGAATAAAAAAGCATATCAATAAAATAATATATATAATTGTATATTAGTTTGAGAATTATTTTTCTAACCAGATCTTTCATCTTGATTAGACTTTTTCAATATCCAAGAGCCAAAAAGATAGTTGAGTATATTTGAAATAATCAAATTTTTAGGTTGCTAATTAAGATAAAAATTGGTGAGACTAAGATAGATATATAATGAGACTGATACTCTGAAAGATATTCTAATGGAATATAAATACATTTTAACTACTTAGAATCTGGAGGCAAGAAGAATATTGATTTTTCTGCCAAGCAAGCAAAGTTGGATTTTGTATGATAAATGACTGCAGAAACTCATTTATCAAAGTTATTGTGACATGAAAGATGTATAAGATCTGATTTCATATGCTTATCTCAACTTTTTTATAGGTTAAAGAGACATTTATTGAGCATATACAATGTCCTTTGTACCAAGACTATGGAAATGAAAGACTAAAGACATGATTTCTGTTATTCAGTGAACAAGATTGATAAGTCAACAGGACATTGTAATAAAACATCAAACAGTGATAGTCTATGAATTATCTCTGTGTCCTTTGGCAGGCCATGCAATTTACTTGTTTTGATGGCTTCATCTGTAAAACAAGCTAAGTGAATGAAGTACAATTTAGAGATTCTTCTAACTCTGGTATTTATAAACATTTCTATGAAAGAATAGTCTGATGTCTTTACATCTAAACATGTCTCCAGAAGAGCAAATATTAGCTTTCTAAATATTTCCAGATATGTTATGTAAGTCTACAATTCCAAAACTATGTGTTGAAGCATCCTGCAGAACCACAGAGATAACTCTAAGAGACAGTTTACATTTTTTGAAACAAAAGAAGAGATATTTAATATCTTTTGAAAGCTATATGAACTAGCAGCTTGAGATATTTCACAGTTTGCACATTAGATTCCATTGCATTCCTTTCAACAATGTGAAGCTGGGATTTTAGCAGGTGTTGGACTTAGAAGCAAACACCAATATAAAGCAAGAAAATAACTGTGGAACAGAAAATGAGGGTGGTGGTGTCCAACCTGATTCCAGGTTTTAGAGGCAGTACAGTACCCAAAAGTCACTTTTACTAGTAAGTAATTCTGATTATTTAAGAAGGAAACAAAAATGTTTTTTCTATCATTTAACATACATAACATATATATTTTTATTGTTCCAATTTAGGATATAAGTATTTATTAAGTTGTTTGAAACTTTTTAATAAATACATTGAAACTGTTTGGTACTTCTGTTGGCCTAAAACATGCCATGAAAAAATTACTGTGATGCAAAGAGCACAGTGAAATGGGAAAACTTGAAAATATCTAGGGTAAATCATTTCAAATAGGTTTCTCAGTTATAAGCAAAGTGGGTATAACATTGCTGATCAGAGCTATGTTGGAGTCAAACTTTCATTCAATAGATTAAAAATATTTACACTGAGAAAAGACATATATATATATGTTTTCCTAGAGTCACATAGCTAGTTAATGATGGGTTGTTCTATCTCTCCATGTTGTCTATACTAACGGTACACAGATAGACTAATCATCCTTCTACAATCCTTTTACAAAATACATATTTCTACAGAAAGGTTAAATAGAAAAGAAACAGCAGCTGCTAAATAATTTCCATAATTATGGAAATTAGGTGTGAGCACCATTCTCTTGGTAAATTGCCAATATGTCCAGCTGGTAGAAACAATTGGCCAGCTATGCATGAAGAGGACAGTGTTACTTTTTACATAAGACATAGAAATGATGATTTTATGTAAATAAACAATTTTTTACACATGTATTCTCTTGTCTGATTTCTTTTTCATTTTTAAAAAATGTCACCTACCCATTGAAGTAAACAGAGAGAATACAGAAATAATGAAAAATGATTACAAGAAATCTGTCATTTAATCACTCCTATATATTGATAATACCTTGAGGTATACCATGTAATACTTATTGCTTCCTATTAATGAACATTTAAAAATTATTGCAATCACAATGGATGTAAAATTGGTTATTAGTCTAATCCTCACCATAGCCAATTTCCATAAAGTATGTAATCTTTATAAAAAGTATTTTAATTATAGCATGTTGTTCCGATAAGCAGAATTACCATAAATTACTAAGCTTTTCAAAAATAATTGAACATTATATTTTTCTTCAAAAATTTCACTATCATACCCAATTCAGTTAATATGATGGATACATAGACATATTTAATTTATTATCTTCAAAATCTACATGAACCTGACAGTGAAAGAATAAAAAAAGATGTAACCTCAAAATAAAAGAAAGAAAGGGAATGATATAAGCAGTGAAAACAGACAAGAACATTTTGGAAACTGTAAGATGAATGGGTGATTTGTACTTTATGAAGGTTGAACTTCAATCTTATAGGTAGTGTCTACATATCCCTGAAAAATTTAGAAATATACTTTGTCAATATTCTAAATAAAAGTAACTTTAAATGTGGGATAAAAGGGATCCAAAAGGACAGTAGCGATATACCTTATGAAAAACAGGGGCTCAGCAAAAGTCTGCCGAAAGAATTTTGAGTCATGATTTTCCTCTTCCACATTTTGTTCTCAGGACACTAACAGCCAAGCTTATAGACCCCTCCCACCAGTAAGAATAGTGGATTACTTGCTCTGATCCAACTCGGTAGCCCCATACAAAACATCCGTAGGTGGTCTCTAAGAAGGTGCCATAGATACATCCAGGTCTGCACCTCATACCATGGCATAGACCATCAAATAGGAACACAGAGCTTTCAATAATCATTTCAGTGTTCCCTCAAATATAAACAATCTACAAGTGATTACATTTCTGATAAATGTCAGATAGAATAATAAATATTCCAAAGCAAGTATTATAAAAAGAGATAAGACAAAAAAAACTTCAAAAAATGTTAATATCCTCAAAGAGGTAGGTAAAGTTAATATGTGAAGAAAACCAGAACGTTAGGGATCATCATCCCTTTAATAAATGATTTTTTAAAAAGTTGCAGACATGTTTAATGAAGGCAGGGATGATATATTTATTATAAGTTGTGAAGGTAAAATTGGGAGTTTTCTAAGCATTATCACAAAAGTAGAAAAATATAGAGAATTGGAAGAAAAAAATAAGTAAACTAAAGGTTCTTTTCAGGAGATATCTGAATAAAAGTTGTTCCAGAACAAAGAAAACAAAAAGAATGGCAGGAAAATATCAAAGAAATAATATAAGAACATTTTTCATCATTGTAAAATATAAGGTTTTTAAATAGAAAATAAAAACTGAATGCCAAGCATAAGGAATAAAATGGAATAATAGCACATTTTTGGTGAAACATAAAAATAACAACGTCATGATCTCTAAAAGCTTTCAGAGAGAATAAAAAGCCAACCACGTAAAAAGAATCACGGAATCAAACTGGGCTCAACTTAAAAGTGGACAAAGAAAACCTTTAAAATGCTAATGGGAATGGATGTCCAACCTCTATTTTTCACCCAGAGAAGTTTATAATCAATTGTAAAGGTTCATTTAAAATTTTCAAGTAATCATGATGCTATGGTTTAAATGTGTCCCCTCTAAAATTCCCATTTAATGTAATCCCTATTGCGGTGGTGTTAGGAAGCAGAGCTTTTTGGGAAGTGACTAAGTTATAAGGGCTCTATATTAGTCTGTTTCCCCACTGCTATAAAGAAGTACCCAAGACTGGGTAATTTATAAAGGAAAGAGGTTTAATAGACTCACAGTTCTGCATGGCTGGGGAGGCCTCGGGAAACTTATAATCATAGTGGAAAGGGAAGCAAGCACCTTCTTCACAAGGTGGCAGGAGGGAGTGAGTGCAAGCAGGGGAAATGCCAGACACTTATAAAACCATCTGATCTCATGAGAACTCACTCACTATCATGAGAGCAGCATGGGGGAAACCACTCCCATAATCCAATCACCTCCAACCAGGTTCCTCCTTTGACACAGGGGGATTACAATTCAAGATGAGATTTGGATGAGGACACAGAGCCAAATCATGCCAGGCACCATACTTATGTATAGATTAGTACCTTGTTAAAGGGCTGGAGGAAACTGGTTTAGGCCCTTTTGCCCTTCTGCCATGTGATGACACAGATTTCCTCCCCCTTGGATGATGCAGGAACAAGGTATCATCTTGGAAGAAGAGACACTGGGCCATCACCAGCCAGCACCTTCATTTTGGACTTCTCAGCCTCCAGAATAGGGAGAAATACATTTTTATTGTTTATAAATGACCCAGTCTGTGGTATTTTGTTATAGCAGCACAAAATGTCTAAGACACGAGAATATTACAAATAAGCCTCTCATGGACTTAATAACATGAAGATGCTTAGAAGATGAATATTACCAAAATAAAGTGGAAACCAAGAAAGAGGATGACATGTTGTATCCATTATGGCTCTTGGTTGCAAATGAAAAAAATGCACTTGAACTGTTTGAATGAGAAAGGTGTTCATTAAAAGACATTGTTTATTCAAATACTTTGGGATGGCTAGATTGTTTGTTGACTTATACGGTACAAGGCTAGGGGTAACAGAGACAGGGACAGATTCTAACCACTTCTGAGAACTTTCTAATGAAAATATCACTGCTCTTCCTGTCTACAGTGTTGCACTTTCATGCTCCAGACTGAAAATCAGAGGTCCCATGGACTCCAGAAGTCAGTATTTCCACATGCAGCTGCCATACGGTATAGCTCCCATGCACTAACTGCCAAATCAGCAGTGGGTGCAACTTACTGGATGAATCTAAGTCACTATGCCCATACCCTAGTGGAGTTTGGAAAATGTAGATTTTTTTCATTACCCATTGGAAAGGAAGTAATCACAATGTGGAAAATCAAAAGTGAAGAAAAATTTACTTAAACATTGTTGGGGAGCCATAAGTTAAAAATAAAATTGGTTATAACAGTATAACAGTTGTCTACTATGCATGGATTCCACAAAATAGGTGCTATAACGAAGGAAAGAAGCAACAGGATTGTGCAGGTGTGAGACGAATGACAGTCCCTGGAAGAGGACTATGAAGTAGGCGTTTAGCACATAAAGTAAACATTAGCATCAGACAGTGCAGTGGTGGGAATCAAGAGAGGCATCTCCAAGAAAAATAAATGGCTTTGTTGTATTTTCTGAAATGTTTAAATATATTAAGAGAGGATCTTCAGTTCTGGTGGAAACCTGGACATAAATAAGTGATGTGGCTGTGTATGCAGATTGCTACAGATGGTCCCTGGAACATCAATCCTCCCTGTCGTCACATCTGCAGAGCATTCCCCACATTGACCCTGGTTTTGGTGTGTGAATTGCTTTGGACAATGAAATATTAGCAAAACGTACAAGCAAAGGCTTACAAAGTATGTACCTGAACAATGGAACTTGCCTTCTTTTGCTGCTGTTAACTCTTCTGCCATTTGAAGAAGGCCAGGTTAGCCTGTTGAAGATACATGACATATTTAAAAAGCAGTCCTGAATACTAAACATGTGAATTAGGGAGTTTTGGACATCCCAACCTCAACAGACTGACCAGATGATCAAAATAACATGAGTGATTCATACAAGACCATTAGAATTAGTCATTTAAGCCCAAATTTCTCAACCACAGAAAAACAAAATGGGAAAATGAAATGTTGTTTTCACAAGTTAATAAATTTGGGGTAGTTTTTTATACAACAAAAGTAACTGAAAAATAAATGATTGTTTATATGCAAAGATCTCCCATAATAGAAATCCATAATAGCTATCATTGAATATAAAGTTGGAAGGGGAAAAGAGTATTTAATAGAGAAAAGGAAATGCTGGCAAAGACTGGAACTTTTTTAAATGCTATTTTAGGCCTACAGGCCATTTTTTTCTTCATTTTGAATTGATTTAATCACATTTACTTGAAATTGATGACAGCCAGAAGAAAAAAAAAGTTTTTCAGATAAGCACAGCAAAAAATTGATGACTGACAAAATTGTAAACAGATTAAATCATTGTTTTTATAAGTAATAAAATTTGGGGGTAATTTTTTAATGCAGCAATACATATCTGAAAGAATAGAATATATGTGTGTAGTTTGAAATCACCTCTTTTAAATGTAAGTTATAGGTAGCTGTGTCAAAATAATAAAGCTTTCTGGATACACTCTGTTTCCTACTGTGCCTATCACTCAGCTTTGTGGCACAAAGTTTAAAAAAAAATAAAGCCTGGGCGCAGTGGCTTATGCCTGTTATCCCAACACTTTGGGAGGTCGAGGCGGGCAGATCATGAGGTCAGGAGTTCGAGACCAGCCTGGCCAATATGGTGAAACATGGTCTCTACTAAAAATACACAAATTAGGCTAGGTGTGGTGGCTCATGCCTGTAATCCAAGCACTTTGGGAGGCTGAGGCGGTTGTAACACCTGAGATCAGAAGTTCAAGACCAGCCTGGCCAATGTGGCAAAACCCCATCTCTACTAAAAAAAAAAAAAAAAAAATTACAAAAATTATCTAGGCTTGGTAGCGGGCACCTGTAATCCCAGCTACTCAGAAGACTGAGGCAGGAGAATTGCTTGAACCTGGGAAGCAGAGGTTGCAGTGAGCCCAAGATGTACCACTGTGCTCCAGCCTGGATGACAGAACTCCATCTCAGGGAAAAAAAAAAAAAAAAAATAGCCGGGTGTGGTGGTGCATGCCTGTAGTCCCAGCTACTCAGGAGGCTGAGGCAGGATCTGATGGGATCTGATGATTTTATAAACGTCTGGCATTTCCCCTGCTTGAAGTGAGAGAGAGAGAGAGAGAGAGAGAGAACTCTAGATGTCTGCACAAGTTACCCCTCACTATTCAGTTAAGCACAGATCAGAACATACACCTGAGGAAACTACCAAAGTCAAGGCAAGAAACATCCAAAAATATTAGAGGTAACAGTGCCCAGAGTTCTCACAGAGCTGGAACATCCATTCCACCTGCCGTAATGGAAAATGTCTTGAACATGAAGCAATGTGTAGAGTACACAGATGAGTTTTATCTTAGCAGTGGGAAATAATCACTCCTAATCTGAACAGTGCTCTGATTGTACCCAATAAATCTTAAGCTAAAGACACAAAAGAACCAAATGTTTCCCAGGTGACTTAACTATCCCGAAAGCAGAGCTCAGAAATATTTATAGGGATATTAAAATCTCCACACTCCCAAAACATAAATCACAATATCTGGCATCCAGTAAAAAATCACCAGACCTAAAATGAACGTGAAAATATGCCCTATGAGAAAAAAATTCATTTAAAACCAACTAAGAACTGAATTAGCACACATGGAAATCAAATCATTTATTATTATAATTACATTCATTCCATAGGTTCAAAAAGTTAAGTAGAGATACAGAGGATATAAAAATAACCCAAATATAACTTGAGATATAAAAACTACAATGTGTGATACAGGGTAAAGGGCAAATTTGATTATAAGGAGAAAAGTTTGATGATAATTAGATAATTTGATGATAACTAGAAAAGATCTTGAAGATACATTACTAAAAACTATTCACACTAAATGTATAGAGGAAAAAAGCAAAGAAAAAAAACCAGTGTCAGTAAGCTATGGGACAATTTCAAGCAGTTTAATGTACATGCAGTTAGAGTGCCTGGATGGTCAGGAGGGGGGTGGTTAGAAAATTATCTGAAGATGTAATAGCAAAAAAATTTCCAAATTTAACAAAACTATAAACGCACATATCCAAGAAGCTAAATAAACACAAAGCGGAAGCTGTGTGAACTAAAGAGAATATTTTAAAATCTATCAGGGGTTGGGGAAGAAAGGCATACTGTATACAGAGGTAAAAGGGGCAGGAAGATCACAGATTTCTCATTGAAAACAGAATTGAAGTCAGAAGACAGCAAAGCAACATACTGGAATAGACGACAAAAAATAACATAGCATTCATGATGGCCCAAACCAATAAGAAAAATAGAGAAGCCAAGAATCAGAAACGCAAACCGTAATGAGGAGAAAAATCAGTCAAATAAAAAAAAGAAAACAAGAAGGGACAGATACGAGGAAACAAACAGACCTGGATATTAAAACAAAACTTGTAACCATGGTTGAGTATTTACAAGAAAATACAAACCTAATGAAAAGAGAAATTAAACATATAAAACCAAAATGGAACATCTAGATATAAAAAATAAAATATGTGAATTTAAAAATTGTACTGGAGGAGAATAACAACAGATTTAACACTGTGGGGAAAAAATCATTGATTTTGAACGTACAACAATAAAAAAAGAAACAGGCACTATGAGCTTGTGTATGATAGAATGACTGTAAAACACACAGAAATAGAGTATCAGAAAAAGGGGTGAGGCAGGAACAACATCTGAATAAATAATGGCCGAAAGTTTAGTAAATTTGAATATTATGTATACAAAGATCTTAAAAGCTCAACAAATTTAAGAGAATACCAAAACAAACAAAAGTCAAAAAAGTCAAATCAAATAATTTATAAAGAGACAATGTTAAAAATCTAAAAAAATCTTAAAAGTAACCAGAGAATATTTTGTATATGCAGAGTAAAAATGACAGGATTTTCTACTAATTTTGTATCAGAATTATGCAATAAAAAGACAATGTGATGATATATTTAAATGGTGAAAGCACAATGAATAGAAACACAGATTCTAAATTGGATAACCAGTGAAATATTTTTTTAAAAAAGAAAAAAAGCCTATAAAAACCTTTTCAATCAAACAAAACATTAAGGAATTCATCACCAGCAGACCTGAGCTACAAGAAATTATAAAGAATATTATTTATTTATTTATTTAGTTAGTTAGTTATTTTTATTTTTGAGGCAGAGTCTGGCTCTGTCACCCAGGCTGGAGTGCAATGGCACCATCTTGGCTCACTGCAACCTCTGCCTCCCAGGTTCAAGCGATTCTCCTGCCTCCGCCTCTCGAGTAGCTGAGACTACAGGTGTGGGCCACAACACCCGGCTACTTTCTGTATTTTTAGTAGAGATGGGGTTTTGCCATGTTGGCCAGGCTGGTCTTGAACTCCTGACCTCAAGTGATCCACCCGCCTCAGCCTCCCAAAGTGCTGGGATTACAGGCATGAGCCACCTCACCCAGCCAAGAATATTCATGAGGCAGAAGGAAAAGGATGCCAGTTTGAAATTTGGATCTGCGGTAAGGAATGAAAGAGGGGAATGTTAAATATGTGAGTAAAGAAAGCATTTTTCCTCATTTCAAAAATTTCAAAAGTAAAATAATTTGTTAAAAGTAAAAATATAACAATATATTGGATATTTATAACATTATGTAGAAGAAAAAATATGATTATATTGCACTGATAACAGAAGGGGAAGTGGAAGTATACTGTTGAACATATTTTATGTGAAATTCCATAATAATATTTGTATGGATGATGTAAGATGTGCAACAAACATAGCATAATTCCTAGAGTGACTATAAAAAGATAAGATGGTATAACTAATCAGCCAATAAAGAAGAAAAGGGAAGAAATAACACACGGGTAAGCAGAAAACAGCAAGATAGTAGACTTACATCCAGCCATACTGAAGGTTACAGTACTGTGAAAACACCAATTAAAAGGCAGGGATTTTCAGACTATTTTAAAAGCCAATATCAGCAATATTGTTACCAGGAGGGGTGAAGGGAATCCTCAGTTACTGTCTAACTTGAGAGAATCACTTCTGCCAGGAGACAATTAGTAATGTAAAGAAAAGGCTTATTAAAGAGATAAGAGTAGCTACAAGAGGGAAATGGAAAACTCTGGGCTCATCCAAGTGAAAAATGGCAGTATCAGTGGTTATTTAAAGAGAGTGTCCACTCTGAAAGATGAGAGAGAGCGGGTTGCTGGAGAGAGTGAGCCAGCACCAGTCAGTGCTGGAGGACTCTATGAGAATCTTACATGACTATTCATGAAGAGATGTGAGAGGGTGTCATTTGCAATCATGTTTTAGGCTGTCCCCTTGGGCACGTATGCTCCGTGGTTATACACATTGACACATACATCACATGTCTCAAGCATTTAAAATTTCCACCCAAGGGTGTTTTTTTGTTCTTTTTTTTTTTTTTTTTTTTTTTTTTTTTTGAGACAGAGTCTTGTTCTGTCTCCCAGAATGGAGTGCAGTGGCGCGATCTCGGCTCACTGAAACCTCCACCTCCCAGGTTCAAGCGATTCTCCTGCCCCAGCCTCCTGAGTAGCTGGGAGTACAGGTGCACTCTACCACGCCCAGCTAATTTTTGTATTTATGGTAGAGATGGCATTTCACCATGTTGGCCAGGATGGTCTCAATCTCTTGACCTCGAGCCGCCCGCCGCAGCCTCCCAAAGTAAGTGTGATTACAGGCGTGAGCCGCCGTGCCCAGCTGTGTTTTTTTACTATTATAATGAGCAAAAGGCTACTCCAGGGTTAATTATTGGAGAAGTATACATGTTCATCAGTAGCAAAAGTCGGTACCATGATGATCTTGGCCTGGGTCCTGATTGGTAAGTCCCCTTTAGGGCCAGAGGAGCCCAACCACAAGGCCAGAAGTAGACAGTGTAGCCTTTGTCCTGGGGCAGCACTGAAGACCACTGGGCAGAAGAAGCCACAGACAGTGTAGCCATTGCCTTGGGGAGCACTGAGGACCAGTGGGGAGCATCTCCAGGGCTTCCTTTCCAGGGGCTCCCTCACCTGCTCATTTCTGGCTATCTGCCTACACTAACAATATGATGTCCATAAAAAAACAACAACAAGTCTACTTTATTTAAAGATATAGCTGAAATGTAAAAGATGGAAAATAAAAACTAACAGATACAAACACTAAACATAAGAAAAGAGAAGTGCTTATATCAATATTAAAGAGGTAAACTTCAGAACAAAGAATATCAATGAAGATAAATAGAAAGTTTGTAATGATAGATGAGTTGCCTCATCAATAAGAGTTTTAAAAGCTAGACGTTCAGGCACACCATAACAGCTACAAAACTCATGTCACACAACCAGCTAGAACTGAGAAGAGAAATAGTGAACCTAAAATTAGAGCTGGTATGAACAATGCTTTCTTAGTAACTGATACAATGCATAAAAATAAAATAAATAAATATATATGACTTGAAAAGCACTATTAACCAATTTGACTTAATTGATACCTCTAGACCATTCCATCACCAACGGCAGAATAAATTTTATTGTCAAATGAAACTAGAGTAGTAAAGATAGGCCATTTTAGATCGAGTGTGGTTGCTCATGCCTGTAACCTCAGCACTCTGGGAGGCCAAGGCACGTGGATCACTTGAGCTCAGGAGTTTGGGACCAGCCTGGGCAACATGGTGAAAAACCATCTCTACAAAAAAATACAAAAATTAGCTGGACGTGGTGGTGCACACCTGTGGTCCCAGCTACTTGGTAGGCTGATGTGAGAGGATGGCTTGAGCCCAGGAGACAGAGGTTGCAGTGAGCCGAGATTGTGCCACTGCACTTTAGCCTGAGTGACAGAGTGAAACCTTGTCTCAAAAAAAAAAAAAAAAAAAAAATTGGGCATTGACGAGGCAGAAAAAGTGTCTCAAAAAATTGAAAATAATTAAAAACATATGCATTTTATTTTAGGGTCTCGAAACTAGAAATCAATAACAAAATTACATCTATAAAATTCCCAATTATTTGAAAAATTAAAAGCCTTTTTCAAAACTCGGCATGGTACACTTCTGTTTGTCCATTTAATTGTATGTAAATTTTGGCTTAAAATTTTAAAAATGTAAATAAATGCTCACTTCTATTTAATAATTTGAATGTTAAACTTTTCAGAGGAGAGTGTCAAAATTTGCAATTTACCTTGAAATGCATCAAAAATAAGTTAGATTAATGGAAGGGTAGGGGGAGAGATAGAGGAATAGATATGTGATTTTTTTAAAAAAAAATGATGGTACAATCTAGATGGTAGAATACAGGTACTCAACTTTAAATTATTTAAACATTGTTTTATGTTTGACTATTAATTATGAAGAGACAAAACTGACAACACAAAGTTTTTTGGGCAAAATGGAGCAACTGGCATTCATATATTAATACAATGGTAGTGGAAATGTAAGGCAGTTCTAACACTTTGGAAAAGTGTCTTGCAATTTCCTATACAGTTAGTAAATACTTACCATATGATTTAAAGTATATGGGAAGATATATAGGTTGTATGCAAATCCTACACCATTTTACATAAGACACTTGAGCATCTGTGAATTTGGTATCTTCAGGGGTCCTGGAACCAATAACCCACTGATACTGAGCAACCATTAGACTGTATTATTCCATTTATGTGGAAACCTAGAGAATATATAATTACAGCAGATGATTAGTTGCTTGGGGCCGGAGTTGGTAGAAATTGGGAAGAGGCAAGATAAATTTTGGGGATGAAGATGATGTTTTATATATCTTAATTAAGGTGGTGGTCATATGAGTTTACAGATTTGTTTAAATTCAATGAATGTATGTAACTTTAAGATATGTGACTTATTTGATCCAAATTATAATCCAATAAAATAATTAAAGCACAATAAGGAAAACACAGTTTTCTGGAGCTTTCTGATACTTTTCACCTGAAATTTAACTCCAGAGGGAAAGTGTTGTAGTTAATAAGACTTTCGTTTGGTCACAGTGTACTTCACAGTTATTCATAGAATGATGGGATTTTGTGATTGTAAACAGTTTAATAGATGGTAGACTTTGTAGATACTGGGTAGCTAATGTTTCTATATTTATAAATTCATCAAGGTAATTCATCAAGATAACTGTTGCGTTCTGGCTGTTAAGCCTTTTTCTCATTTCCTTGTCTATAATTGAGACGTGCTCTTTTGTTCCATTGCTACTGAAGAATTTGTTTTTTTTGTTTTTGGTGAAAAACGTAAGTATTCAGAAGACTGCTTTAATTTGGGAGTTGATGTTTAAAAACCTATGATCACTGAGAGGAGATGCACTAAAGTATCTGTGTGAAGAGGCTGAAGTTGAGCACTTGGAGAAAAACACAACACTGATGTTTAGTATTTAATATTTGACCGATACTTGCGTGTGCACATGCGTGCACATTTGTATGCATGTATGTATGATGTGTGTGAACGTGTGTACATTCACATGCTTACTGCAGAAGTGTATTTGGACTACAGTGTGAGTTAAGTTGGTTTTAGTATTGTGTTAGCTTCATATTGTCTCCAACAAAAGAACTCTTAAATACACTGACACAGAGAATATACCAAGGCTGTGTAACACTATTTCTGCAACATTCTAGTGCTTGTTATAGAAAAAGAAGGTAAAGTGGCTTGTTCATGATATTTTGCTTATTTTTCACCTAACGTATGACATTTTATATATTTTCTCCCAATAATTCTTTGCTCTACCATTGCAGAGTGAAAACCACTATCAAGTTCAAAGCACACACAGTCATTAAATAAAAGAAAAAGAGTGCACATTTATAGTTAATCCCTGGTGTGAGTATATTTTTTCCAAGTTTAATTAGTGCTGTTTGTTCTCATAACTTGACTACAACAACAAAAATATTTGGCAACAGCAATCTTTCACAAAGATGTGAAAGTAATCAGAAAGCCTATAGTAGCGAGGAGAAGAGTCAGGCATTCTTGCTTTCTAAATAAATGCTAGGTCTGCCCATAGGTAAGGTTGTTGTGGCCATGAAGATTACTAAGCATGTTAGCCCCAGCACACTTCTTTATTGTCCTCTGGCTGGTAGCTTTTTCAGAAGAAATCCAGTAAAAATGTGTAATTAGCCTATTCACAAGTCGTGGTACTCAAGAGACCACAGTCTGTACAAACTGGACTGGCCTCTCAGAAAACAGGAATTTTGCAGGCTGCTTTAAACAGCCCTTTACATCTCCCCATGCTATAAATTATTTATGGGCAAGAGAATGTTTTGTTATGCTTTGAATCTGTATACCCAGCATAGTCCCTGAGATAGGGTAGGCACAGGCATATCTTTTTAATTAAACTAAGCAACATATTTACTTCAAGTATGTAAAGACCAATGCCCTATCATAAAGCGTAACTAATAGACTTAGCAAGAAAAAATCAGAACCTTCCATTATTTAAGACAATACATTTTTGTACACAGTGATGGCCAGACTTGTTTTTTCCTAGAGAAGAATCATAATAAGATGGTAAGTATTATAATTTTTCTGTAGCCATTCATATTTCTGGGCCTTTACCATGAGTTAAATATTGTGCTAAAGATACCTACATATTCTATGTAATTTAAGTTTGACTTGAATCCAATTGATTACAGAAACTCTCAATATCTCCATTTTTAAATTGAAGAATTGGGAACTCAGAAAAGTTTAATAGCTGTGCAAAGACACAGAGCAAGTATCTACTAAGACAGGATTGGAAATCAAGAAGTTAGATACTAGAGTCCATAGTCCTAAGTCCTTTACTGTCCCACTAAACTGATTTATTCTCCCTGCTGGCAATGGAAACATACTCAACAGAAAATAGTATCCAGCATTCCTGATCTAACTTTTCCCATCAGTATTCAACTTTACTTTTTTTTAACTTCAATTCTAAGTTCAGGGGTACAAGTGAAAGTTTGTTACATAGGTAAACTTGTGTCATGGGGGTTTGTTGTACAGAATATTTCATCACCCATGTATTCAGCCTAGTACCCATTAGATATTTTTCCTCATCTTCTCCCTCATCCCACTCCCCACCCTCTGAAAGGCCACAGTGTGTGTTGTTCCCCTCTATGTGTCCATGTGTTCTCATTGTTTAGCTCCCACTTACACAGGAGAACATGTGGTATTTGGTTTTCTGTTCCTGCATTAGTTTGCTAGGGATAATGGCCTCTAGGGAAACCTACATTTATTTTAAATGCTTGAAAATCATTTATTCATTCATTCGCTCATTCATCAGTTATCACACTTATTCTATATATCATGTATTGTGCTCAAAGTTAGGAATACAAAGAAAACCAATAATTATTTATCATACGTTGGTGCAAAAGTAATTGTGATGTTACTTTTCATGGCAAAAACCGCAATTACTTTTGCATTGGCCTGATAATATGCCTTGTTCTGTAGGCGTTCACTCTCTAGTCAGAGAGGTAGTTTGGTAAACAAGACATTTTACAGCACTCTGAAAGAAGGAAAACCTATAAGTCAACTCTACCTCTGCTGTCAGTGAAAATATTCCTACAACCATTACCAGAGGGGAAAGAATATTCTAGGCTGAGGGCTAGCATACGTTATGCAAGATCATTAATAGTTCTGGGGTGCCTGGCTATAAGGAGGTGTGTGTGTTTGAAGCATTGAGTGGAAGCTTCAGTGGGAGATAAGAATAGAAATGATGAGTCATAAGATGTAATCAGAACACAAGTTTTTTTTTTTTTTTTTTTGTCATTGTCTGTTTGTAGCAGCTATTTTAGTGCCGGGGATATATGGCCTCAAACACAAAATACTAATCTTTTAACTTGCTTTTTAACTGATTGACATGAAAAGCAAGCATTCTCACCCCATCATGAGTTCTCACACCATTTCTAACCTCAAGAGATGACAATAAGACTGGAATACAAGGCAAGGATGTCATATTCCGTGGTATCATAGTCATTTCATATTTTGACATAGCTGCTCAAGACATACTATGGAATGTGTAATATTATTGATGACCGGTGCCACTTTAGCCCTATCTTCTAGGAGCTCAAAACTCTGTCTTTGGTGCAGCCACAATGCAATTCTCACCCGGCAGTAAAGTACTCTGTGTTCTGAATGAAATCCCTAAGTCTGTTTTATGTCCTTCCAAGTCTTGCAAGTTTACGGAGCTTACACACTACTCTCCTTGCAATGAAGTGTGGATCTTGCTGTTCTAGCATGGAGTGTGTGAGATCATTCACAGGAGCCGTAACCAGTGCTGTTCAGAGAACATCTACTATAATGAGCATTTATGGAAAATTAAGATATTAAATACAGATTCTCCAAAGAACGCCGCCAAGTTAAATCAACTTTTAAATAAATCACCTAAAGTTCGTCTCAGACTCAAACCAATTAAACACAAGAAAAATGTGTTTGAATATTAGAATGGAATAAAAATGGCGTAAAAATATAAGTAGATATAAATTGTGTAGTTATTAATAGAGATAAGCTAAAATAGGACTGTGATCTGAAAAGATAGTTAGTGTAAATAGCATGGGTTTTGAAGTCTAATAAATCTGTTTTATTTAATGGGTTCACCCTTATGTAAGTAACCACTGGTAATTAATTTAACTTCACTCAGTCATAGTGTTTCCATATAATAGAGCAAAAATGTAAATAATATAAGCAATCTTGTTTTGAGTATGGACTGAAAGATATTTCTAAAACACAGTGTTTGTTACATAAAAGTTCAATGACTACTCGCTGTTATTATAATATTTATTAACCTTACATATAGTACTACATATTTCTGACATTAAAAAATAGAAGATTTTAAATATGAGATATTTGATTTCTAACCTTAGTACAACCACTTAATGTAAATGTATATGAAAATACTCAACAGACCATAAAGCTTTTTTACAACTAAATATATATGATAAAACGTTATAAACAGTCATTTGCTCATTTGATCAATATTTATTTAATACCCATCATGTGCCAGACACTTTTTTAAGATTCTAAGGAAAAATCAGTAAACAAGCAAATCAACTCCTGCCACACAAGGCATAATATCTAATGGGAAGATAAAATATAAATATAACTGAAATAGAATGTTAACTAATGACAAGTTCTAGGAAAAAATTATTTGTATAAGAAGAGCAGAGATCTGAGGGATAAACAGAAGCCAGTTGTGCCAAAAGCTGAAGAACATTCTAGGGCAAGCAAGTGAAAAGGTTGAGCTGAGTCAGAGGAAGAGCCATGGGTCCAGAGTGATACTAGTGAAGAAGTGAACACCATAGGCAGTGACGTGGCAGGGACGGAGAGATGTTGGTCAAAAGATAAAAACTTCCAGTTACAAGATGAACATGTTCTGGGAATCTAATGCACAGCATGATGACTGTCACTAATTATATTCTATTGTATACTTGAAATTTGCTAAGAGAATAGGTTTTAAGTGTTCTCACCATACACACGCACAAGTGCGTGCACACATACACACACACTTGTAACTATGTGAAGTAAAGCATACGTTAATCAGCTTGATTGTGGAATTATTTCACAAGTAATACTTGTATCAAAACAGCACATTGTGTATCTTAAATATGTACAATTTTCTCTTGTTAATTATACCTCAATAAAGCTTTAAAAAAAACTGTCAACCATACTTTTTTTTTTCCAAATTGTTGCATCATGGAATTCACTCTACTTTCTTTGTGCTAGTGCCAGTAAGGAGGTAGACAAAGGATGGCGCAAAATATCAATAGGATCCCATGTATATGAAAAGAATCAGGGATGGAATACAGATTTTTTTTCTCCCTCAACAACTATGTGATAATAAAGAAAACAAAAATAGCAATATTTCAATGTATAATGGCAGAAAAATATCATGAATTGGATAGAGGCATGAATCTTCAGAACTTGGAGGCATAAAGAATTCCATATATTATATGTAATAAATAGAAATAAGTTCACATATTTTAGGAAAGCTTCAGAATACAAAATATGGAGATCTTAGAAACTACCAGAGAGGAAAGATATTTCACACTGTCTGTTGTCTACCTCCTTACTGGCACCAGCACAAAGAAAGTAGAGTGAATTTCATAACGCAATGATTTGGAAAAAAAATATGGTTGCCAGTTTTTTCCAGATTATTATTTATTTTTTTCCAGATTAATCATACACAAAAATGCTATTAGACTGACATATTTTACAAAAGCCAAAATAGAATCCATGAAACCTTTAAGAGTAGTAAATTAAAGTTGTTGAGAAGCAAATCTAAAAAAACACAAAAAGAAATATCATCACAATTCAGAATTGGGATGCAAATATACAATGAATATATGAAGAGACTGTAAATCTCAATAGTAATCAAGAAGACTATGATGAAAGTAAAATTGAGGTACTTCTGTTAAACAAAATTATGGGAGGCCATTGTTTTGGACTGAGGTCTTGCACCAGACCCCAGCAGACCAGACAAAACCAAAATGGAGTTACTCATGTCAAGTGCCACATAATTTAACTGAATCCTAAAGGAAGCAGGTAACTCCCCAGACCAGTGTTTTTCTGAAAATCAAAGATTCGCAGCAATCAATCAGAAAGATCCCAATCTACCTGATTCAGCATAGTAAGAAATTTCCCTCTGCTGTAAATCTTACAAGAAAAGTAAACTGTAGTAACTTGATGTTAACATATCCACTTTTTTTACTGTTCTTTTTCCTTATTCCCACCTTCCAAAATCCAACTGTTCTGTCATGCTGGGCAAAGCACTTATTCTATTTATTAGAATGAGGTGTTACCTGCTTCCAGAATAGCAAATAAAAGCCAATGAGATGTTTAAACTAAATTCGTTGTAATTTTGTCTTCTGAAAATGTCTGGCAACTTATGAAGGGACTCCAAGGAGACCCCGAGGCCCCCTGGGGAATGCAGGTGAGGCACTGCTGACCGCCTTTTTGGGGATTCCTCCCCAAATCTTGAGGGTTGTGAAATCTTCTTGAGTTCAAATTCTGCTCTCTTTGCCTTGAGCCCCCTGATATTTTTGGCTTTTGAATCCACCACTTATTTGTGCTGTGAGAGAGTGTATGGTTTTGTTGTACCAAGAGCACATGACTTTTTGGGGGTTTGCATGGTGATTGATGGGTCACTGACAGTCACTGGAGTATTAAAGGTGATGGATAGCGGTTCCATCAAGTGGCTATGAAGGCATGAGATGTGTGAATCCAGATTTCAGAAATTTAACAAAATTTGACTTTTCTCCTTTTCTTGTTTTTGTTTTGCATGTTTACATAGGGGGAACTTATTGGCTAAGTTGGTCAAAGGCAATCTTCGAGCCAAGACATAACTTGAGTGGTGGACATGAGTCAGGCACATAAAAGCTGTTAGACCACTAGTCAACTAAAAATAAGACTCCCATGTTAAGATAAGCACAATGAGAACACATGGACACAGGAAGGGGAACATCACACTCTGGGGACTGTTGTGGGGTGGCGGGAGGGGGGAGGGATAGCATTGGGAGATATACCTAATGCTAGATGACGAGTTAGTGGGTGCAGCGCACTGGCATGTCACATGTACACATATGTAACTAACCTGCACATTGTGCACATGTACCCTAAAACTTAAAGTATAATAATAAAATAAAATAAAATAAAATAAAAGATAAGCTGGGTCATGAAACTGGAAAGGTGACACCAGGTCACCTACCGGTCTCAAGAAAATTTCTGTTCAATAAAAGAACACTGTAAAAGCATTACAGGACCCAACACTATGGTGTTTTCTTTTTAGTCTTTTATTTTGGCTCCAAGAGACCCAAGATTCAACGTAAAAATAAAATTCTTAATATGTAAAGAACTGAGTACTCCAACTTCTGGCTACACCTACCCTTTACATGTGTTAAGTATTAGGCCCTAGAAGCTGCAAACACTTACAAAAATGGCAAAATCTTACCAGAGATAATTTAGAATTACAAAGGCTATTATGTAGGACATTCCAAATGATCAAGACTGTTCATCTAAGGCATGTGTTTTAAAATAAGGACTCTTAAATTAGGTCCACCCTGGGGTACCTATTTTAATTGCTGTACGAAAGCTTTTTAAAAGGTTTCAAAAAAATTTTGCCTCTTCAAAACATTTCTTACAAAAGGTAAATGAAAAGATAAAGGAATTAATTGATAAGAAAAACTGAATCTGCAAACCTTTTCAATTAGTTACCATTCCACCCAAAAGGGAAAAAGAAAGCTAGATAAAGTGTTTATAAAAGCTAGACCCTTAGGCAAACACAGTTTTCTTCTTTCACCACGTTCACACCCTAGTTCAGAGCTATCTATGCTGAATTCAGGCATAGAAAATACCTTTCCCATTTATTAATAGGCTCCTCTTTAAACTCAGTAATCCAGTTGAGAAAATGAAGCTCAATTTAAAAGCAAAAAGTCACAGACTACAATGAATAAACTAGCGAACAATCACTTAGGGTAATACTCAGGAAGGTTAATCAAGAACTAGGCAATGGTCCCTCGATTCAGTTTCCTTTTGGAGTGGATAAAGTGGTCATGGGTAAAGAAGAGAGATATCCTTAGGGTAAATAAATTTCTTGGAAAGATGAATGGCTCCAAAATATACAGGAGGGTTTGTGGGAAAGTTTGGGTGTGATGGTTAGTGTTTCACAAAAATTTTCATGAGCAACTCAAGCATAATTATTAAAAACAAGTAAATTAGATGAGTGTAAATGGGATAAAAGTTTATAAATGAACTTTTCATGGTTTCAAAAATATTTTTTGGTAACTTAAAGTTTTAAATTTATATTATGTTAAGTAACAGATATTCATTAAATGTCCGAGTGATTTCTAAGTAGGTTAAAATGCTGAAATCTTAATTGCTAAACATACATTTAAGTTTATATATTTAGGCATCTTGTGTTTATGCAGTGTAGATAAGTTAAATATATTTGGATCTGTTAATAAACATGAAAAATTGTATTAGCATATATTTCTATAAATTATGATTATATTACCAAGGCTTTGACTGGGATGTCATATTTGAGAATGTGAATAGGATACCTGGCTTCAAGGGTTCCCAGCCTTACAGCGAATACAAAAATTTCACTTATTGGCAGGCCCAAGAACCCCAGGATATTTCAGAAACTTCAAAAAGAGAAGAATTCATTCTAATATATAGGTACTACAGGCAAAGTCTGAAATCTGCTGTGGTTTGGCTTTCTAACCTTGAGAAACTTTTAAAATTCTAATCAGGGATTACTTATACAAAATTCCAGCAAAGCAAACTTAAAAACAGCCCATGTGGTCAATCACTATTCTGTCTGCACTTACTTAAATAATCAGGACAAGCTTGATGAGATTAAACTTATTTTTCAAACAATCAGTCTTACTGATTGTCTTAGATTTGAGTAGAAATGAGGATGACTAGAAAAAGAAAAATGATGTTTCAGAAGAAAACTATAGTATACCTGTTATTAGATTTTAACTCTATTCATTGTTTTTAAATTTTTATTATCTACCTGTAGACTGGACTGGATCCTGAATTCTTCCAGTTTTCTCCAATCCATTTTTTTTGTTTGTTTTACTTTCATGACTTGGAATCACAAGGAACAGGAATTGTTTTGTCCTTGAAACTTTATAAGCTAGAGATGGATAAGTCAATGTAAATTTCAAAGGACAACCCTTGTACCTGATGTGTGAGCCACTCATAGAATTCACAGAAATATCCAATATTATAACCAGAGACATTCAAATTGCAAACAAAGGCAAGAAGTTGATGATGTCATTTTGTGGGCAGCTTTTCCCAAGTCATTGGAACAAGACTCTCCGTCATAATGAGACTCTAACTACTCTCAATCTTTTCTTTGCTTATGCATACCTCTTTCACTTGTCAGAATAACCCTGTAGTTAGAATTTCAAAATCCCTAGCTTCATTGGGAAACTTGACCAATGGCAAATGAAGGGTCAGTATGGGCTAAGAATTCTAATGGTACCTTCATCACTCCGTAATCCGTCAGAAGCAGAATATTGGTTCACTCTCCTTAACCTACAACATAAGTTGAGAAGAATATTGCCAGGAAGCATTAACCCTTCTGGATGAGCATTATTTTTCAGGTACCTTTTCCCATGGCTTGGAATAGGTACAAATGAGTCAAGGATTAGAAATGTATTTCTCACAATAGCCTCTATAGCAAACTCTACTACAACAGCTATAGTTGCACAACAGACTTTTCTAAATTCTCTTGTTAGAATTGTACTAGATAAGAGAATTGCTCTCAATTACCTGCTGGCTGAACAGGGAAGGGGTGTAAGGTGGCTAACACTTCTTAATTCACATATATAAGTAAGTTGGGCATTGTAGAAACTCAGTTGCAAAAAATTAATCAATAAGCTACTTGGCTAATATGGGTAGATTTCTAATCTGGTTTATTCTTTGATCTATTACATTTTAGTTGATTTGTTTTATGGGAACCCTGGCTAGTGTGCATTCTCCAAGCTCTGTATTAGTCTTCTGATAATCGTAATAGTAGTCTCTGTTATTCTGTATTCTCTCAAAAGTTTTAAATGTCTGCATGCAGCCATTCTTTGAACATCAAATGGTCTTTCTTTGGCTAGATCAACAAAAATTCAAAGTGACATATAACAAGGACACTGTGACCTATGAATGATATGTTGAGGCTAAAAACCAAGAATGGTGGTAACTGAGAGTAGTGATAACATATTAAGTTTTTGTCACACTGGCACTTAGGTGACGGCCTGACTAAACACGGGGAAATGTTAAATAAAAATATGAGAGGCCATTGTTTTGGAATGAGTTTATATAATAGGCCCCAGCAAATCAGACCAAACCAAAATGGAGTTACTCATGCTACGTGCCACATAATCAACTTGAAAATTTAAAGAAACAGGTAAATAATCAAATAGATCAGGTTTATTTTCTGAAAACAGATTCATGGCAATCGATCAGAAAGAGCCAGTGTACCTGAGTCAGCATACTACAAATTTTCCCTCTGTTTTAACAATTATTAGTAAACTATAATAGCCTGATATAAATGAATCCACTTTATTTATTGTTCTTTTCCCTTATTCTCATCTTATAAAAACCAAATGTTTGATCACACGCAGCAGAACATTTATTCTATTTTTAAGCATGACATATTACCTGATTTTAGAATTGCAAATAAAAGCTAATTAGTTCTTTAAACTAAATTAGTTGTAATTTTGTCTTTTGACACCTCTTTATAATCATCAAATTAAGACCTATGATGTGACAAGATAGACTGTCAAATCTGGCAATTCCTATTTTTATGGAAAATAAGATACTAGAGCAAGTCAGCTCTGGGACTGTCATAAAGGCTCTCATTTACATGAAAAAAAGACAAGAACTGTTTCCTAACTATTATATGCAAATCTCTGTTTCTTACTGCGATTAACATTTTGAATATTCTAGTTTTTGTTCAGCAACTTGAACTGAAACTGTAACTGTTTATTAAGAAATACATATATGTCAACTTAAACTATTTACTTGAGGAATTTTCCCATTTGTTTAACTTTGTGCTTTCAGCTAATTGGGCACATATATTTGCTGATTCAGAAGAATAAATTTTCCTCTTTCACTAATAAGAAAATTGGCTCAGCATGTTATAATTGTCTTCACTTTTTAAATTTGCCTGGTTTTAGATTATCATAATATCTTGCTCCTGGGTTACCCTAGTAACTAATCCTCTCCAAATCCCTTTCATTTATCTAATTATCTACATCTTCATCTCTGTCAAAGCAAAGTTTCTATTTACCAGGTGACCCATGTGCTGCTCAATTTTGTTCATTACTTAAAAAATAAGTAAAATAATCACTCTTTGTTGTCTTCGTTAACATTGAATAGATGCATTTGCAAAGTTAAATGGATTTTTTTTATAGTTGAGGTGAACTTCAGAGTCCCACTTTCTCATTCCACCTATAGAGAATTGAGTTTAATTTATAAACTCATTCATTCATCAAAAAGTTATTAAACCAGTGTATCTATTATAATGCTGTCTATGCTGGGCATTAAGATGAATAAGATGTGGTCCAAGTTATATGTAGATGAGTGGGTGTCTGGGGTATGTACAAACAATGAATAATAATGCATAGTGTACTAGTCAGTTTTTACACTGATACAAAGAGCTACCTGAGACTGGGTAATTTATACTAAAATAAAAAAGGTTTAGTTGAGTCACAGTTCCCCATGGCTGGGGCGGCCTCAGGAAACTTACAATAGTGGCAGAAGGTGAAGGGTAAGTATGGCGGCAGGACAGGGTTGGGGGGGAAACTGCCACACACTTTTAAACCATCAGATCTGATGAGAACTCACTATCACAAGAACAGCATGGAGGGAACTGCCCCCATGATCCAATCACCTTCCTCCAGATTCCTCCTCCAACATGTGGGGATGACAATTCAAGATGAGATTTGGGTGGGGTCACAGAGCCAAACCATATCACACAGATTGCCATAAAATTACATGGCATGAACTAGGCTGTGTCTGATTGTGCCTTTCTGTAAAGGCACAAAAACATTGCTAAGCAATTCTAACGCAGGGATTTTAGCAAGATTCATGGAGATGTATGGCATCTGTCGTAGGTGTTCAAAAATGCCTAGAAATTAGGAAGTTAGATGAGAGAAAGGTTCAAATAGGCCATCCAAAGAAATTCTGTGTGTGTTTTCTTCAACACGAAGATATATGGGATTCCAGGGAGTTTACTGGGACTAGGAAACGGGTGTGGTAAGAGATGAGAATAAAAGGATAAAATACAGAGACAAAAAGAGTTGAGTAGCACAGCCTTAGAAGGCGTTGAGTGCAATGCTGAGGATTATTATTATTATTTCATATATGAGTAAATTAAAGAAGTGGAGCAGGATATTTTAGATATCATACCGTCCCAGCTGTTCCAGAAACGGCAAAAGGCTAAGACTTTTTATCTCCACTCTGATGGATTTCTCACTGTTCCACAGAAGAACAATTAGGTTTTGCTAGAAGTCAGAAAGACAGACCATAATTAACATTTCTAAGTGGGCACAATTACTTTTTATAAATTCTGGTCTTCGAATCTTATGTACTTTAATTTTGGACACTTTCCAACCACTAGGGCTTGAATTGAGCTGGATACATTTCTGGGGTTTGAGGAAAGAGCCTATTACTCTACCTGATTGATGGAGGAAATAAACAGAAGGCAATTTGTTCATTCCTTGGAGAGCCAGAGAGTGGCCCCCATAATGTGCAATTTAAGATGAGGGAGATGTCAGCAACAAGATAGTGGATGGTGAGAGCCAACAACTTTCCCAATGGCAGGAGGGAAATTGTAAAATCACTTACTGCTTATTTGCTGTGGAACCAGGCAAGCCATTTTCTCTTCTGCTTTTGCGTACGTTTCCTTTTTAAATAAAATCAAATTACACATATTCATAACTGTCCTATGCATGTTTTTCCTTTTGGGCTAATCTTTCTTTATTTAATAAAGGACATACCATGACTTTTTAAATCTATCCCAAACTAGATTATGAACTATTTTTTGTATCACATTGATGGACTATTTTAGAGAATATAATTGACTAACATTTGTTAATCATTAATAATTTGTAAGGCACTTTCTAAGCTACTAAATGAATTAAATAATTTAATTATAACAATTCACTGAAATTCTTACTACTAATATAAACATTTTGCAGATGAGAACATATACGACCAGAAAGATACATAGACAGATTAATTTTCCCGAGGTAACAATGACAGTAGGAGTGTTCTGTGTCTTGAGTTTGTGCACTTAACCACTAAATTTCGCTGATTTTTTTAAGGTTAGAACCCAAAGATCTAACTTTATAAAACCTAACCTTATCTAACCTTTTACTCTTCAGAAAAGCTAATCAAAGAAATACATTTTAGTGTCTGCAATTTTTAGACGATAACAAAATTTGTTGGTAGCAGAGCCAGAAATGAATCCTGGTTTCTTACTCCTGAGCCAATGACTTATTTATTCCACATGATGTTATTGTTTCCCTAGTAGATGCATAGACACACACACACACAGACACACACATTTACATTGACTGGAAATATATCCCAGGCATGAAGCTGGAGAAAACAACTTATTTTTATTTAAGAGAAGTAGTATTATGTGATAATTAACAGGAGTATTTTGAAAACAAGAAGACAAACAGGATATATAAAATCTGGGGGAAATGGCATTATGGTTGCAGAAAATGTAACAGAAAATGCCAGATTTGTTCATGGGACTTATGAGTGCTCTCACACAAATGCACATATATGTATATAAACATGCACCACTCACGTGTAAGCATATATGTAAATATTTTAAAAAATTTAATTAGTTATATTCTCTCTCATTGGAATTTAGAAATATATGTGTATGTGTGTTTTTGTGTATATGTGTATGTATTCATATATGCATACACAAACACATATATTTCATACACACACACACACACACACACACACACACACACACACACACACACACATATATTTATGATGGTGGCAACAGGTTTACTGAGGAAAACATTCTCCTTAGAAACGATGATACCTAAGGCAGCACCATGAAGCCAGAAAGAACAGGGAGTTTTGCAATCAGAAGAACACAGATGCAAGTCCTGATTATTTAATTATATGACCTTATGGAGGCCATCCAGTCACTAAAACTGTTTTCCTCAATTTTAAAATAAAGAAATTAATCTCTACTTCATTGGGCTGGATTTCACTGAAAACTACACAAAGAGATACATACCCTGGAACAGGAAATATATATATATAAATATAATTTATTTTTTATATCTAAATAAATATAAATATCCTAATAAATATAAATATATCTAAAAATAAATATAAATACATATATTAGGTTCTCTCTCTCTTTATATAAACGTGTGTGTGGATACATACCTTGGAATAGGGAATATATATATAAATAAATATATACTTATATGTAAATAAATATAAATATATACACACCTATATATTTTTATTTAAGAGAATATATATGTTATATATGTATATATTACATATTATGTATTATAATATATATACTTATATCTAACATATATTATATTATATATAATATAATCCTTTTTTTTAGTTTTCTAGTTTCTGCTTTTTTAGTATGTTATATATAAATCAATGGTGATAGAATATGCTTACACCCAAAAGTATTTATATTTAGACATGATAAAAAATAAACCTTTAAATAAATGGCAGGATCTCAATGATAAAATGTCCAGCATCTTTCAGTAACAGAAGAGGGATTTTTGGTCATCTGTGCTTTGTATGCCCCCTGAAGGCCCCACAGGATAATTGACTCCTCTCTCTGATGAGCGGAAGGCAATGAAACGCTGTCAAAATTGACATATGGGCAGGGCACGGTGGCTCACGCCTGTAATCCCAGCACTTTGCGAGGTCAAGGTGAGCAGATTACTTGAGGTCAGGAGTTCGAGACAAGCCTGGCCAACATGATGAAACCCCATCTGTACTGAAAATACAAAAACTCACTGGGCATGGTGGCACCTGCCTGTAGTCCCAGCTACTCAAGGGGCTGAGGCAGGAGAATCACTTGAACCCAGGAGGTGGAGGATGTAGTGAGCCAAGATCACGCACTCTAGCCTGGGCAACAGAGCGAGACTCCATCTCAAAAATAAAAAAAAATATTGACATATGAGGTTGATTACAGGACTCTGTGGGAGCACAGAGAAGGAAAGCCTTGACCACTTGGGAAATGAGAAAATCGAGGTTTAGCAAGAACTTCTAGAGAAAATGACCACTTAGATTATTCTCAGGTAATGCTATTATGAACTTGAAAACTCTGCCCCGCCTGGAAACCACTTAGCATGCATAAGTGAGTGAGAAATAAACACTTATTGCAGTGCTGGCGCAATTAACAACTGTATATTTGGGTTCTATCTTGTTATACCTACTAGCCTATCCAAACTTTATACACACACACACACACACACACACACACACACACGTATGTACACATACACATATGTATTTATATGTAAATTACCCTGAGGTCCACATTTATGTTAATAAATATACTCTTAAGTAACACTTGCACATGTGACCATGTAGAATTTTTCTTTTATTTTAAATTTTAAATTATTGTGGGCACAGAGTAATTGTATATATTTATGTGGTAGATGAGATGTTTTGATATAGACATGCAATGTGTAATAATCTCATCATGGGAAATGGGGTATCCATCCCCTCAAGCATTCATCCTTTGTGTTACAAACAATCCAATTATGCTCTTTTAGTTATTTTAAAATGTACAATTAAATTCTTTTGAGTATAATCACCCTGTTGTGCTACCAAATACTAGGTATTAGTAATCACATCATACAGAATCGGGTATCCATGCCCTCAAGCACTTATCCTTTGAGTTACAAAGAATCCAATTACACTCTTTTATATGTAGAAGTTCTCAAGAATGTTCTAAACAGATTTTCTGGGGGGTAAGATATGCTTTCCAAACAGCGTAAGCATGTCAATTGAAAGGACAATGAATATGTTTGAGTGCCTGTATATATACATAATCCATGGTTGGTGCAAACATAATTGCAGTTTTTGCATTGTTGCAATTTGCCAATCGATATTGGAACATATTCTTAAATTTGGTTATGTTATACATCATTTTAATGGGCATTTTTCACTTTTTTTTTGCTAATGACTTATTACCTGCTGTTTATTTTATGTTTATTTTAGACTGTGGAAATGATGTTAGACAAAAAGCAAACTTGAGAGATTTTCTTATTTGAGTTCAAAATGGGTCATAAAGCAGCGGAGACAACTGGCAACATCAACAACGCATTTGGCCCAGGAAGTGCTAGCGAATGCACAGTGTGGTGATGTTTCAAGTTTTGCAAAGGAGATGAGAGCCTTGAAGGTGAGGAGTGTAGTAGCTGGCCATCGGAAGTTGACAATGACCAACTGAGACCAGTTGAGAGCAATCATCGAAGCTGATCCTCTTACAACTAGATGAGAACTTGCTGAAGAACTCGACATCAAACATTCTATGGTCCTTTGGCATTTGAAGCAAATTGGAAAGGCAAAAAAGCCTGATAAGTGGGTGCCTCATGAGTTGAGTGAAAATAAAAAAAGTTGTTTTGAAGTGTTGTCTTCTCTTATTCTATGCAACAACAATGAACCGTTTCTCAACTGGATTGTGACATGTGACAAAAAGTGGATTTTATATGACAATCAACCAGCTCAGTGGTTGGACTGAGAAGAAGCTTCAAAGCACTTCCCAAGGCCAAACTTGCACCAGAAAAGGTCATGGCCACCATTTGGTGGTCTGCTGCCAGCCTGATCCACTACAGCTTTCTGAATCCCAACAAAATCATTACACCTGAGAATGATGCTCAGCAAATCAATGAGACGCACTGAATACTGCAATGCCTGAAGCCAGCATTGGTCAACAGAAAGGGCCCAGTTCTTTTCCATGACAACGCCTGACCACATGTCACACAACCAATGCTTCAAAAGTTGAATGTATTGGGCTACAAAGTGTTGACTCATCCAACATATTCACCTGGCCTCTTGCCAACCGACTACCACGTCTTAAAGCATCTTGACAACTTTTTGCAGGGAAAATGCTTCCACAAGCAGCAGGATGCAGAAAATGCTTTCCAAGATTTTGTCGAATCCCAAAGCATGGATTTTTATGCTATCGGAATAAACATACCTATTTCTCATTGGCAAAAAATGTATTGATTGTTATGGTTCCTATTTTGATTAATAAAGATGTGTTTTAGCCTAGTTATAATGATTTAAAATTCACAGTCTGAAACTGCAATTACTTTTGCCCCAACCATATATATATATATATATATATATAAAATATTTGGAATTATTTTGTGGAATAAATAATTGAAAAGGAATGAACTAGAATTACCTATATCATCATAGGTGAATCTCATACATTTACAGAAGGGTAGATACATTATATCTTTTTTAATTCTAAATTTCAAAACCATTAAAATACCTATGTATAAATACATACATGCTGCTGATATGTACATATATTGTCAAACTAAAAATGAAATTAAAAATCTTATTTTTAAAGTTCAGGCTCGTGGTGCTATCTGGGTACTAGAGAAGGAGTGAATCAGAGAGGGACAGAGGTATTTTAACAGTTTTAATGATACACTTTGTCTCTTTTAATAAAAGCATACTGGGTACATGAGTCTTTGTTTTCTTATACCTTTTCTATTAAATATACTTAATATATTTTTACATCATTGGAAACCTTCCCCATAAAAATAAACTACAATATATGTGAGGTATGTACCACAGTGCCTGTCACATAAAACGTTCTGAATAAAGGTCATTTTCTTTATGAATTATATCCTATGAAAGCAAAAAATTATGAGGAGTCACATTCAGATGCAGTGTGCACATGAGATAATTTATTGGGCAGAGCTAAAGTCGGAGAGTCAGGACACTCAGGTTTGTGAGACACTGATGTGCTAGTACTCTACTCTGTTAAAGCACACAACAGTTTGTACTATGTCCACCCCTTCATTTCCTATAGTATAGTCTCCACTGCTCTTTTCTATCTCCATAGGCAAAGCACTTTTCTGGACACTATAGATATACTCAGTTAATGTTTACTGAATGAATTCATGAGTCATTTAGTGAATTAATGTCTGTTTCCTTTTTTGCTTTTTCTGGTAAGGTCTATTAACTTGAACAAGGCATGCTATCTCTTTCAGTTTTAGTTCCTTTATCTCTGAAATTAATAGGATCTATACCATGGTCGCCAAGATGCCACTAACTTTGAGATTCATTGTTACATTACCTGGGACTTTTCACAAAAATATCTGTTTCTTCCATTATAAAAACAAAGTTTTCATTTTTTTTTCAAAATGACAGAACTTTTTAAGTTGTGTGGAAAGTAGAGTCCTCTTTAACTAATTACAAATTGTAGATACTACAATAGTACCATCCATCCTTTATCTCGAATTAGGAGATAAGGTCTAAAGTTCAATACCAGATCCCAAAGCACAGAATATGCACCTGGCATCAGAGGAAACCTCAGAATACTTTACATGTCGCAATGCATTTTAATTCAACAGCCCTTTAGTGAAAGTTACATGCAAAATATTGTAAGGGATGGAAGGGATAATGAGATTCTGTCCAGTGAATTCACAGAGCCAGGCACCAGCTTTTAAGATCATATAACCGGCACTCATTTTGCAGAGAAATATTAAATGGTGTAAATGGGGCTATACTCTTTTCTTAGAGTCAGCTAACCACTTTCCCTGGAGTTGTAAGTTATTTAACATTTCTGTTCCTCCATTTCACCGTGAATTGAAAAGAAGTTTGCAATAAACCTCTCGTTTTTCTTTACAAGTGCTATCTGGTTTGCTATCTGCAAAATGGTGAAAATAATATGTCTCATACAGTAATTGTTAGGATTAAGAAAAATATTCTTAGGAAAGCTCCTGGTAGTGTTTTGCCGTAGCAGATAGGGTCACTGTGATGATTATTGTTGTTAGTGTTGTAACCACTAATTTAGATAGCTGTGATATTCTATATGGTATCCCCTTCCCTTTCCCTTTAGCACCAGATGGGGTGAAAACAAGATTGTGAAAATTCTTAAGACTGTCACTTTCCTAGGCAAACTCTGTGTCCATAATCCCTTTATAACCAGTCCCGTTGTAGGTATGGATAAATTAATGCAGGCATCTTACAGAAAATCACCACAAGCATTCAAGCCTCTCTACCGTCGTATACCCAGTACTTTACATATTATGTTTGGGGGTGTGGGGCTCCTCACAGTCTTGTTTCAGACTCTCCATCTTACCCTCAAGGCTAAACAGTACTTGCTATCCTCAAGCTTGACTTTGAGCATTAGGTTAAACAATAGAAACTAGTGTGATGACATCAAAGAAGAAAAGTCATACTTGGACAGAAATCAACAGAATTGTTTCCTTGCATACATACTGCAGTGCTGTGCTGGGTCTGGCATATGACAGAATGCCCTGACCTGTTTCATGAATGATTCTCATCTACTTCCCCAGAGTAGCTTCTCTGATCTCTGGAACAACATCTTATTATGCCACTTGGTCAAATTTAAGTCATAATCTAATTCCCCAGTTGATGAGACAGTTGCAAGAATGTAATAAATACATAACCCTGAAAATTCTGCAGATTGTATTACACCAAATAATATCACAACAAAGCACTGACTTTGTCAAATTTATCCCTTGTAATATCTGTTTTCTCTATTTCACTAAACATGTCCTATTTGGATAAACTCAATACATAACATATGGTTACCTTCTGAAGATATACCTTTCATATATCTCACAGGCACCTAAAAAGGTCACTGGCTGAAGACAGAGAATGCCAATCATGTCACCAATCCCACTCTTGCTAATTTTACCAAAGTAAAAAGCACCGTTCTCGCTGTAATTACATCAACTCTAGAGAATTACCAGGCTTGGCCTACTATCTGTTTAGCCTGGGCCTGCTAGAACTGAACATTAGATGATTTCTCTAAAGGAAAACTAGTTATGCCTGAAAGAAATATTTTTAGGGTTTTAGTGCAGCCATTATGTTCTAAATGGGAAACTATTAGCTACCCCATAGATGAGAAAAGCTTCCTCCCATGACTTGTGGACCTCAGCAAGTCTGTTACAGATATTCCATCAGCGTATCCAATCTTCTTCTAATCAGTTCCTTCACCATTAATGAAGGTGTGAGTACAATGGAAGCTTGACTATGTGAGCACACATGGGGGTTATCTAGTCCATGAAGAAATGTATATTAGAATGGAGAAACAATGACATTACTGTTGAGGGATTTCCCTTCTAATACTATTATTTTGTCTAATTAGCCTTTTATACAACCATTTGTGTTAATGATAAGCAGAGGCTCTTTGCACAAATTGTGGAAGACAGAGGAGAGTACCAAAAATAACCTACACCTGAAGTTGATTCTATGTGAATAATGATGCCTGTGTGATATGTAGATGGACAGATGGACAGAGACGGAGGGCATTGGGAAAAGCAGCCTCCTACATGCAGTCTTTCAGCCCTGACTCAGAAGCATTAAAATAGGACTTGGGCCTGGAACGCTCTCTTACCAAGAGACAGGGAGTCTTTACAGCCTGTGCTGGACCTGTCACCTTGTATGGGAGTATCTCTTCCTGTTTCAAATGCAATGTGTACTCCGTTGTTTTGCTTAAGCGTGTGCATCACATAGAAGCTGACCAACCCCTGCTGTTACACCTGTCCCCTGAGGGGAGAGGCAGGTTCCTTTACTCTGAAGCACAAGAAAGATTCCTGCAGGCCAATGGCCCAGTGTCAGTTGCCAGGAGGGACCCACTGGCCATGGGGGATCAAAGCCCACTGTGAAGCTGACCTTGGACTGTACCTTTTCTATGTGATTAAAATGATCCATTCAGTGCTTGATTGCATTGTGTTTTTCTCAGCGACTTTAATACTGAATAACAAGATGCAGTGGGACAGAAGTGTTTGGGATTCTACTCATGGAGATAGGCAGCAGATGCCACTTGCTTGATGGAGAGAAAATCAGATAGATAAAGTGATAAACCTGTAAACGGACATGAGGAAGGCAGAGATAGAAGGGAAAGATGAATAATTACTCATCCAATTTAAAATTAAGGAGGTGTTTTATTTAAATCTTTGTTGTGGTTGTTGCTTTACTTAACATCACATAATCAGCATTATCTATTTAATATTAGGAGTTGATGCAGATATCATTATATTTGGGGAAGCTGTCTTTCATTTTCATTTTTGCTTCTGTCCCTTTTTTACTTCTATTGTGTGTTTATTTTTGTTTAGTGATAGTGAACACTCACAAAGCTAATTTGATTTATATTTTAAATTGTACTGTCATCAGGACCTCAGTCAAAGACTAATATACTTTTGTGGCCTCCTGGCTTAGAAAATTTACCTTAGTGATATTTTCCAGTTCCATTCTGAAACCTGTCCAGGGATGCCTATGATATGTGATTCAATTTTCTTTATTCCCACATATGTACCAGCAGAGTTTCCATGAACTTAATAGAGAATATAAGAAATAATGCAAGCAGTATATTAAATAGAATCTTCAAAGTTAACCTAGGATGCATGTTTTTCTTTGATGACAACATATTATGCAAATTATTTTGTCATAGTTGTGTTTGTTCTCACATCAATTCTAAAATGAATTATAGATAAATATGATGTGTTAGGTGCTCTATTTGCATTATCAGTTGAGTGTACCATAATAATGTTGTTTAAACTTACATCAAAATTTTCCAAACTGGTATACTCTTTATGAAGCTTGGAAAGCAAAACACATAGTCTAAGGCCCTAACTTAAACCAGGCATTTATACATTTCATACGCTGCAGAAATAATATTTATATAATTAATTTCTTGCAGCATTTACAGTTGGATTAACATGGGTTTTGGATGAAAAGATGTGGATTTGTATTCACTTTCCGGAACTCACCAGTTGTGTAAATTCTAGATTATTAATTAATTTCTAACAGGTATAATTACCTCAGCTTTAAAATAAGGATCAAAACATTGACTTTGAAAGATAACTTCCAGCATTAGGGAAATACATGCAAAGTAGAAAGTCCTGTCCCTGACTCAAACTATGGGTGATGATATTATTGATATTTTTCATAATATTAATACTGTTACTAAATTATTAATATTATTACAATAATATTAATAATGTTACCATCTCCTGATGGTTACTGGAGAAAATAAGTGCTAAAACATCCATATCACCAGCCAAAATTTTATTTCAATGTAAGGCAATACCATATTTATGTGGAGGATTATATAGTCTCCCTTGAAGGTAGGCATCTGCAATGGATTTTGAAAGATTAATGGAAAATAACTAATAGAATAAGGAGGACTTTCCAGTAAATTGAATACACACTCAAAGGGAGGGATAAACAGAAACTTAGACTATGGTTTGGGAACAACAAACAATCCACTATGCCTGAATACATACATAATCTATATGTCTGGAGATGATATGGTTTGGATGTTTTGATCCCTCCAAATCCCCTCATGAAACATTACCTCCAATGTTGGAGATAGACATAGTAGGAGATATTTGAGTCATAGGGGAGATTCCTTCATGAATGGCTTGGTGCTGTCTTAACGTAATTAGTGGGTTCTTACTCTATGAATTCACATGAGATCTGGATGTTTAAAGCACCTGGCACCTCCTCTCTCTGTCTCTTACTCCTTCTTTTTGCAACGCAACCTGCTGTTTTCCCTTGGCCTTCTGCCATGATTGTAAGCCTCCTGAGGCCATCACCAGGAGCAGATGCCAGCACAATGCTTCCTGTGCAGCTTGGAGAACTGTGAGCCCAAATAAACCTCTTTTCTTTATAAATTACCTGGTTTCAGAAACTCCTTTATAGTAATGCAAATAGACTAACACAGGAGACAAATAAGAAATAATGGAGGCCTTCTATTTATAATAGGGCTACTGGCAGAATAGAAATTATAAAAAAAAAAGAACTTCTTTGCAAACACCTTGCAATAGTATCTCAAACATAAATAATTTTTTATTTATAAAGTAAATGTAATGCAGACAGAAGGGAATAGGAAGCTGAAAACTCAACACTAAACTATAGTCTGCCTTAGGCACCCATTAGTAACAAATATTAATGGCCAGGTAGGACACAGGAGAAAAGGCCTTGGGCTCTGTGTATGGTGGAGAGTCAGATTTCTAGACACAAGTATTAAGCTACGTCCTGCAAAATGGTACATTCTTGATTAAAGCATACCTTAGTACTGGTTTCATTCTTTGTCAACTATAGCAAAAAGGAAACTAATCTCCCTTAGAAATTGACTCTGGATGAAAAAAAAGCCTCTTCTAATAAATTGTAATTATTAGACTATACTTTAACTAGTTCACAATATGAATATGGATCTAAGTTTGGGCAGCTTCTAAGTATTTTAAAGGGAAGCCTCCAAGTTAACCTAACACTGGAACTAAGTTTGGGCAGGTTCTCTAGCAGCCCCTTTTAAAAGACTGGGTTTTTCTAAGTTAAGGGTTACTCATCCGTACCACATCTGACCACAAACCCACTGTGTACAGAGAATCTACCTGGGATTGCTTCTGCATCACCCCTTGGGACTTGAGAGAGTAAGGGTGATCATTGCAAACATGAGTCTCATTCTACCTGCAGTGAATGCTATGAGTAACAAAGTCCTTTGTCTCCGACCCAGGAGTCTCAAGTTTTCTGTCAGCATTTATAAAACTGTGGTTTACCTACAACTGTCAGCTGACAAAGAGAGATAAATTCCGAACCCCTTGCAGTTCTTGACAATGACGTTTGCCTTGTAACTAATGTTAGGTGATTTCAGAAGAAGTTACTTTCTTTTTCTAAGCCTATGCTTTCTAATTTGCATAATTCAGGGGGTGGGCATGAACCACCATTCAACATTAATATTTTAGGATTTGATTATTGTAAATATGTCAATTAGCATGTCTGTTGTCATGTTCATAAAACATAGCTGATTATTCACTGAACTTCAGGTGCAAATTGTAAATAAACTGAGTGTAGCTAACACAACAAATAGTATTTAAGAAGTAACTGTCTGCCAATGAAGGGCCCTGAAATCAGTTCAGTGTAGGGTTGATCACAGAACAATCATTTATTTTGGAAGAGGAAATCATGTTAATTTCCCAGAACCTGGTCAATGGTGTTTTCTGTTGGCCAATGCACGTACTATTGCTTAATATATTCTCAAGGGTGGCAGTTAGTCTTAAAGAAGCATTAGGAAGCATCCCAAAATTTAACTACCTTTAGTTCTGTGAAATTTCACAGGAATTAAAGCAAATGGGGGCCTTCTTTGAAGGAGCAAGAGTTAAAGGAAGCAAAATGAAGAATAGAGATTTTACCTGCCTCATTAGTTTCATAAAAGTGCCTGTGATCTAATAGCAAGAAATTTTAATAGTAATTATGTATAAAACTACATTGCAAATAAATGACTATCATTTTTAAGTACTTAACAAGTACTAAACAGTGTACTTACAAAACACTTTTAAAACCACTGTCAACTTTAATGTAAATAGAACCTTGCAAAATAGTCACTTTAACTGAGAATAAGTGATACTAAATGAGAAGCTTAAGGTCATACATGTAAGTGAGGTTGATTCAGATCTAGATTTCTGACAAACATCATGTGAACTTCTCAATACTTAGTTGGAAAGACTTTTTATTAGATCATTTCCTTAGCATATTACCTTTTAATTTGTTGACTTCTTAGTTTTCCCTTTTCCCAGAATATTTTCATAATATGGCATATTTTTAAAGATGTGAAAATTATAGCTTTGCAATTTCAAAATATTTTCTCATATCCATACTAGAAAAAATAGATTTGGCTGGCTAAAATTAAAACAACACACAAAAAAAATTTAAAAAAACAAACAAAACTCTGGAGGCACTGCTTAAAAAAACTCAAGGGAACCAGTTTCTTCTACCTGCTGTGCTATTGTTGAGAGAATATTTCTGAGCTTCTCCTGAAAAGGGACTAATTACAAGAGAATTACACGTAGATGTAGATTTACCCAGATAAAAATTTAAAATGACCCGTAAATGAAAATGTTTTTCTACCAGTGATTTGTGATCTTTGACAAACCTGAGAAAAACAAGCAATGGGGAAAGGATTCCCTATTTAATAAATGGTGCTGGGAAAACTGGTTAGCCATATGTAGAAAGCTGAAACTGGATCTCTTCCTTATACCTTATACAAAAATTAATTCAAGATGGATTAAAGACTTAAATGTTAGATCTAAAACCATAAAAACCCTAGAAGAAAACCTAGGCATTACCATTCAGGACATAGGCATGGGCAAGGACTTCATGTCTAAAACACCAAAAACAATGCCAACAAAAGCCAAAATTGACAAATGGGATCTAATTAAACTAAAGAGCTTCTGCACAGCAAAAGAAACTACCGTCAGAGTGAACAGGCAACCTACAAAACGGGAGAAAATTTTTGCAACCTACTCATCTGACAAAGGGCTAATATCCAGAATCTACAATGAACTCAAACAAATTTACAAGAAAAAAACAAACAACCCCATCAAAAAGTGGGCGAAGGATATGAACAGACACTTCTCAAAAGAAGACATTTATGCAGCCAAAAGACACATGAAAAAATGCTCATCATCACTGGCCATCAGAGAAATGCAAATCAAAACCACAATGAGATACCATCTCACACCAGTTAGAATGGCAATCATTAAAAAGTCAGGAAACAACAGGTGCTGGAGAGGATGTGGAGAAATAGGAACACTTTTATACTGTTGGTGGGACTGTAAACTAGTTCAACCATTGTGGAAGTCAGTGTGGCGATTCCTCAGGGATCTAGAACTAGAAATACCATTTGACCCAGCCATCCTATTACTGGGTATATACCCAAAGGACTAGAAATCATGCTGCTATAAAGACACATGCACACGTATGTTTATTGCAGCACTATTCACAATAGCAAAGACTTGGAACCAACCCAAATGTCCAACAATGATAGACTGGATTAAGAAAATGTGGCACATATACACCATGGAATACTATGCAACCATAAAAAATGATGCATTCATGTCCTTTGTAGGGACATGGATGAAATTGGAAATCATCATTCTCAGTAAACTATCGCAAGGACAAAAAACCAAACACTGCATGTTCTCACTCACAGATGGGAACTGAACAATGAGAACACATGGACACAGGAAGGGGAACATCACACTCTGGGGACTATTGTGGGGTGGGGGGAGGCGGGAGGGATAGCATTAGGAGATATACCTAATGCTAAATGACGAGTTCATGGGTGTGGCACACCAGCATGGCACATGTATACATATGTAACTAACCTGTACATTGTGCACATGTACCCTAAAACTTAAAGTATAATAATAATAATAATAATAATAATAATAAAAGACTATTTCCAAAATTACCACTCAATTAAGCAGACCTTGGCTCACTGCAGCCTCTACCTCCCTGGTTCAAGAGATTTTCCTGCCTCAGCCCCCCAAGTAGCTGGGATTATAGGTGCCTGCCACCACACCCAACTAATTTTTGTAGTTTTAGTAGAGATGGGGTTTCACCATATTGACCAGGCTGGTCTCGAACTCCTGACCTCAAATGATCCACCCACCTTGGCCTCCCAAAGTGCTGGGATTACAGGACTGAGG
Organism: Homo sapiens; assembly: GCF_000001405.40. Lineage (NCBI taxonomy): Eukaryota > Metazoa > Chordata > Mammalia > Primates > Hominidae > Homo > Homo sapiens. Next base: position 13,471,724 of record NC_000002.12, on the reverse strand, counting down.
CACCGTGCCTGGCCTTTACCTAGTTTTTAGAAGTATAGACATTGAATGGGAAAAATCTGGATTTGAATCTCAACTCTTCCAAGTATTAGATACATCATTAAAAGGAAGTTAATATCTCTGAAACTATTTGCCTCCTCTCTAAAAACAGTAATAATAATACTTCCTTTACAAGGACTTTATGAGGATTGTAAGGGGGAAAAATATACAAAATGTTTAGAATAATATATATATATTTTAAGGGGAATCACTTAAGTAAATATTAATAATTTTTGATATTACTATATGATATACTACATACATCATTTTTATGATGCTATCTACCTAAATGAAAGAAGAAAAGAGAGTTAAATAACCTACTTTTATTTTTCTGTAAAAAAGTTTTTCTTAGTAACTAAAGCTGATAAACAAGAAATATTTCTATAAATGTTATTAAGAAATACGGGGTAAATGCCAGGATAAATAGGTTAAAACACTGAAAGCTATTGCTTTCTTGGAACAAGAATTATCAGAAAGAGGTAAGTTGGGTTATTGCTGTTTTTTATTATCAGCCTCGTAATACAATTTATACCCCTTTGTACATGTATCACATTGATAACAATGAAAAATTACATTTAAGAAGAGAAACACATTAGATGGGGAAATGGAAATACGTAGTCAGTTTCTTAATGCACTGGGATAGTTGTTTACAACCTAAAATTGCCAAATTAAAGCAGCTTGATACTTGAATATGGTTGCATTTTCTGAAAAGAAAATCAAATTGAACTATGTTTTTACTTCCATTCTGTATTTTGAAAACATAAAACAGCATCTCTCCCTTCTACTCTTTTGTCTTTTCCAGTCCCTTCCAGAGTTAACATCAATTAGAAGTGAGCGTGCTCCCTTCTAATGATGATTGGCAGGTATTTTCTTTCTGCGCTCTTCTTCATTATCCAAATTTTCAAAATGGGCACAAAGTCTTACCACATTTTTCTTCATTTGCTATGGAAATCTCTCTAAAACAATGTAGCTATAACAAGAAAAGTAAAGAAATTAGAAAGTCATGCATTATTTCATGGAATGGCACTTAGAGATACAGGCATAAAGCCCAGTGTTTTCTATAGAGCTCTTGATGACATAATTACCATCTCATTAGCCAAAAGTTGTATAAGGAGACATATTCTACATGGATGAAAAACATGTCAATAGTCTTCTGGCATTAGTTGCCTCCCTTCACACTGAGGCTACACACTCCCAGACTCATTCAGTAGAAGCCTGACCAAGTCACCATCATTCATTAACTGTCTCTTTACTGAACAGGAAAAATGAATGGAGCCCTCTAATCTGACATTAATAAATTGCAACCATTTGGGGAAGTATTCAAATGTAAAATGCTAAGGTTCATTATTGAAATTATATTTGATGACTTGTGTTTGTTCTGCCTCATTTAAAGATAAAATGTTCACAGGACTTTATCCCTGATGGTGGGTGATAATGGATACTCTAGCCAAATTGTAGAGTAAGTCTAAGCAGGGTTCACTGGGACTAAAATGCAGATCCATAGCCTGTTAATGCTGGGAGAAGACCTGGAGGCCATACAGAAGTAATTTTCAAACTTGTAGAAATCAATATTTTTTCTTTAAAGAAAAATGTACTTGAAAAAAATAGGTGAATCAGATGACCTTGCTCACCTGTTTATCCATTGAAAAAGTGAGGATCAAAAATAAAAGCAAATATGTCACTACAATTCTTTCTTCAGATGCTAATCATAGTCTGTCAGGAAAAATTGCTTTCCTCGTACATCCTCTCATAGCATTTGTAAATGCTTTCTTTATAAGTAAGTAGGTATAGAAAAAATTAATAAATAATACATAATGTTTACTTGGTATTTCTGTATTAAAGGGTTTTCAAATGTGTGTGAGGTATGTGTTTGAGATGAGGGCTGGAGACACACTTTAAAGATAAAGTGACACTTGAAGTGTCTTTGAAAGATGAGTATGGATTGCATCAAATGTGCTGTTATTTTCTTTTGCCTCTTTCATTTTAACAAGACTGTGACTTTTTGAGGAAAAAGCTTTATTTATATTAGTAAATACAATGCTTAGAATGATGTCTGGAATAGAGCATATAAATACAGCTTGCATATTTCAACTAAAGTTTAATTTGAGTGCATACATTCAAAAATCTAAACGTAAGTTAGAAACATGGATTTGGCTTCAAAAACCGCACATTTTTTTCAATATTCATTGGTTGCTAGATGAAGTTTGACTTTGCTGTGGCTACTTTTGATGGAATAATTTTAAAAAAAAATCCCTGTTACATCTCTCCAATACAGTCACTTTTTCTGAAATGTGCCAGCTTTCTTTATGGGACTCATGCATTTGCATAATTCAAATGGACATTGGAATGTTCATGAAATCCAATATTCTACAATATTGCATGTTTAAAAATCTTGTGTGTTTTAAATTCTGTGCTTAAAAATCTGTATTATATTCTGTTTACCAATTCAGGAAAGATTGAATAGATGTTCAACAAGTTCAGAAATAAATATGGCATAATAGAGTACAGGGATGATTCACTAATACAGAAAGAATATTTAAAATGTCAATGAACAGATTAAAAGTATATTACAAATGCTATTTGTGAAAACAAAAAGATGATGGGGAAGAAGTTTTAGCAGCACTCAAAGTAATATAAAATTCCTATGAAAAGATTCTGAAGAACCAAGTTAATGTTTTTGAAAATGGGAACAGGAGTAAGACAATCAGCTCTATGTTTTTTCACTCATTGATTCAGTTATCAAACATAAACTAAGAGTCTACTCTATTTCAAGAAGAGGAGTATAAGAGTCAAAGAAGGCCAGTATCTTTTTACAAGACTTTTCTCATGTCTCCATTGACAAAATTATTATTATTTATTAACTTTAGGAAAGAGGACTATGGTACATGTCAACTCTCTATTGTCTTCACTTTTCCTGTCTACACACGTCACAATCTTCAGAGGCTGCTGTCACCCCCATTATTTTGTTCCTTAAATATAAAAGTAATTGAAATGGTAACATCTATACCAGTGTGTACTCAATAATTATTTGCTATGTATCAACCAAATCTTAATTTGTTCCTTTCAAACATAGTTCAGTAGAAACTCTTTATGCTACATATGTGCAACTATGTACCAAAAATTGTGACAATGTCCTAGGAAAACACAAATAAAAGACACGGCTATTGTCTACAAGAAGTTGAGACTAATGGATGGGGGCAGATACATACACATGAAATTTCAAAAAACAACTTGGCTAGGTATGTTAGTTGAGGTGAGGACTAGTTAAAATGTAGCGTAAAAATAAAGATGATGTTTCATTAGGATTTTGAGCATCTAGGTTGAGTGACTGAAAATTCACTTCAACCAGCAATTGTTCTAGGTGAAGGAAATGTAACTGATGACTCATTGTAAGGCTGAAAACCTTTCCTGATCATGGTGTTAAAAGATTTCCAGGAACTGGCTTGAACAAATGCTCTCAACCTCATCTTCAACTCCATCATACATCTTGCACTCTAGTTCTAGGAATCAACATTCATGAAGCATTCTGCTCACTTTTATACTCCTTTATACTCTTGCTCTTTTATTGTCCATTAGTGTCTCATGCACAATTACCTTGAAGGAAGTTTACTTACCTGTCAAAGCTCAGTTCAAGTAAAATATTCAGTACCAAGTTCTCTCCTTATATACGCATAAGAATACACACATTATGTTCTTATATAATAAACACAACATTAGATTTAAACATCCTCTGGTCTGTGCAATTCATCTACTTTTTTCCCCATCTCTGTTATGGTACATATATTATACACAAAGTTTTTATATGTGGCTCTTCCTCCCCTACTACACAATGGCTTACATTTTTGTGGGGTCTGTGCCTTATTCAACTTGAATTATCTAGTTTTCAAAGAAAGAAGTCCTCTAAATATGCCTAGTGAATAGAATTTGGATAATACAGTATTTTGTTTCTTACTGAGATTTTTTAATAAATAAAAACAAAAAAAGATCAGACTCAAGTTGTCAGAAGTGTAATTCTGTGTTTATGTAATATTGTTTTACCTCAGAACTTGTATTTTGACCATTACTCTAAAAAGTCATACAGCATTGTAATAACAGCACAATAATTTTTATTTAAAGTAATTAGGGGATTACAATTAAAGTAATTGGGGGAAAATTACTTAGAATTTTGCAAATATGCAGAGATTTTACGGTTTTCTCTTTGACCTGCCTAGAGCTAACACTAAAATAACCCATATAAAACTGTAAATTTTCTTGTTGAAAACTGTCACACAAGTTCAACACAATTATTTGAGGTATTCGCTTTGTGTCTCTGTTTTAGAGCACACGTGTTACTATAAAGCAAAACATTTTTCATACTTCCAAATGAGGGGAAAATTCTCAAATTCAAGCAATTCTACAATTTTCTCTAATTCTTCCATAAATACATCTAAGGCATTAAATAAAAACTTAAATACAGTACATTTTAATCTCTGAAACATATCAAGTTATATCACCTCTATCATGTATTTATTTATACTTTTATATTTTTAATGGACTTTATTTTTAGAATGCTTATTAGATATACAAAAAAATGAAACAGGTAATATGGAGTTCCCATATATTCTGTCATACAGCTTCCCCCATTATGAACATCAGATATTAGTGTAATATATTCATTACAATTAATGAACCAATATTGACACATTATTATTTACTAAAGTTCACTGTTTATTCAGATTTTTAAAGTTATTACCTAATGTAATTTTTCTATTCCAGTATCCCATCTAGGATATTATATTACTTAGTTACCATGTTATATATATGTATAGTAACTAAGACTATACATGTCTGTAATTATTTTTGTATGTTTTTTTCTGGATCTATACATAACTAAACAAGGGTTCACACTAATGTCTCTTACTTAGCCCATTAGCACATGGATCAGTCTAGTCTCCTTCAATGTGTTATCTGTAAATCCCCACTCCATCAATGAGAAACTTGACTTCTACAATCTGCCATTTATATACTTAATTGTTCAGTTCAGTAAATATGTATAGAAGTATCAACATTGTTAACCCATATTTCCATGGAAAACAACTTCAGTAACTAGATTGCAGTGCCTACGTATAATTTCTTTTGCCTTTAATCTTACAGTCCTCACTCATTTAAGAAGTTAATCATCATCTTTCCCCTCCTTGTCCCCCACCACTCTCTTCAGTGAGGTTGTTTTTTACATTTATATTACAGTTTAGATTCATTGTCATACTCTGCATTACTTCACGGGATTTTCCCACCTCTGAAATAAATTCTTTCACATTTGCATACATTATAGTTCACTATCTACGTTATAAAGTTCTATGGGTTAAGGGAAAGGCATAGTGTCATGTAGTCACCATTATATTATCATGCAGAATTGTTTCTCAGCTCTAAAACCTCCCCTGCCTTTCACCAGTCTTCTCTCATTGCCTCCAGAATCCATGGCAACCACTGATCATTATACTGTCTCAAATTCTGCCTTTTCCAGAATGTCATATAATTGGAATTATACAGTATGTAGCCTTTGCAGACTGGATTATTTCACTTATCTATGTTAATTTAAATTTCCTCCAGGTGTTTTCATGGCTAGGTAGCTCATTTATTTTTAAAGGTAAAGAATGTTCTATTAAATGTACCACTGTTTATTTTTTCATTCATTTTAAAGAGGGTTTTGGTTGTTTCTAGTTTTGGGCAGTTATGAATAAAGCTATGAAAAATATTTGTGTGGATATTTTGAGTGGCGTACATATTTGAAAGCAATTGAGTAAATACTTGGGAAGATGATTGCCACATCAATGGAAAAACTATGTTTAGCTTTGTAAGAAACCACCAAACTGTCCCCCAAGATGAATGACCTATTTTCTTTTTCCATCGGCAACCAATGAAGAGTTTCCATTGCTGTACAGCCTCAATAGCTTTAGCATGGTCTGATTTTTGCATTTTAGCTATTTTAGCAGGAGTAAAGTGCCATTTTATTATTTTCCTTAGTAAGGTTTTTGTTTAGGTCTGTTGCCCATTTTTAGTTGAGTGACTTGTTTTCTTATGTTGAGGTTTAAGTGCTCTTTGTATATTTTAGATACAAATCCTTTGTCAAATATGTGTGTTTATGAATACTTTAACCCAGTCTGTGACTTGTCTTTACATGCTTTTAACAGTGTCTTTAACAGAAATTTGTTTTTTGTTGTTGTGGTGATGGTGGTTGTTGTTAATGAAGTCCAACTTACCAGTTTTTTTCTTTCAAGGACTGTGTTTTTGGTGTTATAACTACATACTCATTGCCAAGTCCCAAATCACCAAGATTGTCTCCTATATTTTCTTCTAGAAGTTTTATGGTTTTGCATTTTACATGTAGCTCTATGCTTTATTTTGAGTTATTATGTATAAGATACGTGTCTAGATTAATTTTGTAGCATATAGATCTCCAATTGTTCAAGCCCCATTTGTTGGAAAGGCTATCCTTTGTCCATAAATTGTCTTTGCTCCTTTGTCAGAGATCAATTGGCTATATATTGCAGGAGCTTATTGTCTTCCATTGATCTCATTACTGTAACTTTATAGTAAGCTTTGAAATGCAGTTGTCAGTCCTCTGATCTTATTCTTTGTCTTAACTATTGTGTTGGTTATTTAGGGTCTTTTTGTCTCTTCTTGTAAGCTTTAAAATGAATTTGGTAATAACTACAAAGTAACTTGCTAGAATTTGGTTTAGGATTGTGTGAATCTGTAGATCATATTGGGAAGATAAACAGTTTAACTATATTGAGTCTTCCAATCCTTAAACAGGGAATATCTCTATATTTATTTAGATATTTCATTTCTTTCATGAAGATTTTAGTATATACAGATATTGTTAGTTTATACTTAACATATTTCATTTTTGGTGCTATTTTAAATTGCATTGTGTTTTTAATTTTAATTTCAAATTCCAGTTGTTGAACTTATATATCAGAAAACAATTGACTATGGTATATTAATTGTTTTATCCTGTGGTTGTGTTAGACTTCTCACAGTTCAAGGGATATGTTTGGCAATTCTTCAGAATTTTTCTACATAGACAATTATGTTACCTGTAAATGACAGATGGTTTTAGTGCTCTCTTCTCATTCTGTACACCCTTGATTTATTTCCTTATCTTATTGCACTAGTTACAACTTCAGTTCAATATTGGATAAGAAGAGTGGGACAGGACATCCTTCCTTACTCCCAATTTTAGGAGGAAAGCATCTACTTTCTCACAGTTAATTATAACGGATGCAGTAGGCTTATTGTAGATAAAGAATAGGTTTATTGTTGTAGATAAACAATGGATGCAGCAGGTTTATTGTAGATACACAGTAGGTTTATTATTGTAGATAAACAATAAACCTACTGTATCCATTATAATTAACTGTGAGAAACTATTTTGATAAAGTGAAGAGTTTCCCCTGTAGTTCTAGTTTGCCGAGATTGTTGTTATTACATTAATGAATTTTGGATTCTTTCAAATGTTTTTATATCAACTTATATAATTGTATTATTTTTTCTCTTTAGCCTTCGATGTGGTAGATCACATTAATTGCCTTTTAACTGTTAAAGTAGTCTTGCAAATCTGAAATAAATCCCACTGGTTGTGGTTATATATGTATGTGTGTATACACACACACACATGCACACACACACACACACACATATATATATAGTTGGATTTGACTTGTGAATATTTTGAGGATATTTTTCCATGTTAAAAGATATTGGTCTGATATTTTTCTTTCTAGTAATATCTTTATTTGGCTAGGGTATTCTGGTAACAATGATTTCATGGAATTCCTTATGAGGAATTTTCTGATTCTTTTCTCTGTAAGAACTCATAGAGGATTTGTATTCCTTCTTCCTTAAATATTTGGTACTCCAAAGAAACCATCTAAACCATGTGTTTTTTTTTTGCAAACTTATTAATTATTGATCCATTTTTTTAGAAGGTAAAGGACTATTTATATTATCTTTTTCTCCTTATGTGAGTTTTGGTAGTTTTTGTCTTTTCGGGAATTAGTCCGTTTTATCTAAGTTAGAAAATGTGTGTGTATAGAATTGTTTATAGCATTCTTTCATTATCTTTTCATGTACATGGGATTAGCAGTGATAACCTTTCATTTCGGATATTAGTAGTTTGTGTTTTTCTATTTTTTTCTGTTACCTTGGCTAAAGGTTTATAAACTTTATTAATATTTTCAAATAACAAGGACTTAGGCTTGCTATTTTTCTCTATTATTTTTATTTTTAAATTTCTTTGATTTCTGCTATAATTATTATTTTTTCTGCTGGCTTTAAACTTAACCTGGTCTTCTATCTCTAGTTTTCTGAGGTGAAAGCTTAGATCATAGACATGAGACCTTTCATTTTTTTAAGCGTATGCATTTAATATTTTAAGTTGCCTTCCAAGCACTGCTTTTGCTTCATCCCACACAGTTTTATTTTCATTTTAATCTAGATCAAAGACTTTTTAAATGTCTTGAAAATCAACCCATGTATTTAATCTCCAAATATGTTAGAATTTTCCAGTTATCTTTCTGATACTAATTTCTAGTTTAATTCCACTGTGATTAAGGAACATATGTTGTATGATTTATATTATTTTAAATTTGTTAAAGTGTGTTTCATGCGAACTTGATGTGATGTAAATTCTGCTGTTGCTGGTCGAACTATTCCATTATTGTCAATTAGATCAAGATGTTGCTGTTCTTCAGTTCAGCTACATCCTATTGACCTAATTCTGCTCAATCTATCAATGACTGAAAGAGAAGTGCTGAAATCATCAGCAGCAATAGTGGATTTACTACGTTTCCTTTCAGTTCTATCAGTCTTTGCTTTACATATTTTGATGCTCTATAGTTAGCTGTATATTAATAAAGATTTTTATGTCTTCTTAAAGACTTTACCCATTTTTCACTACATAATGCCTACTTATTAGCTCCAATAATTTCACTTATTAGCTCTAATAATATCACTACATAATGCCCACTTATTAGCTCTAATAATGCCCACTTATTAGATCTAATAATAATTTCAATTTTTCATTCATCACTATAGAATGCCCACTTATTAGCTCTAGTAATCTCACTATATAATGCCCATTTATTAGCTCTAATAATTTCTCAGCTTTGTTTGAAATTAATATAGCTACTCCAACTTTGGCTTAATATTAGCATGGTAAATCTTTTTTCTTTCCTTTGTCTTTATTTTTAAGGGAGGTTTCTTTTAGACAACCTATTGTCTGTTCTTATTTATTTTCTGTTTTCATTGCTGTTATCCACTCTGATGAGCTTTATATTTTAATTAGAGTATTTAGGCAATTCATATTTAAAGTAATTATTAATATGGTTGGTTAGTTATGCATATGAGCCACATTTTAAGCTTTTTTCTACTGTTATATTTTTTCTTTTTCTTCCTTCTTTTTCTGCTGTCTCTAGCTTTAGTCAAATATTTTGTATCATTCTGATTTGTTTCCTTTCTTAGTGTATCAGTTATACATCTTTAAAAAAAGTAGTGTTTTTTTTCAGAGTATACTATATATATTTAACTGATCTAAGTCTACCTTAAAATAACTCTATATAGCTTGACATGTGGTGTAGGTACCTTAAAACAGAGATGTTCTTATTTTCTGTACTCTGATCCATGTTATTTTTATTATGTGTTTCATTTACCATATATTATAACCACCCAATATGTTATTGATGCTATTACTTTGAAGAGAGAGTTATCTATTAGATCAATTAAGAAAAAGAAAAATATTTTTATTTTATTTTCGTTTATCCCTTCTCTGAATATCTTTTTTCTTCATGTAGATTAGAATTTTTACATATGTTTTCCTTCTCTCAACAACTTCTTTTACCATATTTTTGCAGAGCAGATCTAGTCGGGACAAATTCCCTTGGTTCTTGTTGGTCTGAGAAAGTGTTTTTTATTCTTCATTTTTGAAGGATTATTTCCCTGGATATAGAATGCTAGGTTGGTGTGGTTTTTCTGGCAACACTTTTAAAATTGCAATCCATTTTCCTCTTGCTTGGATGGCTTCTGATATGTCCAATGTGTTTTTTTAATCCTTTTTTTTTCTGTAAAGATAAGTTGATATTTTCACCTCTGGTTTCCTACAAGACACTATGTTGGGCTTTCTGCAGTTTGAATACAATATGTCTAAGTGTAGATATTTATATATATATATTATGCAACTTAGTATTCTCTGAACTTCCTGGATCTATGGTTTGGTGTCTCTCATTATTTTTGAATATTCTCAACCACTATTACTTCAAATATTTCTTCTGCCCTTTTATTCTTTCTCTCCTCTCTGTTATTCTCGAATATTCTTTTCTGATTTCTTTTCCATTTTTTCTTTTTTATTTCATGTTTGGAAATTTGTATTTACTTATCTTCGAGTTCTCTGATTCTTTCCCCATCTATGTCTAGACTACTGGTGAGCCCATCAAAGACATTTTTTTTTGAAATTTGTTTAAGTATTTTTGAGTTTTAGCATGTCCTATTAATTCATTCCTGAAGTTTTATATCTCCAGTTATATTAGTCATCAATTCCTTCATACTGTCTGCTTTATATATTAAAGCCTTTAACATATTTATGATCATTATTTTAAATTCCTTGTCTGATATTTCCAATATTTTTGTCTTATCTGAATCTAGTTCTGATGCTTTCTTTGTCTCTTACGACTGTGTATTCTCTTGCCTTTAAGCTTGCCTTTAATTTTTTGTTGATGTCCAAGTAAGATGAATCAGGTAATAGGAAAAGAGGTAAATAAGCTTTGATGTGAAATTGTATGTTAACATGACTAGAAGTTGGGCAGTGTTGTTTTTTTGTTGTTGTTGTTTGTTTCTTTTGAGATGGAGTCTCGCTCGCTCTTGTCGCCCAGGCTGGAGTACAGTGACGTGACCTCAGCTCACTGCAACCTCCGCCTCCCAGGTTCAAGCGATTCTCTTGCCTCAGGAGAAATGAGAAATCCTGTCATCATGCTCCCAAGTTGCTGGGATTACAGATGCCCACCACTGTGCCTGGCAAATTTTTGTATTTTTAGTAGAAATAGGGTTTCACCATGTTGGCCAAGCTGGTCTTAAACGCCTGATCTCAGGTGATCCGCCCGCCTTGGCCTCCCAAAGTGCTGGGATTACAGGTGTGAGCCACCGCACCTGGCCCAGAAGTTGGGCAGTATTTAATGTTTGTTATATGTATAGGTGACCGAGGCTCCAATTTCTTCTAATGTTATTTTTTACCCCCGACTCATTGTCTTTACATTTCCCTAAGAACTCCTTAAATAGTCCAGGAGTTGCAATTCCTTTAGCTGTAATTCCATGTTGTTATGTTGGAGCCCTGTTGATGTGATGTTAAGGTATGAAAGAGGTGGAGAAGTACTCTATAATCTTCTTAGTAAATCTTAGACTTTTTAGTAGCCATTGCCCATGACCTTAGACCTTCAAAGTTCCTTAGATTTTTCCTCTTACTTGAGGTCATTGAGAAAGGCTGAAAGGGGCTGAAGGTGGTTAATTGTTCATCCTCCAATTTAAATAAGGCTCAGATAAAGTGTTTTCAATTGGAGTATAGGCTTCTTATTAAGAAAACTCTGGGCATATTTTAAATGGCTATTTTTGTCTTGCCCTACCTAAAACATAATAGGGTTTTTCTTGGCACTTCACTGGGGACTCCTGGTGATTTTCCTGCAAGTAAAACCCATGAATGGGTGAGGGTACTCATAAGACTGATTCCCCAGGAATTTCTCCCTCTCAAAAGCTACTCAGCACTTAGTCTCCAACAATTCACAAAAATTGCCATTTAAATGTTCCAACCAATTTATGGTTCCACCAGCCTCTATTTCAGGTAAGCTAATGTTCGCTGTGATTCTCTGCATTTGCCTATCTCCGGATTTTGGGGTGACAGATTGTCCTGTGACCTCAATTAAATGACGAATCCAAGGAAAGTCATTGATTTTCAGAATTTTTAGCTTTTTGTTATTTGGGGGATTAAATTGATGACTTCCAAGCTGTTTAAATGTCCAAGTTAAAACCAAAGGTAACACATCTCACTTTTTTTTTTCTGTTAATCTTCCACAGTGCTGTCATAGTGGATGCCTAAACACCAAACTGTTCTTTCCAATAGGCTTCTCTTGGTCCCTTTTTCCAAAGATTAAACTCACAATATCCTGCATAATTTATCCCAAACCTCTCTCTTCTCACTGTATGGCATTCAAGTTCTCATTGACTTGGTTTGACTGTTTTTCACAGATCTGTGATTCTGAATGTGTTGTTTTGTATACATCACATGTTCACTTGCCTTTCTTACACTCTCCCTCATCCAACTGGCAAGGCCATAGTCATTTGATTGCCAGTTCTATGATTTACTCCTTAGAAAACTTGCTGCTCTATCATCCATAACATTTTGAATATACAAAAAAGTCTTATAATAAAACTATTATTATCATAATGTGTCAGTCTCTCAGATTAATCCCAAAGCAGTCTCTAGTTCTAATTTATCTCTACTGCCTAAAAGAAGAACAAAATCTAATGAAAGTTGAAAGTTTCTTTTGAAACTTTCAGATACAGTGGCTCACACCTAGAATCTCAACACTTTGTGAGGCCATGGTGGGAAAATCGCTGAAACCCAGGAGTTCAAGACCAGCCTGGACAATGCAGTGAGGCCTCATCCCTACAAAAAATAAAAAATTAACAAGGCATGGTGGCATGTACCTATAGTCTCAGCTACTTGGGAGGCTGAGGAGAGAGGATTGCTTGAGCCCAGGTATTCGAGGCTGCAGTTAGCCATTATTGAACCACTGTACTTTAGCCTGGGCAACAGAGTGAAACCCTGTCTCAAAAAAAAAAAAAAAAAAATGAAGAAGAAGAAGAAAGAAAAACCCTTAGAACTCAGTATCTTTATCATTTAACAGTGATTAGCAATGTGTTGCATATCTTTTTTGCCTTGATTTAAAGTCATACTAAGAATGGAGCATTCTAGATTCTGGTATCATAAATAATGAATAAACAATTTTAAGTGTGTCATAATTTAAAGATGGTGCTATGTCCAAAACTGAGTTGAAACTACAACTTTTCCATGTTGTTTTTAACATAGACATCTGAAATTTAACAATTTACTTAATGTAGGTTTAGCTTACTTTAAGGAGAAATATGCCAATTAATAATAATAATTACATCTGACATTTACTGAGTACTTTTTAATTTATCAAGCATTGTAGTTCAGTACCTCAAAAGCATTATCTTACTTGGCACATAACTCCTTCAGTTCAGAGATATTTTTATTTATATTTTATGAGTGCATAATTTTACTAGAAATGCATTTCCACTAATATAATGAGAGATCCTATCACAGCCTGTCATCATGCAGTGGGCCAGGCTGTCCTGAGCCAGCTGACAGTCATTTAGCTTTGCATTAGTGTGTTGGACAAGTTATTGACTGCAATGATTACTTGATGAAACAAGCAATTAAAATGGATTCTGCCAAGGATGAAAAATAGTGGAAGCCTTATTTGTTTTAAATTTCTGTTCTCATCTCCCATTGCTGAGCCAACCCTGCTAACACTTTACTCTGATCAGCCAATGTAAAAGCAGATATGATGGCCCGAGAGTACAATAAGTGAATGGAAAGGGAGAGACAGAAGCAGAGAAGAAGCATGGGGAAGTTTTGTGCCAGGCACTATCTTAGTCAATTTTAGCAAATTATCTGGTTTAAGCCTCTTAACAGCTTTAAGAGTGAAATTTTCCATATGAGGACACTGATAATCCCAGAGATACAATTACTTGTCCAAGCCCATATAGGTCAATAGGAAGCAATATAGCATTTCAGAATCTGATTTAAGTGCCTAGAGTTCTTTCTGCCATATTACAATATAGTGATTTTATTAAGGGAAAATGTTAAGTTGTCACCTGTGTTTTTAGAATGGTTAACAAAGTGGATAATTTATATATTTGTAGATAGTCCTTGCAAATAATCTGAGGATTCTAAATACCTAATAGAGAACTGAGTTCAACTTGAAGCTAAAGGGATACAGCGAACTGAGCTGGAATCATAAGAGAGGATGTCATCTGAGACATACCATATCCATAGAGTAGGCTGTAAAAATCAGAATTGCTCTGAAGATCTCAGAAATAATTGCTCCTTTAATTTAGAATTTGAATTGCTAAGTACCCCAAATTTTTCAACGGTTTGTATGCAACCTCTGCATTCACCAATTTGCAAGCATATGATCATGACTGCCTCAGATATTGGTAGCCTATGTAAGCAGTTATGCTTTATAATATGCAGTTATATAAGCTTTCATTAGAATAGTTTACACTCTCTTTGCTAAAGCATAAGTTAGTAACTTAGCGTTAGGGGAGGGTAATCACAACAATACAGACATGAGTGGACTCGTGCAGAACATAAATACTCTCTTTGCTTATGTCTATATTACTCAAAGGAACCAGGGAAATAACAAATTCCCAATTACAATGCAGTAAACTTTAAGAGGAGCAGAGTGAGCTTCGTTCTTTTATGGTTGGTGTATTTCCAAAAAACACTTTCTTCTTTCCCAATTCTTTTTCTAGTTTCTGCTAAATTGGTGTTTCTTTAGGTGGAAGCAGTATCTCAGACCATAAAGCACTAAACCCATTTGAAGCACTTAAGTTAATTATTGTATTCATAAAATCTAGGTTGATCTGTCTCATAGCAAAATCAGTTAGCATAATTTTACCTTCTTTTTAAAATGCCAACGAACTATAAGTGGTGCTTCTATGTAGAAATATATAAGTAGAACTGAGTTTTTACTTATAGAACTTATATCAAATGATAAGTGAAGCAAAGTATTTTTATTCTATAACCTGGATTTAAAAATATATAATCTCTGCAATATATATTAAAGAAACTATAATTAATTTTAAGAAGTCAAATGGGGAAAATAAAACAAAACAAAATGTTCCATCCTTAGACAGATGACCTATAATTTATTTTATTTGATTCAAGCTATATCTTTAACTAGTAGTATCAGGATCACAAGTCATTTTGAAATGTCATAAAAATGTTCCAAGTTTGTGGTTTAAAGGACCTTAGAGGGACTATTTGTGGTTTTGTACTTTCTTTGTTCAGTGATCCACTTGCAGGTTATTCTGAACTTCCTTGGGAAAAGATGAAAGTAGGATGGCATTTTGGAAATGATTCTTCATTCTGAAACCTCCTTGAGTGATAGACTAGATGAAGTATAGTTATATATTTGGCAGTAGAAAGCAATCTCTCCTGTCAAATTTCCCATTCATTTTTATTTCTGGATTTATTCTTCCTACTTTTGCTCAAATACCAACACATAAAGAGTGTCCACAGATATAGGCTCAAATAATGCATTGTGGGAATTTAACACATTTTAAAAGACTGAAGGATAGTAAGAAGAGAGTTTTTAACAGATTCCTTATGGAGGGAAAAGAATACTGTTAGATGAAACAAAAATGGAAAAAAAAATCTTTTATTGATAGATGTAGCTTATATTTTCTTCCTTTTCTCCTAATTGAATTGTGAATGTTTTATTATCAAAATTCACAAAATTTTGATAGAATATGCAAAATATTTCCTGAGTTACAATTTCTCATTTAGAAACATTTGCTTTAAATTCTCATACAGATCCAATAAGTGTTCTGTTCATTTTCCTGTTGACTACTTTTTCCACCTTGACTTGGGATACTCCAGAAGAGATATCCTTGTTGTTAACAAGGAAATAAGCTAATATAAAAGGGATATATTAAAGTTAGATTACAGGCCATATACTAAGAACTAAAAAATTGAGTTTGGTGGAAACATAAAAGATTATGTAGTTAAATGCTTACAACTTTCCCTTATATCACTAAATAAACAGAAAATAAAAATATTACAAAGGGTAAAAAAAACAGAAAAGATGCCTGCAACATTTTTAGTCAGATACATATTTGCATAGATATTTCTATATATTCATAGAAATATCTAGCACCTTTTCTTTGGAAATAAGAAAGTATAAAGGAAGAAATTGATTTTGACATTATCCTAGAGAGTTTAAATGGATCCTAACCAAATACAGACACAAGTCAAACAACACTGACCATCCAAGCATTTTACACTGATCAAGATAATGGCAAAAAGGTTGAACTTATGACAAATACAGAAATAAGTAAAATTTGTGTTTTTTTTTAAAGAAATAAACTGTCTGTGATTAATCTTTTTCCATTTTATGAAACTTAAATGACATATCATTTCTTTGTAAATTGTAGACAGGGTGTTTAATTATATAAAAATGAAACCTACATTCTGTCTTTATGGAGTTTATGGAAATAAGGTAATACAGATTAATTTAGGCTAAAGTTTTAAAAATTAATCATTAATATTAGAGAAACAAGGATCAAAAACATCTAAGTAAGCTGTAGCTCAGATAAGAAGGCATAGACCCACTTCTTCTTGCTCCCTCTCACTAGGCACAACCTTAAATACTGCAAATGGTACAAAAAGCAAATAAAGGAGAACTCTGTGGGTGGTAAAAATAGAAGAGCTGGTGTGGGGACCCAGGATTTGAGCAACAACACAACATCAAGATGCCTTGTGTCCTCCCACCTGCCAGAGGAAGGCCATCAATATCCAGTATTTCTTTCCCCCATGACACAGTAGCAGAAGGCAGCCCAGATAGGCCCATTGTTTCTCCAGATCAAACAGGAGTCCCCAGGATAGCACCAGCTGAACTTAAGACATGAGAGTGCCTCTCCTTACCCACCTGCCCTGAGACTGCTTTTTTCTACCAAGTGATACCTAGGCTACAAGACAGAGCCTGCAGGAGAGACTGAACAATACCAGGCAACTTAGCAGGTCATGGAAGCCTCTTTGTCCTCATAGGACTGAGATTCTCCGTTCTTGGTCAGATGTATTAGACTACTTCATGCTGCTGTAATAGAATACCACTGACTGAGTAATGTATAATGAACAGAAATTTATTTGCAGCAGGAGCCAATCCTTCTCATCAAATGTCATATTCATTTTTATTTCTAGATTTAATCTTTTGACTTTTGCTTAAATGTCTACATTTAAAGAGTGTCCACAGATACAATATAGGTTCTAGTGATGCATTCTGGAAATTTAATATGTAGTGAAACACTCAAGGATAGTACAAAGAAAGCTCTCTTATTTTTACTACCTTCAGGTTTCTCCTCTATATTTGTCTTTTCACTACTTCTAGTGCTTAAGGTTGTGTCTCGTGAGAGACAGCAAGAAGAAGTGCGTCTATGCCTTCTTGTCTGAACCACATTTCATTTAGATGTTTTGATCCTTGTGTCTTTTATACTAATGATGATAAAAGAATCAATCAACTAGACATAAAAATTCTAAATATGTACTGACCACAAGATCATATTTGCAAAATAATGTGAAACAAAAACTGATAAAGAGTTGAAAGCAGAGATTCACTACTGTAATTGCAGACTCCAACACTATCATTATAACAATGATAATAATGATAGAATTATTAGAAAATCAGCAATGACCTGGAATATCTAGAATATCTGCACATTTAACTAAGAAGATCTAACTACCACATATAAACACTCCGTTCAATTACAGCAGAACACACAATTTTTTTCAGACCTTCATGGAATACTCATCAAGATAGATCATAGACATAAGTAGACATTAATCAAGCCTCAACAAACTTAAAAAAAGAAATAATTTAAATTGTGTTCTGTAGTTTTTATGATATCAAACTAGAAATAAATAACAGAACAAGAGGAATCTGAGAACATGTGGGAAATAACATATTTTTAAATGATCCATGGGTGAAAAAGGAAGTCTCAAATAATTTAAAAACAAATACATAGATGTGAATGATTTAAAAGATACAAAATATTATGTCAGATAGAACTAAAGAAGCGATTGGAGAAAAACTGATAGCAGTGTAGGCTTACATTAAAAATGAGAGGTCTCAAGTTGATAATCTACATTTCTATTAACAAAAGTAGAAACAGAAGAGCAAAATAAGCTCAAAACAAAAAGAAAAAATAATAAAAAATCAAAGCAGAAATCAATAAAATTGAAAACAGAAAAGCAAGAAAGAAAATTAATATAATCAAATATCTTTCAAATATGTTTATCAATAAAATTGATAAAACTCCAAAAATACTAAACAAAAATAACAAAAAGACAGCTATTGCTCATGTCAAAATTAAAGTAAGAAATAACGCTCTTGATTCTGTAGCTTTTAAAAAGATAAAGAGAATAATACGAACAACTTCATGCTCATAGTTTCATCAACTTAAAATAAATGGACTAATTTTTTGAAAACACAAACTATCAAAAATTACCAAAATAAAATTAACAATGTAAAATAGCTCCATTACAATCAAAGCAATTCAATTATTAATTAAAAGGTCCTGAAAAATAAAATTCCTGGCTGAAACAGTTTCACTGGAGAATAGTAATAAACATTTAAGAAGTAATTATTACTAAATTTATACAAGCTTTACCAGAAAATAGAAATGAAGTGAAAATTTCCTAAATATTCTTATGAAGTATTACACTAATACCCAAGCCAGTGTACAAAAAAGAAAATAATTGATTAGTATCCCTCGCAAATATAGATATAAAAATCTTTAACAAAATACTATGAAATAAAACTCAATAATACATAAAAATAACTATACACATGACCAAGTGTGTTTATTCCAGCAATACAAGGATGGTTCAACATTACAAAATCAGTCATTGCAATGAACAATATCAACAGGCTAAAGAAGAAAAATCAGATGATCATATCAATTGATGCATAAAATTAATTCAGCAAAAAATAAATATTTATAATAAAAAACTGTTAGAAAATTAGGAATAGAGGAAGACCTTCTCCAAATTTTAAAGAACAGGTAAAAACCCTACAGCTAAGATTATACTTAATGATGAAAAACATCCTAAAATCCTTCCTAAAATCAGGAACAAGGTGCTATAGTTTGGATATATGTCCCTACCAAATCTCATGTTGAAATGTAATCCTCAGTGTTAGAGGTGGGGCCTGGTGAGAGGTGTTGGGGTCATGGGAGCAGATCCCTCATGTCTTGGTGCTGTCCTCAGGTTAGTAGGTGAGTTCTCATGAGATCTGGTTGTTTTAAACTTTGTGGCACCTCCTTCCACTCTCTCTCTCGATTCTGCTTTGGCCATGTGACATACCTCCTCCCGCTTCTCAGGGAGTAAAATCTCCCTGAGAGACCCCAAAAGCTGAGCAGATGCCCGTGCCGTGTTTCCTGTACAGCCTGCAGAACTGTGAGCCAATTAAACCTCTTTTCTTTATAAATTACTCATTCTCAAGTATTTGTTTGTAGCAACATAAGAACAGCCTAGCACACAAGGTGAAGATGACTACTCTTACTTCTCTTTTCAACATAGTTCTGGAAGTCCTCAACTAGTGCAATAATGAAAAGAAAGGAAACAGAAGGTATACAGACAAGAAAGGAAAAAGTAAAATTTTTTCTATTTGCTGATAACATGATTGTCTGTGTGGAAAATCCTAAAGGATCTATCAAAAAACAGAGCTAATGATGCCAGCAAGGTCACAAGATACAAGATAAGCATAACACAATCAATTTTTCATTCTAGAAACTAGAATGTGCCCATGAACACTGAAATTAAAAACACAATACCATTCACAACACTCAAAAATGAATTAACTGTAAATCTAACAAAACTGTGCACGACCTTTATGCTGAAAAATATACAACAATGATGAAATAAATTAAAAATCCTAAATAAGTGGAAAGACATTGTGTTCATGGATTGGAAGAAACAGTATAGTAATGAGGCTAATTTTTTCTAAATCAATGCAGAGGTGCAATGTAATTCTTATCCAAAATAGCCCATTTTTGTATAAATATAGAATTATCACTGTAAAATTTACATGGAATGCCCAGGGAACTAAACTAGCTAAAACAATTTCAAAAAGGAAAAATAAAAAGGAATGAATTATTATATCTGATTTCAAGACTTATTATCTACATACATTAATTAATATTACGTGGTATTGACACATAAGCCAATGGAACAAGGTAGAGGGCCTAGAAACAGACCCATACAATATACCTAACAAACTTTTGAGCAAGATGCAGGAACTAAACTGAAAGATGTTCTTTTCAAGAAATGGTCCTGCGGCAATTGTTCATGCATAGACCAAAAGGAAAAAAAAAAACAAAAGAAAAAGAATCCCAGCCTACATTTCATATAACACACAAACATTAAATCAAAATAAATTATATCCTTAAATGTAAATATATAACTAAAAAACATGTTTAAACTAAAAGAAAACAAACCTTCAGGATCCAGAGGAAAGCTATAATTTCTCAGACTTGACATCAAAAGCACAATACATAAAATAAAAAAATTATAAACTATAAACTTTCTCTTAGTGAAAACCAGTGTGAAAAGGATAGACAGACCAAGGTACATATTTGGAGAAAACATTTAAAATTATATATCTGAGAAAGGACTAGTATTTAGAACATAAGAAAGACCTCTCTAACCTCAACAAAACAAAACTATACAGATTGCAAAAGGTCTTGCAAAAATGAACTAGAAAAACCAATTAGAATATGGGCAAAAGACATAAAGAGACATTTCAGTGAATAGGATATGCAGATGGCAAATAAGCATCATATCAACATCATTGATCACCAGAAAATCACAAATTAAAACCACAGTGATATAATATTACCTAATACTACACATCTATTACAATGGTTAAAATTAACAAAAAAGTGACAGCAGCAAATATTGCCATTTCCATAGAAAAACTAAATCACTCATATATTTCCTGTGAAAATGTAAAATGATACAGCCGCTGTAGAAAACAGCTTGGAGCTTGGTAATAAAAAAGGTATACAACTATTATTCAACCTAGCAAGTTGTACTCTTGTGAATTTCTCTAAGAGTGGGGAGAAAGCTCTGTTCACAAAAGCCTATACAACAAATATTTATAGCAGATGTATTCATAATAGCAAAACCTCGGCTCAATCAAGATGTACTTCAGTAGGTGAATGGTCAAACAAATGGCAGTACATATGCACCATGGAATACTACTTAACAATAAAAAGGAATCGATCATTTATGTACATATCAACTTAGGCAAGTCTCCAGAGAATCACACAAAGTAAAAAAATACTAATCCCCAAAGTTTATATTCTGTATTGTTCTATTCATGATGAAATTTTAGAAATAGAAGATAAGTTTAGTGGCAACGTTTAGAAATGAGTGGGAGAAATGGTGGGAGGTGTGTATGGTTATCAAAGAATAGAAAGGAACCTGACATTGTTGTTAGTGTTTAGCATTTTTACTCCTATTTGTGGATAAACACACCTACTCATCTTAAAATTGTATCAGATTTAATACACACATATGTGTGTGTAAGTAAAACTGGGTAAGTCTGAATTAGATCAATGGATTTTATTGATATTAATATCCTGGTTATGCTATTATGCTATGGTTACGCAAAATGTCACCATTAGGCGGAACTGGATGAAGTATACAAGGGATCTCTCTGTATCATTCCTTCTACCACAAGTGAATCTACAATAATCTCAATTAACAAATATGCTGCTCATAAGTGAGAGAGGTTCATATGCCAAATATTTCCAGAAAAAAAAATAGTACTAAATTCATGATACTATAAGGTTTAAACAATGAAATAGTTTATAATTACATAGGAAAGAGGATTTTTTAAAATTTAAAACTCATCAGGATCTGGCATTTACACAAGGAAAAAGGAGTAAAATTAGCTGTACCAAGTATGAAGTCAGATATGAGCTATGATTATGACACAAACATCATGTTTTATTTTCAAGGCCAATCCTGGGTGAACATTTGTCTGTGGCCTAGTATCAGAGACACACGCATCAGGTACAGGTGGATGGATTGAGAAGAGGATTGAACAGAATAAACTAAAATAAAAAGATATGAAATAAATACATGCCTCAGGCAGTGAGAAATCTCAAATATTCTGGAGTAACACAATGTTTCTTATGGTGATGATATAAAAATATATCACTAAGATTATAATATACTGAGATCCTGCATCACCATTATCCCAGAGCTACAGTATGAGTGGCTGATGAATAGTAATGAAATTTTAATTAACATTTTGGTAGCAGAAGATCAGTTCAATAGTCATTTTCATTTAATCGATAGCCTTTTGGAAATTGGGATGCTTGTTTCATGCATGGACCATTGCTTACCACCTGCAGGGTTTATTTGTATGGCTAGCTATTAAATCTCACCTAAAATCATCATGAAGATAAATGCATATCACTTCTGTTTTAAAGTGCATGTCAAGGAAAAAGTTCAAACATTTAAATGGTCATGCTCTGTAATGGAAAAGAAGAAAACAATAGCTTTTTCTATTCAATATGAACCTTCATGGAGAAAATTTAGAAAATATTCTAATTTTATGCTGGTTTAATGTTTAAATAAGCACATAAGTACATTTCTTAGAGTCAAATACTAGTACTTGAGGTAGAAATGATATTTTTAAAAAATATTCTATGGATATGCTTTCAGGCATACAGTGGATATTGTTAGCTGCCAAT
Organism: Homo sapiens; assembly: GCF_000001405.40. Classification (NCBI taxonomy): domain Eukaryota; kingdom Metazoa; phylum Chordata; class Mammalia; order Primates; family Hominidae; genus Homo; species Homo sapiens. Next base: position 13,449,092 of record NC_000002.12, on the reverse strand, counting down.
CCAGTATCATTCTTGTTTTTCTCCTTCCAAACAGAATCCCTCTCTCTTTTCAAACAGAAAGGTCTTGAATATTCACCATTTTCACAAGTCTGTGCATCTTATTCAGCAGCTACTGAGTCTACTCTCGGCTCCAGAGAATAGTTGGAGAAAATTAGAATGATTACATCTTCCCTTTCTGTATTTGAATCAAGAATGGGCACGTCATCTAACCCAGAAAAATAAAACAATATAAATAGTTGATTAGAGCTTCTGTGGAAATCCTCTCTGGTATTTTCAAGGGGGAGGGTCTCAGTTTCTACACAGAATCTGCACAAGGGCCATCCTACCTCCTAAATCTCTTCAGTAATTTTTGGTAATCTAGTGAAGGCATTTCACGTAGGTAAATGTACTCAGTCCTGTAAAATGCCATTTATATATCAAACAATACTTGGATTGATAATCAACCATTCAATTTAAATATATGAATATCACTGAGGACCTTGATAACATTAATTTCCTTGAGGTATTGGAAACAAAAGCTTTATGTAAAGTATTCAAAAAGATTCAGAGTGTTGGGGGTGTGGAGTGGGGGTAGAAAGAGCATTAGAAAAAATAGGTAATGCATGCTGGGCTTAATACATAGGCCATGGGTTGATAGGTGCAGCAAACCACGATGGCACATGTTTACCTATGCAACAAATCTGCACATCCTGCACATGTACCCCACATCCTGCACATGTACCCCAGAACTTAAAATAAAAATAAAATAGAAATAATTGGAGACAACCAATATCCATCAACAGATGAATGGATACACTAAATGTGTTAAATAGACATAAAGTAATATTATTCAGTCACAAAAAAGTTCTGATATATGCTACAATATGGGTCAACCTTGGATAAATTATACTAACTAAAAGAAATGAGACACATAAGAATAAATGATGTAACATTCCACTTACTCGAAATATTTGCAATAAGAAAATTCATAGAGAAGTTCCCAGGGGCTGGGGGAGAGGGAAATAGAAGTTATTACTTAATGGGTGCAGAGTTTCTGTTGGAAGTGATAAAAATGTTTTAGAATAGATAGTGATGATGGTTGCACAGCAATATGAATATAAAATGCCACTGAGCTGAATATTTTAAAATGATTAAAATGACAAATTTTATGTTATTATATATATATTTCACCATGATAAAACCATTTAGACAATTAATGTAGACAATTTTCTGAAATAATTTTCTTTAAAATGAATAAAAATATTTAGTGCTAGTTGAATAAGTTCAACAAAAGTCTTGAAACTATAAAAGTAAAAAGATATTTAATTCCTATAATGATACTTAAAGACAGTGATAAATCATGAATAATGGCATTTTGAAAACGTGACAGAAGAGAAAATTCAAAGAAAAACTGAAAGAAAAGTGGAAAAAAGTCCCAAGAATAGGTTTTCCCTTGAAAAAAATATCAGAAAGAGCTATTATTTTTTAGACTGGACAAAGTTGGCTCTTTGGAAGTAATGAAGAGGTGGGTCTGACTGTATTACATACATATCATTGTGAAGAACAAGAGGTGTGTGTGGCATGTTAAATCATCCTGTGGACTCTATTGATAATTGTTTTTATGTGGAGTGAATATATTATGAGGCTTGAAGTTACTAGACTAAAAATGCTATGAAAGGTTATTCTAATTAAAACCCTTCTAGAAGTGTGAAAGGAGTCACTGGTAAAGCACTTGCTCAAATGATCAATTTAATTCAGATTAATGAAATCTACAAAGCCACAAATAAAACAGAGGATATAAAATATTAGAAGATACCACACTTACATGCTAGATAACCAAAATCAAACTTCTTAGATATAAAATGCCAATAAATATATTCATTTACTCTTAACAAATTAAAACAGAGAACCAAACAAAATTTTTTTAAAAATTAATCAATTTTAATTTATTTTATTTTTAATAAGAGAAACATTTATGCTTTTTCAGGTAGAATCAACTATCATTTAACATATTCTTTTTTTCCTGCCATCTCATGTTGCTCTGACTTAAATTAGGGCTAAAGATATTTGAATATTTGATTGCACCACAATATAAAAAGGGCTAATATAGATATAAACACAAAAGAGAAAAACAAATCAGAAAATGAGGCTCCCTGGGGTGGGTTATATTTGTCTCATGTCCCAGAATATGAATACACAACTTAAATTTAGCAAGCATTAAAGAAGAATCTATGTAGTTAGTCTTAATCCCTAGAAGTAACAAAAATTACAAATATATCATTAATGAGTGGTAAGTGCCATTTGATACTTATGGAATAACTAACATTACAGTACAAAAAACAGATCAAATCTGCATAATATTCCTCACATCTTCTCCTTTTAAATTATAAAAACACACTTTCTTATGTGACAAGATTTTGAGAGACTTAAATGAGATAATGTAAGTAAGTGAAACTGTTCTTTACTCTTAATGGCTGCATTGGATCTTGCATTGGTTATTCATTAAAGAACCACTCAGTAAGCACCTACGTACAAGGCCCCCTTTTAAGAACTGATGACACAGTGCATAAAAGCACTTTATGCATAAAAGTACTTCTCTGCATAGTATCTTTTTCTACCCAAAAGCACTTCTCTGCGTAGCTTTTATCTTTCCTTCTGTCTTCGTTTACTCCCAATGTCTCATCATGAGATTGCAATAAAAATTCTCAATTTCCCCCTTTATTATTTGTGAAAATTATGGACGTATTTGTAGCTATGATCACCTATCACTTTTCTACTAACAACAGAGCTAGACTATGAAATGGCTTTAACTGTGTATGTATTAGCAATTATATGTAACTATAAATTACATATAAAATAATTGTATATGTACATTTTATGCTATGCACTACTTTTTCCTTTCTAAAAAATTTTATACATAGCTCATGACTCTGTAATTTATAATAAAATATATACACAGTACCCTAAACTCACATTATCTTTGCAGCAGGGGAAATCAAAGAGAATAAAATCAAGATTCTTCTCTTTCCCAGAATTTTATATATATATACATATATATATTCCTGTATAAAACAAACAATATCTGATAAACCATGATAGATAAAATCCCAGGTTATTTTTTGATTGACTCATTCTAAATGTTGAATTGAGTTCTCGTAAGAAGGCATTAATTTAATATAAATTTGTATTATTACTACGACATATATTACCACTACAAACATCGAGCAAATATTACCAGCATCAATATCACTTAATATTTTTAATGTTTATTTGACCAGTTAACTTTGTTTACATGAATTGAATTAAGTACTCGTCATTCAACATTTAGCAGATTTTTTAATGAAAAATAAAGACAATAAATAACATATTCAATACAACTTTCATTTATCACCATTACTGAAGACCTACTGTGGACTTCACACTGGGTTTAACATATTTTATTTATTCCTTGATAAATTAATTACATTTTAGCTAATGTTGTTAATGAAAATGTTGAATAGTTTCGCTGTGCTTTAAAATAATCTACATAGCATATTACATTTACAATGACATGAAAACTTCTAGAAACTTTTAACCAATAGATCTATTTTTCATCTCAACTTTTTGAGTAGGACAGTAAAATTCAAAGGGATACAATGATTTGTGTAATTCCAGATAGCTAGTGTATTGTGCTGAAGATTTGAAACTAGGTGCTCTCAATTGTAACACTGCTCTCCTCTCATTATACCTTACTGACATTTACTAAGAGCACTGAATCTTTCTGTCCGAAGCCTTCCACTATTCTTATGCCTCCCCATTTACCTAATTAATGTTTATAAAATGTAGACAGTTTTAAGTGTGTTTTTATTTTTTTAAGTATAAGAAACTAGCCAAGTTAAAAAAAAAAAGCATTACAATTGAAGTGTTTACAATCTTTGATAATCTGAATATTTTCCACATCCATTCCAAAAATTATGTAGGTGAAAGGTATTTTAATGTTAATTTTCAACTGGTAATATGGGGTAGTCATGTAGCTATCATCACTGAAAGAGGCATATTTTTTTTTAAATAGAGACTTTCTAAAAGAATTCTATTTTCATCAATATAAATTGAAATTATTGCCATTTTCAACTATAAATCATTTGCACTGTGTTTTAGGAAGCAGTACTTGTTCCTGTCATGATTCCAGTCCTTGACATTGCCGCTGATCATTAAAACCCTATTTCTCCTTGTATTCATAGAATTCAGATAGCTACCTTGGCAATGCAGGATGTCACATTTTCACGGTATTCACGAACATGGAATGGGAGCCTCCAATTTCTGTAATCAAGATATTTGAGAGTTGATGTGCCCAAGGTCCTCTCTTTAATCAGCTGTGGTACTTCCCGCCCTGAACTCTAATTATCCCTGCAACAGGAGTAATCAAGGCAGAATAAAATCCAGGTTATTCTCTTTGGCCCAGTTTATCTCTCTACAGCCACGGGGAAGGCTGCTGAATCATGTCTCCAAATAAAAAGGTAATTATTTCCTGATTTCTCTGGAGCAGATGCAATGAGAGCAAGGTTGCTTCTACTGGGAGTCCCTACTGTGTTGCCAAACAGCAGCAGTTATCTTAGAAGACAGAAGCAATTACTTGCAAGATGTTCTTGTCTTTTTAGGTAGGGCTGAGTGCTAGTCATTAAAATTCATCTGTCATTTGAGTAACCACTACAGGCCAGGCATAGATATTTTTATATATATGTACATATTTTATATACATATATAAGTTAAATTTCTTTTAAATTTCAGACATTTATGAATGCACTCACATATGCACAAAAATATTAACACTGTAAGGTTTGAATCATATTCAAATAAGAGTGAGGAAAAGCTCAGTGAGTGAGTGAAATGACCAAGGTCACTGAGCTAGTCAGCAGCTCCGTAGTATTTCAAACTTGTGTTTCTATCATCTTTCCACTACGTTTTTATTATGAGCATGTAGTAGTTTGCAAAGCCTTTTTCTAATGCATAACACACGCACTGATATATACACTACAACAGCTTGCCATTGTCATGTTAAATGCTTAGGACAGCAGTTCTAATCTTCTCTTTGTCCTAAAGGGTCCTTGGTGATAGGGGGATCACCCTGGATGTTAGCCTAAATTATTCTTTCAAACTTTATTTAACTCCCAATCTCCCATGTCCAAATGGTATAAAATATGTGAAATTTACCAATTAGCTAAATTTAGCATTCCATTTGTTCTTGATACCACTTGAGGGAAAATATACATTATGTACTTAGTCTAATCATTTAATTAATCTAATTGGATTACTCACTGCCCAGATGGAAAGAAGGATGCCATCACTGCTGAGGTATAGTACAGGCAGCCCCTGACACAAGGTAACAGTGTAATTCTTGAACTAGGGGAGGGTGCTACTGACATCTAGTGAGTAGAGGCCAGGGATGCTTGTAAACATCTGCAACACATTAGACAGCACAACAGAGAACTGTGCTGCACAATTTTGCCCTGAGAGGGCAAAGTGATGTTGGATGAGGTAATTGTCTTTATCTCATGAATTCCTAAGAGACGGCATGTACATGAATAACTGATTCATGCAGGTTTATAAAGATTCAAGCCCTTTCTGTGGCCCCTTATAGATCTGAGGGGCCCTCCAGATACAGACACCATCAACTGAGAAAAGAATTCATTGAGAATGAAAACTGCTCCCTTTGCCCAATCTTGTTTTCTTTTCTTCCCTTTCCTTGTCTTTTACAGGAAGGACAGGAAGCAAGATTGGGCAGAGGAAGCAGTTTTCATTTATTAGGGGATTATTCTCAAAAATAGTCTCCCAATAAATCTTTTGCATGCTAATTCCCATATCAGGCCCTTCTTCCTCTGGAACCTGACAAAAAGGGCTGGTATCTGAACTGGTCTCAGAAAGCAGATGCTAAAATGAGATTTTGCAGTTGGATTATCCACTGCCCTGTTGAAAACCAGGACATCGGCCAGGCGCGGTGGCTCACGCCTGTAATCCCAGCACTTTGGGAGGCCAAGCAGGGCAGATCACAAGGTCAGGAGATCGAGACAATCCTGGCTAACACGGTGAAACCCCGTCTCTACTAAATACAAATACAGATACTAAATACAAAAAATTAGCCTGGCGTGGTGGTGGGTGCCTGTAGTCCCAGCTACTCAGGAGGCTGAGGCAGGAGAATGGCGTGAGCCTGGGAGGCGGAGCTTGCAGTGAGCCGAGATCACACCACTGCACTCTAGCCTGGGCGACAGAGCGAGACTCCGTCTCAAAAAACAAAACAAAACAAAACAAAACAAAACAAAACAAACAAAACAAACAAACAAACAAAAAAACGAGGACACCATCAATGGTGATAAATAAGTAAAGGCCGCCCTGGCACAAGGGAACAGTGCAATTTTTAAAATCTTCAGTGGCGGAGGGATGGTATACACTCAGGTAGAAAAGAATGGTATACACTCAGTAGAAGAGAAATGCACTAGATGATGTGGTGTGATGTGTTAAATATTTGAGAAATATTGGAGACATAGTAGTTATAAGGAGAGTGGAATTGAGTAGCTTTGCTAAACTTGAAGTATGCCTTGAAGAAAAAGATAAAAATAGGATTGATTAATCTGAAATTAAAAGCTAAGCATGAATGCCAGGGCATGAATGCAAGTAGCATGTAAAGAGGATCTCATTTACTGCAGCTAGGGGCAAAGAATGTTGAGGACCAAATCAAAGTCTCAATCATAAGAGTAGAAGAGAGCTGTAAAAAAACTTAAACTCTCAAACTAAGCAGGTCTGCTATAACCACATAAAAACTCAGACCAGGAAAGAATGAAACTCTCATGGAGTAAAAGCATCTGGATTATTACATCTAAAAATATTGTAAACCCATATCCCCTTATATTTCAACATCGTCCGCAGATATGACCAACACATTCCTGTTAAGGGCTGCCTCCTCTGCATCAAGATGACTTAGAGACCTCCCCTTCATACTACAAAGTATTCCACCCTCACAATGTGTTTACACATTCCTAGGTATTCTATTCTCTTGGAAGCAATTGTGAATGGGAGTTCACTCATGATTTGGCTCTCTGTTTGTCTGTTATTGGTGTATAAGAATGCTTGTGATTTTTGCACATTGATTTTGTATCCTGAGACTTTGCTAAAGTTGCTTATCAGCTTAAGGAGATTTTGGGCTGAGACAATGGGGTTTTCTAGATATACAATCATGTCGTCTGCAAACAGGGACAATTTGACTTCCTCTTTTCCTAATTGAATACCCTTTATTTCTTTCTCCTGCCTATTGCCCTGGCCAGAATTTCCAACACTATGTTGAATAGGAGTGGTGAGAGAGGGCATCCCTGTCTTGTGCCAGTTTTCAAAGGGAATGCTTCCAGTTTTTGCCCATTCAGTATGATATTGGCTGTGGGTTTGTCATAGATAGCTCTTATTATTTTGAGATACGTCCCATCAATACCTAATTTATTGAGAGTTTTTAGCATGAAGGGCTGTTGAATTTTGTCGAAGGCCTTTTCTGCATCTATTGAGATAATCAGGTGGTTTTTGTCTTTGGTTCTGTTTATATGATGGATTATGTTTATTGATTTGCGTATGTTGAACCAGCCTTGCATCCCAGGGATGAAGCCCACTTGATCGTGGCGGATAAGCTTTTTGATGTGCTGCTGGATTTGGTTTGCCAGTATTTTATTGAGAATTTTTGCATCGATGTTCATCAGGGATGTTGGTCTAAAATTCTCTTTTTTTGTTGTGTCTCTGCCAGGCTTTGGTATCAGGATGAATGGCCATACTGCCCTAGGTGATTTATAGATTCAATGTCATCCCCATCAAACTACCAATGACTTTCTTCACAGAATTGGAAAAAACTACCTTAAAGTTCATATGGAACCAAAAAAGAGCCCGCATTGCCAAGACAAACCGAAGCCAAAAGAACAAAGCTGGAGGCATCACACTACCTGACTTCAAACTGTACTACAAGGCTACAGTAACCAAAACAGCGTGGTACTGGTACCAAAACCGAGATATAGACCAATGGAACAGAACAGAGCCCTCAGAAATAATACCATGCATCTACAACCATCTGATCTTTGACAAACCTGACAAAAACAAGAAATGGGGAAACAATTCCCTATTTAATAAATGGTGCTGGGAAACTGGCTAGCCATATGTAGAAAGCTGAAACTGGATCCCTTCCTTTCACTTTATACAAAAATTAATTCAAGATGGACTAAAGACTTAAATGTTAGACCTAAAACCATAAAAACCCTAGAAGGAAACTTAGGCAATACCATTCAGGATGTAGGCATGGACAAGGACTTCATGACTGAAACACCAAAAGCAATGACAACAAAAGCCAAAATTGACAAATGGGATCTAATTAAACTAAAGAGCTTCTGCACAGCAAAAGAAACTACCATCAGAATGAATGGGAAACCTACAGAATGGGAGACAATTTTTACAATCTACCCATCTGACAAAGGGCTAATATCCAGAATCTACAAAGAACTTAAACAAATTTACAAAAAAATAATCAAACAACCCCATCAAAAAGTGGGTGAAGGATATGAACAGACACTTCTCAAAAGAAGACATTTATGCAGCCAAAAGACACATGAAAAAATGCTCATCATCACTGGCCATCAGATAAATGCAAATGAAAACCACAATGAGACACCATCTCACACCAGTTACAATGGTGATCATTAAAAAGTCAGGAAACAACAGGTGCTGGAGAGGATGTGGAGAAATAGGAACACTTTTACACTGTTGGTGGGACTGTAAACTAGTTCAACCATTGTGGAAGACAGTGTGGCAATTCCTCAAGGATCTAGAACTAGAAATACCATTTGACCCAGCCATCCCATTACTGGGTACATACCCAAAGGATTATAAATCATGCTGCTATAAAGACACATGCACACGTATGTTTATTGCGGCACTATTCACAATAGCAAAGACTTGGAACCAACTTAAATGTCCATCCATGATAGACTGGATTAAGAAAATGTGGCACATACACACCATGAAATACTATGCAGACATAAAAAAAAGGATGAGTTCATGTCCTTTGTAGGGACATGGATGAAGCTAGAAACCATCATTCTGAGCAAACTATTTCAAGGATAGAAAACCAAACACTGCATGTTCTCATTTATAGGTGGGAATTGAACAATGAGAACTCTTGGACACAGGATGTGGAACATCACACATCCAGGGTCTGTCATGGGGTGGGAGGAGTGGGGAGGGATAGCATTAGGAGATATACCTAATGTAAATGATGAATTAATGGGTGCAGCACGCCAACATGGCACGTGTATACATATGTAACACACCTGCACATTGTGCACATATACCCTAGAACTTAAATTATAATAAAAAAAACTACATAGGAAAGTATTGATCAATTTTGGAGTGTTATCTCAGTTCTCAGACTCCTAGTAAATAATAAAAACATGAAAGGAGGATGTCTTATAAAAACATGGAAAGACTGATAACCCACACTAAGTAAGGTAGAAATGCTGCTTCTGATAGCTTATGCAAAACAGGATTACAAGGCTTAAGTAAATAGGTATTCTAGAGTGGAAATACCATGTAAGCCTGAAACACACAGAAACACACACACACACACACACAGCCCTCAGATTACTGCGTTCCGTTGGTGTGGCAGGGATAAACTATTTACCAAAGTAATTAAGAATGTGTTGGCAGTATGAACTCCAGCGTCATTAAGAAATTCAATGACAGCTCCCTTCCATAGGCCATGACTGCTTGTAGGATATACCACTATAGAACTGGGCTCACTAACAGCAATGGTGATAATACAACACCAAAACAAAGACCAGGAGGTGGCATTTACATGAAAGGAACCAGGTAGATACAGTTATCATATGAGAGTTAAGACTAGAGTAATATCAAAGGAGACCTGACTTGCTGAGAGTTATGAAGTGGTTAATGGAGCATGGCTTCCCTAGATGTAAATTTGAAGAGCATCCAATAAGGGTATTGCTTTTTCTGTACAACCAAATACATCAAGGATAGATGATCAGAAGGATCATGCTTTTGTCAGCTTCTGTACAGAGGTGATTTTAGATTCAGAAGCCACAGACTGAAGATGAGGCTGGGTTTTTGGAAGAGGGACCCAATAATACAATGGAAATAATGATACCTTCAAGTCCTTCTCCAAACGACTTATGGTATTATGTTTAAGTAACCATCAACTAAAGAAAAGGGAGGACTCAAACATTTCAAGACTTTTATGCATAGAATTTTAAGTGGTAATGATACCCAGAAACTTGAAGTATAACAATGAAGGTATCAAAACTAGTTTAATAAACAGTCTGTTCACAGATCAGCCCACAGTGGGACCACTTGTCAATGTATGTATCCTTCACCAGTAGATATATTCCCAATTCCTTAATATATACTTGGAATAGACACAGTTAGTAGTTGCTATATTCTGCACGTTGATTCTTATGCCTTTAGAGTAAGAGTTGTAATGATGGATTGTATGGTTTGGCTCTATATCCCCAACCAAATCTCATATTGAATTGTAATTCCCATAATTCCCAAGTGTCGAGGGTGGGAACTGGTAAGAGGTGACTGGATCATGGGGGAAGTATCTCCCATGCTGTTCTCGTGATAATGAGTGAATTCTCATGAGATCTGGTGGTTTTCAAAGGGGCAGTTTTTTCATGCGCCCTCACTTCTCTCTCCTGCCATCATGTGAAGAAGGTCTTTGCTTCCTCTTCATCTTCCACCGTGATTATAAGTTTCCTGAGGCCTCTCCAGCCATGTGGAATTGTGAGTCAATTAACTCTCTTTTCTTTATAAATTACCTAGTCTTAGGCAGTTCTTTATAGCAGTGTGAAAACAGACTAATACAGTAAATAGGTATTGGAAGTGGGGCTCTACCCTGCAAACCCACAGAGGCGGAGCTGCCCAAGACCGTGGAAGTCCACCTCTTGCATCAGCATGCTCTGGATTTGAGACATGGAGTCACAGGAGATCATTTTAAAGCTTTAATGTCTGTCTTGCTGGATTTCAGACTTGTATGGGGGCCTGTAGCCCCTTTGTTTTGGCCAATTTATTTCATTTGGAATTGGAATATTTACCCAATGCCTGTATCCCAATTGTGTCTTGGAAACAACTAACTTGTATTTTATTTTACTGGCTCATAGACTGAAGAGGCTTGCCGTGTCTCAGATGAGACTTTGGACCTGGATTTTTGGGTTAAGGCTGGAATGAGTTAATACTTTGGGGGATGATTGGGAAGGCATGATTGTGTTTTGAAATGTGGGGACATAAGATTTGGGGAGAGCCAGGAGTGGACTAATATGGTTTGGCTCTGTGTCACCCAAATCTCATCTTCAATTATGGTTCCCATAATCCCCACATGTCAAGGATGGGACCTGGTGGGAGGTGATTGGATCATGGGGTGGTTACCCCCATGCTGCTCTTGTGATAGTGAGTGAATTCTCATGAGATCTGATGGTATTTAAAGTGGCATATTTTTCCTGTGCCCTCACTTTTCTCTCTTGCTGTCTTGTGAAGAAGGTCCTTGCTCTGCCTTCACATCCTGCCATGATTGTAAGTTTCCTGATGCCTTCCAAGACATGTGGAACTGTGAGTTAATTAAACCCAGTCTTGGACAGTTCTTTATAGCAGTGTGAAAATGGACTAATCCAATAGAGAAACCCAAGTAGAATTTTCTGAAACTTCCCTGTACTTTGGCAAAAATATAAACCACATGCAGTATTGCATCCCAATAACTGATGGTACCCATTATATCTCCATTTAATGTAACAGTCTTAGCCTGTTTTTTTTTGTTTTTTTTTAATGAGAGTGGAGTAGTGACAACTCAACCAAGTAGCAGACCCAAATTTCACCCACAGTGTAATCTGATGACTCTGACAATCAGAAAGGGGTTGATCTGCTGCTAAACAATGGTCTCATGGGGCAATATGTTTGACACTCAGGCAAATCACCTGGGCATATATTGGTATTATCTGCTAATTTTGATGGTAAATGGACAAGTGCAGCAGCAGTGATCTAAGAAGGGCATTATAAATGTTGGCTCATATTACTCAAGAATGAGGTGTACATTGTGTCACTGGGCTCAGCAGATGTGCTAGCCAAGGCAGAACAAAATATAGAATAAGAATAGAGGAGAAATATAATGAGTACAAATTGTGGCCTCAAAACCAGCAAGAGGCTGAGGTTTCTTTCACTAATTTTCTATTATGTTTTGTTTTATCCAGGAAAATTGGCCTGTAAGCATCTCCAAAAATCTGTTATATATATGTATACCTTCAGGGTGAACAGGCTGCATGTTTTGATATACCACCACCATCTAGACCCTCCTTTAAAAACATATTCTCCCAGGTTTTTAGAGTGCTGCCAGAAGGTAGCTCTCAGCTGTTAGCAGTCATTGGAGACAATTATCTCACTCAAGATTAACCCAACCTTTTGGGCAGCCTCCATCCAACAATTAGGCACTATCAGAAATATAAAGACCCAGACCTCTTTCTCTAGCTTGGAATAACTCTGTAGTGCCTTCCCAAACTGAGAACTCACTTTGAATTAAACTAAGCCCCTAGGGTATGACTGCATTTTAGGTCACTATTTTTCTATACCTAATTGTTTTCCTCTCATCCCTTTTGCAGGTGATGTTCCTAAGTGAACACTTCTTAACAAATCATTTGCAAACTAATCTTTGTCTAGGAAGCATCTTCCTGGGGAATATAATATGCCATAGATGCCTTATTCTCAAGCCTTTCAACTAAAAGTGGTCAGAAAAGAATTGTATGATTTTTTTCCTTTTATTCTTAACAGTTCTTAGCATGGCACAATTATACAGGATAAATATACATTAAATTAATCTAGTGTCTTTAAATTCATTTTCAATTTAAACATAATAAAATATAAAACTTGTGGAAGTCTGTTTGGATCTAAAATACATGCATTTTCCATTATATCACTTTGCACTAACACCTAACACAATACCTTATGTTGCTTTAGCATGCATTATCTTTCAGAACAGTAACACATCTCAGCATCTGTTAACTCGTTGAAGAAATTCTACCAGGCATTGAAAGTGACACTACAAAAATAAATGACTAGGGCATTGTTCCTGTCCTAGAGATGTTCATGCTGTAGCTTAGGGAAACAAACTAAAATACGGATAAGCACAATATATTGAAATGAGGGTTAAGAAAGGGGCATTAGCAAAGTGCTAAGTGTAAAAGAAGGAACAAGTCTGCTTCTATGGTGCTCTACTGTGAAGTTTTTTAGAAAAAGTGATGATTAACCTAAATGTAGAAGGGTATGTAATTTTTTAGATAAACAAGTAGAGGAAGGTAGACAAAAGGGAAAATAAACACAGGAGACATACATGAATATAGTCTATTTAAACAATGGTGACAAATTGACTTAGATAAAGTGCATGAGTTTACAGGAGGAGAGTGAGATTATGACGCGGGAGAGGCCTGTTAAAGGTGAAAAAAATTTATTTACTAACATTTGTTGAAGCTGTGATTATATTATCAAATGCTACTCTATCAAATCATTCAGCAAGTAATCTGAAGGTTGTATAAGAGTTTTAAAAAACTTGAATCATGAAGACTAATTAAAAGTATATCCCAGTAGTTCAGAGAACAGATGATATATGTCAAGATTTCTTGTGGGAAGTGGGAAAATATCTGTAGCTGTGAGTTAGTGTCTATCTATGTGGCCTGTGGATGGATTGTAGTCTGAATAAGTGTGGAGAGCTTAGAAAATAAAGAATGAGCACATATAGACAGAAATGTGAATAAATTAATCTGGGGCACTTTAAATTTTAGTTGCCTAGGAATATGGAGGTTTGATGTTCAGGATCAATGTCTAGAGCTAAAATTTATATAAATGTTTAATGTGACTCTAATACACACATAGACACACTACTCATTTTATGAGATAAATGAATGTTTGTCATTGGATGAAGTGCCACAGGGGAGTATAAAAATTAAAAGAAAAATAACATTGTAGAACAAAAATCTTAACACAATGTAGACGTAATGAAAGCTTGGGAATAAATAGAAGAAACAAATGGACCTAAAGAAATACATAAGTTTTCCTGGAAGGATAGAAATATTGATAAGTTATTAAATGAATAGTTGTAAATGAACATAAGTCTGGCTTATATTAGGGGGAATAATAAAAAATAAATTTAGTGCATAACTTTAAAATTAGCAGAAGAAAAATTGATCTATGCAATAAAAATTAGAAAAGGAAGTAATGTAAATACACTAAGTGGAACAAATGAGAAACAATGTAGTATGATTGAATGATTGTGTAGCTGTACTTACAATAGATATAAATAAGTTTAACCCATCAATTAATACTCTCAAACTGGTGAGAAATATGATATTCAACAATATATTATCTAAAAAGTTTTCATTTACAGTTAAAAAAAAACCAAAAACCTTAAACACTGTTAAAGGAAAGTTTGGGAAAGAATAGGCCAAACTGTAAATTTAAAAAAAATCATAGGAGGATATTATTAAGCTAAGTCTCAGCACCTAATGTTGAAACAGCACCAAAAATAGAACCAGAGAAGAGGGATGGAAGGGAGGAAGAAAGGAAAGGGGCAAAGAAGAAGGGAAAAGAAAGAGGAGAGAGGAGAGGAGAGGAGAAAGGAAATGGGGAAGAGAGAGAAAGAGGGGGCACGGGTGAGGGAGAAGGAGGAGAAGAAACAGAAATAGAGGAAAAAGAAAAGAATTAATCAATAATAATAAGAAGAAAAAAAACAAGTGATATGGTTGGCTGTGTCCCTACCCAAATACCATCTTGAAATTTAGCTCCCATAATTTCCATGTGTTGTGGGAGGAAGCCGGTGGGAGGCGATTGAATCAGGGGGCGAGTCTTTCCCGTGGTGTTCTCATGATAGTGAATAAGTCTCATGAGATGTGATGATTTTATAAAGGGGCACTAGCTCTCTTGCCTGCCGCCAGGTAAGACGGGACTTTGCTCCTCTTTTGCTTTCCACCGAGATTGTGAGGCTTCCCCAGCCATGTGGAACTCTGAGTCACTTAAGCCTCTTTCCTTTATAAATTACCCAATCTCAGGTATGACAGTGTGAGAACAGACTAATACAGTAAATTGGTACCAGTAGTGTGGGGTGCTGATGAAAGTGCCTTTGCAAAATTATGACTAAGACAGTGAAAGATCTAATTTAATCAGCTCCATCTTGCTTCTAACCTGCACGCTGTCTTTGTTCATTCCTGGGCGTAGGCTAAACTAACTTTGGGAGAAACTCAGTTTACAGTTTAAAACAAAGATGATAACATCTCTTTCCCAAAGCAAACCTCCTTCTTGCCCAGTGACTAGATTGGCTTTGTAGCACTAACATTAGCCACAGAATTAGAAATTATGGTTTAGGAATCATGCAGCTGGAGGCTACAAGATTCTGACCCTCCCTAAACTGCTCCTAAGAGCAGTGCTTGAGATATTTTACAGACCCTGTACTTGATGGATCAGCTGGCACCACCCAAATGGATAAACTGGCTCATCTGATCTTGTGCTCCCTCCTTCACCCAGGAACTGAGTC
Organism: Homo sapiens; assembly: GCF_000001405.40. Classification (NCBI taxonomy): domain Eukaryota; kingdom Metazoa; phylum Chordata; class Mammalia; order Primates; family Hominidae; genus Homo; species Homo sapiens. The sequence continues at coordinate 13,433,533 of NC_000002.12, read as the reverse complement.
AGTGTAAGAAGACAGCTTCAACTCCCAATCATTTCATCCCTGACCTATCAGCACTCCTGGCTCACTGGCTTTCCCCCACCCACCAAGTTGTTCTTAAAAACTCTGATCCCCAAATGTTCTGGGAGAAAGGTTTGAGTAATAATAAAACTCCAGTCTCCTGCACAGCAGCTTTGCATGAATTACTCTTTCTCTATTGCGATTCCCCTGTCTTGATAAATCGGCTCTCTCTAGGCAGTGTGCAAAGTGAACCCATTGAGCAGTTACGCTGCTGTAAAGATACCTGAAAATGTGGAAGTGACTTGAACTAGGTAACAAACAGGCAGAGGTTGGAATAGTTTGGAGGGCTCAGAAGAAGATAGGAAAATGTTTGAAATTTCCTAGAGACTTGGAGGGTTCAGAAGACAGGAAAATGTGTGAAAGTTTAGAACTTCCTAGAGACTTGTTGAATGGCTTTGACCAAAATGCTGATAGTATGGACAATAAAGTCCAGGCTGAGGTGGTCTCAAGAGGAGATGAGGCACTTGTTGGAAACTGAAGAAAAGTAACTCTTATTATGCTTAGCAAAGAGACTGGTTGCATTTTGCCCTTGCCCTAGAGATCTGTGGAACTTTGAAATTGAGAGAGATGATTTAGGGTATCTGGTGGAAAAAAATGTCTAAGTGGCAAAGTGTTCAAAAGAAAGCAGAGCATAAAAACTTTGAAAAATTTGCAACCTGATGATGCAATAGAAAAGAAAAACCCATTTTCTGGGAAGAAACTCAAGCAAGCTGCAGAAATTTGCATAAGTAATGAGGGGCCAAAGGCTAATAACCAAGACAATGGGGAAAATGTCTCCAGGGCCTGTCAGAGAACTTCATGCCAGCCCCTCTCATCACAGACCCAGAGGTCTAGGAAGAAAAAATGGTTTCTTGGGCCAGGTCCAGGGACTGCTGCTATGTGCAGCCTAGGGACTTGGTGCCCTACATCCCAGCTGCCCCAACCATGGCTAAAAGGGGACAAGGTACAGTTCTGACCATGGTTTCAGAGGGTGCAAGCCCCAAGCCTTGGAAGCTTCCATGTGGCGTTGAGCCTGTGGGTACACAGAATTCAACAATTGAGGTTTGGGAACCTCCACCTAGATTTCAGAGGATCTATGGAAATGCCTGGATGTCCACGCAGAAGTTTGCTGCAGGAGTGGGGCCCTCAAGGAGAATCTCTGCTAGAGCAGTGTGGAAGGGAAATGTGGGGTTAGAGCACCCCCATGGAATCCCCACTGGGGCACTGACTAGTGGAGCTGTGAGAAGAGACCCACTGTCTTCCATACCCCAGAATGGTAGATCCACCAACAGCTTGCACTGTATACCTAGAAAAGCCACTGACACTCAACACCAGCCCATGAAAGCAGCCAAGAGTGGGGCTATACCCTGCAAAGCTGCAGGGGTAGAGCTGCTCAAGACCATGGGAACCCATCTCTTTCATCAGCATGCCCTGGATGTGAGACATGGAGTCAAAGGAGATCATTTTGGAGCTTTATTTAACTGCCCTGCTGGATTTTGGACTTGCATGGGGCCTGTAGCCTTTTAGTCTGGCCAGGTGTATTCGGAACAGGTGTATTTACCCAATTCCTCTACCCTCATTGTATCTAGGAAGTATGTAACTTGCTTTTGATTTTACATGCTCACAGGTGGAAGGGATGTGCTTTGTCTCAGATGAGACTTCGGACTGTGAACTTTTGAGTTAATGCTGAAATGAACTAAGACTTTGGGGGACTGTTGGGAAGGCATGATTGGTTTTGAAATGTGAAGACATGAAATTTGGGTGGGGCCAGGGGTGGAATGATACGGTTTGGCTGTGTCTCCACCCAAATCTCATCTTGAATTGTAGCTCCCATAATTTCCGTGTGTCATGGGAGGGACCCGGTGGGAGGTAATTGAATCATGAGAGTGGATCGCTCCCATGCTGTTCTCGTGATAGTGAATAAGTCTCACAAGTTCTGATGATTTTATTAAGGGGAGTTCCCCTGCACACACTCTCTTGCCTGCTACCATGTAAGACATGACTTTGCCCCTCCTTCACCTCCTGCCATGACTGTAAGTCTCCCCCAGCCATGTGGAACTGTGAGTCAATTAAACATCTTTTCTTTATAAATTACCCAATCTCAGGTATGTCTTTATTAGCAGCATGATAACAGGTTAATACACCAAGTAAACAAACATGTTGCTAGAACAAAGCAATAAAGAGAGAGAAGGAATAGTTAATGAAGTAGGAGAAAAACCAGAAGTACACAACAAACTGAAATTACAGAGGGATATGTAGAGAAGAAAGAAATAGAATATAGTATCAGAAGCTGCCAAGAGGTCAGCTTAGATTATAACTGAAACATGCTTATGTCAAAGAAAACAATGAAATGCCGAGAGTATAATAAGAAGGGCTCTGAGGAAGGATTTAGAGTTGAGGAAGATGTAACTTTTGTGAAACGACACTTAGCAGGGGCTAGAAATTTTAAATATTTATGTGTTCATCTACCCAAACCGCAGCCTGCAAATAGCAAAGAACACTTAGATAATGCATGTATACCTAAGCAAAGGTATGCTGGAAAACAGGGAACCATTCCTAAGCTACAAGAAATAGTAAAGACTAGAAAACTAAAAACACACTGAGTGATATTTTTTCTCTTCCTTTTATGTCTAACCCCTAATGCTGATTTTCTATTAATCCAATTCCAATAAAAGAGAGAATAAAAAAATTATCCCTTAGAATAAAGGACTAATCTATCTACCCTAAATCCATTTCTACTTAGCATTCAAGACCTTTTCTTAGTTTGTCTTAGTTTTCTGAAGCCCAACCCAATCTTCCTCATTCCAATGACTTCCTCTTACATCACAAGCTATACAGGATATGATAGAGATATAATAACAAAATAATGCTCAGAAAAAGAAGAAAACATACTCCAGCATTTTAACCCAATGAATGTTCATCTTCTAGTTTTATAGAAAGCCAAAAGGAAATAATTTTTTCAAGAAATTTTCCTGCGAAAGATTATTAGAAGCATTTTGGATTTTAGAAATATTTTTAAAAATCAAAACACTTACATGCTAAGGAAAATGGGGCAGCAGGCCATGAAAAGTTCAAGAGTCAGTATTCAATTTGACTATACGTGAAGTTGGGAGGGAAAAAAGATCAGGAAGAAGATTAACTTGGAAAACCAGTAGCTTTGAATAGCAAAAGAAAATCTCTTTAACTAACATATGCCAACATATGTAAGGGTGAGAAACAATAATTGTGAAAAAGATTTAATGCCAGATTACATTTATTTTCTCTGCTAAGTACATAAAAAAGGTATGTGTCACTTGTGGATATTAATTAAAATCAGGAGAAAAGAATACTAATTCTTTCATTATTTCTTCTGACATAGTACCCACTGGAATGTTCCTTTCTTTTATACATACTGTCATAGAATCCAACTAAGTCGATGCAGATACCAAGAGAAAAGACCATTCTTTTTTTATTATTTTTCTCTTAAGTTTTGGGGTACATATGCAGTATGTGCAGGTTTGTTACACAGGTAAATGTGTGCCATGGTGGTTTGCTGCACCTATCAACCCATCACCTATGTATTGTGCCCGGCATACATTAGATATTTTTCCTGATCATCTCCCCCAAAATCCTCCCCCAACAGGCTCCAGAGTGTGTTGTTCCCCTCCCTGTGTCCATGTGTTCTCATTATCCAGTTCCCATTTATAAATGAGAACATGAAATGAATGCCATTTTCTACAGGTCCATAGAATTCCAAAGAGATGAATGGGTAACTAGAATGTGCTAATGGGCTAGTTTACTCTTTCCTTATGAGCGCATAATTGAGCCCCATCATAGGTGAATTTATGCTTATTGTCAATTTCAATCTCCAGCTTGGTCTAGCCACAGTCAAGTACAGAAAAGAAGCTTTCAGAATGAAGATTAAAAAAAAGTCCCCTAGAGTCAGAGAGAACCATTTGCTTGAATCTTTAGAGGCAATCACTAGTGTGATTCTCCACTAGGAGACATCCATTTGTATTGAATCTAACTTGAATTAAAACTTATTCTTTCTAGTAATCATATACCACAGCAATAAGAGGTAAGAGGAAGTATGCCAATGATTTAGAAAATAAAGGTAAATAGATACTTATTATGCATGCGCTAGGTGTTCCTGATAAAATTTGGATACAAGTGAATATCTGGTGTACTTATGCATTATATAAAATGAATATAATTAATTCAAATAAATATTATTCAACTTTGAAAATTATTATTCAGAGTTACTAAATTACTTCAGTTTTTTTAAATAAACACTCGGAAAAAGTAAATTTGCATATGTTATATGTTTCCCCATGAAATGTTAGACACAGCTAAATCCCTTAGAAATGTGGAAAAATGCAGAGGAATAAGGCTATAAAATGATGACCCTGTACAATGCAAGTGTCAAAAAAGATCACTTAACTTGATTTACATGCATCTGAACCATCTGTTTGTTATTAACCCATTTTTGCTGGATGTGTGTCATATTCTATTTATTTCAGAGGCTTCAATTGGTCCTTTCTGTTGGAATGCTTTCTACTACAAGTAATAGAAATCCAGTTCAAAATGGATTGCATATTTTAAAAATTAATTTTTTTATACAATAGGATAAATAATAATGAAAAATTCACTTGTAGTATGCCAAGTCTCCTGCTCGGCATCTTATGATTCTATTCACTTTTCCCTTTCTGTGCCTTTTAGGAACGAGGTCCTACTGTAGAATTCTCCTTAAATTTCACTGAAGCTCAGGTGATTCTAAATTAACCACACCAAAAAGAAAGACTGAACTTAACTATTTTCTTTATTTATTTCTTTCTTTTGTTTCTTTTTGTTTTCTGATACAGGACCTTCCTCTGTCATCCAGGCTGGAGTGCAGTGGTGTGACCTCAGCTTGCTGCAACCTCTGCTTCCTGGACTCCAGCAATCCTCCCATCACAGCCTCCCGAGTAGCTGCGACCACAGTCGCATGCCACTACTCCCGGCTAATATTGTTATTTTTTGTAGAGATGGGGTTTTGGTATGTTGCCCAGGCTGGTTTCAAACTGCTGGGTACAAGAAATCCTCCCACCTTGGCCTCCCAAATTGTTGGGATTCCAGGTGTGAGCCACCAGCCCCTCCAAATGAACTTCATTTGTATCAACTAAATGTAATGCTAGAGCTGTGGACTTGATCACTTTTGCTGAAATCATATGAGAAGAAGGGGCATGTGCCAGAATAAAATGTTCCTTTAAGAAATTAATTATTTGCAGGGATCTAGCAAGATGGCCAAATAGGAACAGCTCCAGTCTGCACCTCCCAGTGAGACTAACACAGAAGGTGGGTGATTTCTGCATCTCCAACTGAGGTACCCAGTTCATCTCATTGGGACAGGTTAGGCGGTGGGTGCAACCCATGGATGGTGAAAGGAAGCAGGGTGGGGCATCACCTCACCCAGGAAGTGCAAGGAGCGGGGGACCTCCCTCCCTCAGCCAAGGGAAGCTGTGAGGGAGTGTGCTACCCAGCTCGGATACTATGCTTTTCCCATGGTTTTTGCAATCCGCGGATCAGGAGATTCCCTCATGTGCCTACACTAGCAGGGCCCTGGATTTCAAGCACAAAACTGGGCGGCTGTTTGGGCAGACACTGAACTAGCTGCAGGAGTATTTTCATACTCAAGTGGCACCTGGAACCCCAGCAAGACTGAACTGTTCACTCCCCTGGAAAGGGGCCTGAAGCCAGGGAGCCAAGTGGTCTCGCTCAGCAGGTTCCACTCCCACAGAGCCCAGCAAGCTAAGAAGCTCTGACTTGAAATTCTCACTGCCAGCACAGCAGTCTGAAGTCCACCTGGGACTATCAAGCTCCGTGAGGGAAGGGGCATCCACCATTACTGAGGCTTGAGTAGGTCGTTTTCCCCTGAAAGTGCTAAGGAGGCCAGGAGGTTTGGCCTGGGTGGAATTCACCACAGCTTGGCAAAGTGGCTGTAGCCAAACTGCCTCTCTAGATTCCTCCACACTGGGCAGCACATCTCTGAAGGAAATGCGGCAGCCCCAGTCAGGGGCTTACAGATGAAACTCCCATCTCTGTGGGAAAGAGTGCCTGGGGGAAAGGGCAGCTGTGGGAACAGCTTCAGCAGACTTAAACTTTGTGGCCTCCCAGCTCTAAAGAGAGCAGCTAATCCTGACAAGGATGATTCTCCCAGCACAGTGCTTGAGCTCTGCTAAGGGACAGAATGACTCCTCAAGTGGGTCCCTGGCCCCCGTGCCTCCTGGCTGGGAGAGACCTCCTAACAGGGGTCGACAGACACTTTATATAGGAGAGCTCTGGCTGGCATCAGACTGGTGCCCCTCTGGGACAAAGTTTCCACAGGAAGGAGCAGGCAGCAATCTTTGCTGTTCTGCAGCCTTCCCTGATGATACCCAGGCGAACAGGGTCTGAAGTGGACCTCCAGCAAACTGCAGTGGACTTGCAGAAGAGGGGCCTGACTGTTAGAAGAAAAATTAACAAACAATAAGCAACAACATCAACATCAACAAAAAGGACCCCCCACCCAAAATCCCCATCCAAAGCTCATCAGCCGCAAAGATCAAAGGTAGATAAATCCACGAAGATGAGGAGAAACCAGTGCAAAAATGCTGAAAATTCAAAAAAACAGAATGCCTCTTCGTCTCCAAATGATCGCAACTCCTCTCCAGCAAGGGCATAAAACTGGATGGAGAGTGAGATTGATGAATTGACAGAAGTAGGCTTCAGAAGGTGGGTAATAAACTCCTCTGAGCTAAAGGGGCATGTTCTAACTCAATGTAAGGAATCTAAGAACCTTGATAAAAGGTGACAGGAACTGCTAACTGGAATAACCAGTTTGGAGAGGAACATAAATGACCTGATGGAGCTGAAAAACAGCACAAGAACTTTGTGAAGTATACACAAGTATGAATAACTGAACCAATCAAGCAGAACAAAGGATATCAGAGATTGAGATCAATTTACTGAAATAGGACATGAAGACAAGATTAGAGAAGAAAGAATGAAAAGGAATGAACAAAGCCTACAAGAAATATGGGACTATGTGAAAAGACCAAACCTATGATTGATTGGTGTACCTGAAACTGACAGGGAGAATGGAACCAAGTTGGAAAACACACTTCAGGATATCATTTAGGAGAACTTTCCCAACCTAGCAAGAAAGGCCAACGTTCAAATTCAGGAAATATAGGGAACACCACTAAGATACTCCTTGAGAAGGGCAACCCCCAAGACACATAATCGTCAGATTCTCCAAGGTTGAAACAAAGGAAAAAATGTTAAGGGAAGCCAAAGAGAAAGGTCAGGTTACCTACAAAGGGAAGCCCATTAGACTAACAGTGGATCTTTCTGCAGAAACCCTACAAGCCAGAAAAGAGTAGAGGCCAATATTCAACATTCGTAAAGAAAAGAATTTTCAACCCAAAATTTCAGATCCAGCCAAACTAAACTTCATAAGTGAAGAAGAAATAAAAATCCTTTCCAGACAAGCAGGCCTGCCTTACAAGAGTTCCTGAAGGAAGCACTAAATATGGAAAGGAAAAACTAGTACCAGCCACTGCAAAAAGACACCAAAATATAAAGACCAATGACACTATTAAGAAACTGCTTCAACTAATGTGCAAAATAACCAGCTAACATCTTGATGACAGGATCAAATTCTCACATAACAATATTAACCTTAAATGTAAATGGGCTAAATGCCCCAATTAGAAGGCACAGACTGGCAAATTGGATAGAGTCAAGACCCACTGGTGTGCCGTATTTAGGAGACCCATCTCATGTGCAAAGACACACATAGGCTCAAAATAAAAGGATGGAGAAATATTTACCAAGCAAATGGAATGCGAAAAAATAAAGGAGGGGTTGCAATCCTAGTCTCTGATAAAACGGACTTTAAACCAACAAAGATCAAAAAAGGTAAAGAAGAGGATAACATAATGGTAAAGGAATCATTGCAACAACAAGATCTATCTATCCTAAATATATATGCACTCAATACAGGAGCACCCTGATCCATAAAAGAAGTTTTTAGAGTCCTACAAAGAGACTTAGAGTCCCACACAATAATAGTGGGAGACTTTGACACCCCATTGTCAATATTAGACAGATCCATGAGACAAAAAAGTAACAAGGATATTCAGGATTTGAACCCAGCTCTGGACCAAGTTGACCTATTAGACATCTACAGAACTCTCCACCCCAAATCAACAGAATATACATTCTTCTCAGCACCACATAGCACTTATTCTAAAATTGACCACATAATTGGAAGTAAAACACTCCTCAGCAAATGCGAAAGAATGGAAACCATAACAAACAGTCTTTCAGATCACAGTACAATCAAATTAGAACTCAGGATTAAGAAACTCACTCAAAACCGCACAACTACATGGAAATTGAACAACCTGCTCCTGAATGACTACTGGTTAAATAACAAAATTAAGGCAGAAAAAAATAAGTTCTTTAAAGCCAAAGAGAACAAAGAGCTAATGTAGCAGGATCTCTGGGACACAGCTAAAGCAGTGTTGAGAGAGAAATTTATAGCAATAAATGCCCACATCTGAAAGGTGGAAAGATCTGAAACCGACACCTGAACTTCACATTTAAAAGAACTAGAGAGGCAAGAGCAAACAAATTCAAAAGATGGCAGAAGACAAGAAATAACTAAGATCAGAGCAGAACTGCAGGAGATAGAGACACCAAAAACCCTTCAAAAATCAATTAATCCAGGAGCTGGTTCTTTGAAAAGATTAATAGATAGACCACTAGCTAGATGAATAAAAAAGAAAAGAGAGAAGAATCAAATAGACACAATAAAAAAATGATAAAGGGGATATCACCACTGATCCCACAGAAATACAAACTACCATCAGAGAATACTATAAACACCTCTACTCAAATAAACTAGAAAATCTAGAAGAAATGGATAAATTCCTGGACACATACATTCTCCCAAGACTAAACCAGGAAGAAGTCAAGTCCCTGAGTAGACCAATAACAAGTTCTGAAATTGAGGCAGTAATTAATAGCCTACCAACGAAAAACAGCCTAGGACGAGATGAATTAACAGCTGAATTCTACCAGAGGTACAAAGAGGAGCTGGTACCATTCCTTCTAAAACTACTCCAAACAATAGAAAAAGAGGGACTCCTCCCTAACTCATTTTATGAGGTCAGCATCATCCTGATACCAAAACCTGGCAGAGACACAAGAAAAAAGAGAAAATTTTAGGCCAATATCCCTGACAAACATTGATGCAAAAATCCTCAATAAAATACTGACAAACCAAATCTAGCAGCAGATCAAAAACTTATCCACCACGATCAAGCTGTCATCATCCCTGGGTTCCAAAGCTGGTGCAACATATGCAAATCAATAAACGTAATCCATCACATTAACAGAACCAATGACAAAAACCACATGATTATTACAATAGATGCCAAAAACGCCTGTGATAAAATTCAGCATCCCTTCATGCTAAAAGCTCTCAATAAACTAGGCATGGATGGAACATATTTCAAAATAATAACAGCTAGTTATGACAAACCCACAGCCAATATCACACTGAATGTGCAAAAGCTGGAAGTATTCCCTCTGAAAACCAGCACAGGACAAGGATGCCCCTTCTCACCACTCTTATTGAATGTAGTATTGGAAGTTCTAGCCAGGGCAGTCAGACAAGAGAAAAGAAATAAAGGGTATTCAAATAGAAGAGAGGAAGTCAAATTGTCTCTGTTTGCAGATGCCATGTTTGTATATTTAGAAAACCCCATTGTCTCAGCACAAAAACTCTTTATGCTGATAAGCAACTTCAGCAAAGTCTGAGGATACAAAACCAAGGTGCAAAAATCACAAGCATTCCTATACACCAATAATAAACAAGCAGAGAGAAAAATCATGAGTGAACTCCCATTCATCACTGCTAATTGCTAAAAAGAGAATAAGATACCTAGGAATACAACTTACAAGGGGCGTAAAGGACTTCTTCAAGGGGAACTACAAACCACTGTTCAAGGAAAAAAGAGAGGACACAAACAAATGGAAAAAAAATCCATGCTCATGGATAGGAAGAATCAATATCATGAAAATGGCCATACTACCCAAAGTAATTTATAGATTCAGTGCTATTCCCATCAAGCTACCATTGACTTTCTTCACAGAATTAGAGAAACCTACTTTAAATTTCATATGGGACCAAAAAAGCGCTCATATAGACAAGACATTCCTAAGCAAAACAACAACAAAAACACAAACAAATGAAAACAAAGCTGGAGGCATCATGTTCCCTGACTTAAAACTATGCTACAAGGCTACAATAACCAAAACAGCATGGTACTAGTACAAAAACAGATATATTGACCAATGGAACAGAACAGAGGCCTCAGAAATAACACCACACATCTACAACCATCTGATCTTTGACAAACCTTACAAAAACAAGCAATGGGGAAAGGATTCCCTGTTTAATAAATAGTGCCAGGAAAACTGGGTAGCCATATACAGAAAATAGAAACTGGACCTCTTCCTTACACCTTTACAAAAATTAACTCAGGATTGATTAAACACTCCAATGTAAAACCTAAAACCATAAAAACTCTAGAAGATAACCCAGGCAGTACCATTCAGGACACAGGTATGGGCAAAGACTTCATGACTAAAACACCAAAAACAATTGCAACAAAACCCAAAATTGACAAATGGGATCTAATTAAACTAAAGAGTTTCTTCACAGCAAAAGAAACTATCGTCAATGTGAACAGGCAACCTAAAGAATGGGAAAAAAATTTACAATCTATCCATCTGACAAAGACCTAATATCCAGAATCTACAAGGAACTTAAACAAATTTACAAGAAAAAAGCAAACAACCCCATCAAAAAGTGTGTGAAGGATATGAACAGACACTTCTCAAAAGAAGACATTTATGTGGCCAACAAACATATGAAAAAAAGCTCATCATCACTGGTCATTAGAGAAATGCAAATCAAATCCACAAGGAGATACCATCTCATGCCAGTTAGAATGCCAATCATTAAAAAATCAGGAAACAACAGATGCTGGAGAGGCTGTGGAGAAATAGGAATGCTTTTACACTGTTGGTGGGAGTGTAAATTAGTTCAACCATTGTGGAAGACAGTGTGGCAATTCCTCAGGGATCTAGAACCACAAATACCATTTGACCCAGAAATCCCATTACTGAGTATATACCCCAAGAATTATAAATTATTCTACTAGAAAAACACATCCACATATATATTTATTGCAGCACTATTTACAACAGCAAAGACTTGGAATCAATCCAAATGCCCATCAATGATAGACTGGATAAAGAAAAGGTGGCACATACATACCATGGAATACTATGCAGCCATAAAAAGGATGGGTTCGTGTCCTTTGCAGGGACGTGGATGATGCTGGAAACCATCATTCTCAGCGAACTAACACAGGAACAGAAAACCAAACACCACATGTTCTCACTCATAAGTGGGAGCTGAATAATGCCAACACATGGACACAGGGAAGGGAACATCACACACCATGGCCTGTCGGGGGTTGAGGGGTAAGGAGAGGAAGAGCATTAGGACAAATACCTAATGCATGTGGGGCTTAAAACCTAGAAGACAGATTGATAGTTGCAGCAAACCACCATGGCACATGTATACCTATGTAACAAACCTGCACGTTCCTCATATATATCCAAGAACTTAAAATAAAATTTAAAAAAAGAAAAAACAAATTACTCATTTGCAGACTACTGCAGGAAACAATGATGAAAGTAGCTTCTGCTACCAAGAAGATTATAGACTCTCTCTTATCATCTCCTCCCTTTTCTAGACCCTACCATGGCACATAATAAAATATAAGGTTTTGGTGGACAATATAAATTTACAATATTTTGCATTTTTATACATAAGTTTACTGAGTATAATATGGCTTTAATATGTAAAAAAAAACATTTTACTGTAAATCAAAAATAATAAAATGCTTAGGAATGAAATTAACTGTGAAGTGTTTGGATAGAATCTTTTAATACTCCGGGTCATCAATAAATAATGCCTATTCTTTCTTTTTGTAGCTGTTATTCGTGTCCCCTGAACTGTGGTCTCAACCACAACCTTGTTCTCCATCAATTCTATCCCTAGGCAGAGCTCTGTTGATGACTGCAGTGCCGTGGCCTTGTGTGTATGTCTAGCCATCACTCTGGCTCCCCTCGACTCCCTGCCAGCAAGTTGGCCCCATTGAGCAGCCCAGCATGGTGCATTTGGTGGCTCTGAGAAATCTGGTCTCGTGAAAAAAAAAAAAATCACAGGCCTCTGAGTTTTCTAATTTTGCCTCTGTCATTTACTCTGAGTCATCATTAAACAAATCTTGTTATTTATTTGAGCCATAATGAACCCGTGAGTTTGGAAAACAGGCATGAAAGTCTTACCTTACTCACAGGCATAAATTAAATGGCATTTCATAGGAAATAAATATTTTGTAAGCCATGATTTGCTCAACAATTGTGAGACGTTTTTGTTTGTTTGTTTGTTTGTTTGTAACTATTGTTTCAACTGCAAAGTCACCAAAAACACTGAGTCATTGAAAACAGAGCAATGGTCCTTAGGAAAAATACAGGGTTAGGTTCCTGTGAATCTCTGATCACAACACTTTTGTCATCTGATCAATACATAACTTTGTTTTATGTTATTTCTGTTTAGAAATACACAATTTTAATATATTTTTGATTTAACATTGAACTGACAGCCAACAACATTATCTGCCTGAACGAGGCTCATCTAGCACATATAGTGTCTGTTTTCCGTAAGGCACGTTACAGCTTTCAGGCACTTTACAGCTTTCTTGTGTACAGGGACACTAAACAACATTTCAGCACTCTGCTTTGAGGCCATATTGAACAACGAAATCACCAATACAAAGCAGAAAATGTGGTACTAAATAGACCACAAACAGACATGTGTTTATAGTACGAGAGCTGAAACAATAAGGCAGATTATCACCTTTTTTACTTCAGCCGTGCATGCCAGTGACTCAAATTTTTCACTGCTGTGAATGTTTTTACAAACTATAAAGGTGCCATGAGTATTGGGGTTATAAAGAAAATGTATTATTAGACAAACTTGCAAGTATGAAATCCACAAATAATCAGGATTGACTTTAATTATATGTGAAGGGCACGTGAATCTCCCTCACAGGTACTAAGCACAGGACACCTTATTCTTGTCTTGATTTCAGATCCCTGTTTGGAACCCCAGTATGCAGTCTTTGTCCTTCCTTCTATCGATGTATTAGTCAAGGTTTCCAGAGAAACAGAACAAACATTACCCTACAGGATTGGCTCATCCAGTTATGGAGGCTGAGAAGTCCTAAGATCTGTAAGCTGGAGACCCAGAAAAAAAAAAATGTGTAAGTTCCTGTCCAAGAGAGCAAGCTTGAAACCCAGAAACTGCCTATGTTTCGGTTCAAGTCTGAAGGCAATAAAACACCAATGTCCCAGCTCACGCAGTCAGGTAGGAGTTCCCTCCAACTCATGGGAGGGTCTGTTTTTTTATTCTACTCAGACCTTCAACTGATTGGATAATCCCCACACACTTCAGAGATGACAATCTGCTTCTCTTCTGATTCTAATGATAACCTCATCCCAAAACAGCCTCACAGGCACATCCAGAATAATGTTTGACCAAATATCTGCACATCCTCCTGTGGCCCAGTCAGGTTAACATGTAAAATTAATCATCATAATTAGCATTACATATTTTATTATCTAATTTTTACATAAATTTTGAACAATGTATATCACATATATGCACATTATAAAACTTAAACCACTTCATGAAAATCCCATCAAAGCCAGAACACCATTTTGGTAATGCTTCTCTGCTGTGGCTCTTGCCCTTTCTGACACACAAGATACAACTAGGTGGTCTTCATTCATGATTTCATAATTCTAAGAGGCCTTGACGTCTCCATCACATGACCTAGGGTCAAAAAGGCTTCAAAGAGCTAACCTTATATGGAATGTTCACTATAGGTCAGGAGCTTTTAAAAATTATTTTGTGGTGTAAGTTCACCACTTTTTTAGCCAGGCTTTGAGTTAGCCACAATTAGTAGCACTATTTGAAAGATGAGGAGCTTTAGATGCAGAGAAATTTGTAAGGAACGCATAGTTCCTATTACGGAAAGTTCTTCCTGATGGAAGGACAGGAATCTGACTTCAAAGCCCGTGTTCCTATCTGCTATGCCTTACTGCCTCTAACTGGCCAGTGCTACTTCCTACTGTTTTTTTCCCATTAGGAGATACATTAAATAAATTGGAAATATTTGGAATATAGCAAATAATTAGCTCATGTATTTATGGAACCTGCAGAGGTCTTTAGTTTTCTAGGGCACAACACAAATGGCTTTCTTTTATCCAGCTTGTTTGGAAAATTCCAAGTCTAGCTGTGGAAATGAAAAAGAGTTCTCAGTCCACCAAAATGATTTTGTTCCCAATCTGATGTAGCCTATTGTGATTTATGCCTTTGAAAAGGATGACCAACATGGTACATAACTGCCATGCCAATTTCAGCTAAATTATCTCTGCCCTTTTGCAGTTTCCCTGTGAAACTCTAATTTGGCTTGTGAAATCAAGTTGTTTTAACAGCAATGCTTTTTCTCTTTTTAGAAGTTTTTTATACAATGGTAAAAATATGTTTACTTTTAGTTTTAAATATAGGTTATGGAGTGAGATATCATTCTTTTTAAAATCAGAAATGACTAAAATCTGAATCATGAAATAATAGGGGGAAATATATCACCACAGCAAAGCACTATGCAGAAAACAATGCACCAAAAGATTTAAAATGTAAGCTATCTATTTAACCTATCTGCCATTCAAAGGCAGGGGTGGTAAGATGGTGGAAAGAGGTAAAGTGAGCAGAAAATGAAGAACAAATCACAATATTGGAGGATCAGAAGAATTGGAAGGGGAGTGACATGATTTTAAGTGGGTTCCAATTGCCTTTGTGTGAATATTAAGAATGCCCTTATAATGATTGTAAAGATGCTTAATGATGTGATCTCCTACTTAGATCTCTAGCTTCACCCCTGGTTAGACTCCTTCACAAACCTTATGCCGGTCATACTGAATATTGTCTGAATCCTTAAAAATTACCTTATGCTTTGTGCCTCTGGAAATCCTCATGTTCTGTTTCCTCTTTCTGTGAAGATCTGGACAACCTGACTTACAACCTTATTTATTTTTATGACATATTTTAGCCTTTGGTCCAGATTGCTGGTCTGTAAGGACCTCACTCATTGGCCCTGATTCTAAAGAGTTACTTATTTCATTTTCTGAAAATTCATAGAATCATACGCTTTCCTCTTTTTATTTTAGAGTCTCTCTCTTTCTCTCTGTCTCTCTCTCTCTCTCTCTCTCTCTCTCTATATATATATATATATATATATATATATATATATACAGTCTTCCAAAACTCCTCTGAAGAAAGGGAAGCATTCTGTAAGACTTTGGGTAGGTTTTTTTTTTTTTTGGACAGAGTCTCACTTTGTTGCCCAGGCGGGAGGGCGGTGGCACGATGTCGGCTCACCGCAACCTCCACCTCCCAGGTTCAAGCAATTCTCCAGGCTCAGCCTCCCGAGTAGCTAGGATCACAGGCCTGCGCCACCACACTCAGCTAATTTTTGTATTTTTAGTAGAGATGAGGTTTCGCCATGTTGGCCAGGCTGGTCTCAGACTACTCTTGACCTCAAGTGATCCGCCTGTCTTGGACTCCTAAAGTGCTAGAATTACAGGTGTGAGTCACTGCGCCCAGTGACTTTGGGTACATTTTGGTTGTTATTTTGTTTTACCCCATTTCTCTGTACAAAATGTGAGACGTGTGAGTCCTCTTAACTGGTGCATGTGTGTGGAGGGAAGCATTTTGTTGTTTAATGCCAAAATGAGATAGATAGAAGTTTAAAGAATGTGACATTTGTAAAGTGTTATCTGTGAAAAAAAGAGCAGGTACTTACCAGCCCCAGACTAGAGGAAGACATCGTGCACTGCTGGCGCTATGGGGGAGACAAAACTAGCAGGGCACTGAGCAGAGAGCCTCAAAAAAAAAAAAAGTGTGCATTATTTTGTGTGTGTGTGTGTGTGTGATGTGATTGTATATATGAGATGTGTGCTTGGGGGGTGTGGTTTGTGTGGTATGTGTGCACATGTGTGTAGTGTAATGTGTGGTAGGTGATGTGTGGTGTGGGTGTATGTGATGAGTGTGAGTGGTATGACTGTGGTGTATTATGTGTGGTGTATGTGTATATATGCATATGTGGAGTATGGTATATGGTGTGTGTGTGTGTGTGTGTGTGTGTGTGTGTGTGAGAGAGAGAGAGAGAGAGAGTATATGAGAGAGAGAAAGGAAGAAACCTCTAAACTATGTTCTAAGCATTTAGTAAAATTACAAAAATAGCAATATTCTTGGTGCAGTTTTCTCCTGTGAAGGTCAGTGAAGGGGATGAGTTTTGCATAACAAAGATGTATAAGCCAGACCATGTGCAGCAGAAAGAAAGCCAGCATGTGAAATACTATTTTATCTTCATGACTACTACAGGCTCTGAAACATATTGGTGCTTAGAGACATTCTTAAAAACATTAATGAATGATGAAAACATTACAAATTGTGTTACAAACAAAAAGTCTTTTGTTAAATACTTGCTCATTATGTTTATAGAAAGGAGAGATAAAGAAAATAGTTTCAAGATTATACGTTTGACAAATGTTTCTGTGAAAATTACTAAAGTCATTTTGCTGATATAAAATTAGTCCTTCAGTTGTTGAGATTGAATTGTTTTTACTGAGCATTATTAAAATTAAGTTTTTTTCAGTAATCAAACTATTTAATTTACAGATGTTCTCTAGGTGTTACTGTACAGTAATGATATTCTGAAGGCAATTATGTAGTAAAAGATTCCAAGCATGTTTGTGATATGTTTAATTCCTGACCCTTGGCTTTATTTAGTTAATAGTCTTTTATTCTTTCATTCATTTGATTTAATTCATTCATTCATGCAAAAGCTACTTATTGAGAGATTTCTAAGTGCTAAGCATTATTTTAGGTGTTAAGGGACATGATAGTGAACAAAACCAGCAAAACTCTGTGCCCTTATGGATTTCACATTCATGTGGTTGCAAATGCAAGAGATCAATACAGGCAAGTGTTAACACAAATTGGAAAAATCAAAAAAGAAGAGGGTGGTGACTAAAGGAACCAAAAGATTGAAGTACCACTTGGTCTGAGAAAATTTCTGGAACCAACTAAGAGAAAATTAGTCAATATTCTCTGTCTGTTTTTTTTTTTCTCCTTCTATCCTCTAAGAGTTTTATCTATTTTTTTCTATACTTTCTTTCTGCAAGCTGGACTTTTGTGCCCTGTAGATAACCACTAACATGATCCAGTCACATCCAAAAACATTTTAATCTCATTTTTGCTTCAAACTCCAAGAATAAGTTTTCTGATTATACTAGGTTGGTCAACTTTTGTCTCAACTGTGACAGATTGGGGGGATAATTAAATGTACTAAATGGTTGCCGCCAATATAATCTTATGAATGAGTGAAAATCTAAAAAGAGTAATAAAACTGTAGAGAATTCTGAAATCTCTTTTTGACACTCAGGGTGTCCTTATGGCTTTATGTCTATTCTGGTTCCCTCTACGTCTGGTAAGAAGTATTTCCCTTTGGGATTCTAACTCCTGTATGTCTATGTGTGGATGCTTACATATTTTTACAATTTAAAGCAATATAGTTAGGCTCTTTATTTTTGGTTGGTAAATGGGTTTGTAAGATTTAAAGCAATAAAGAAGATAACAGAGAAAAAGATGAGCTGGTTTAATTACTCATATATAAACTATTTCAAATATCTTCACATATTCAATATAATATCAAGAAAAAAGGTAAGAGATCTATGCTCATATGAATTGAGGAATATCACCTGGCCATTTTGAGCTTTCATTTTTAAAACCTATAGAACTTTCATTGTGGAATACATATTTATGTGACACATTCTATCTGATATTGTCCAGGTCCTGAGGGGGAAAAATATTTTCTTGCTTTCTTGACAGGGTTTTTGCAAGGATCAGAAAAAAAGAAGCAATATAAAATGACAAAAGTAACGTATAAAGGGCCTAAAAATGGAAGTGATCACTATTAAAAAAGATCATGCTTTTAAGAGGGCGTTGCAAACTCTAAAATGTGGCTAAGTTTGCAACATATTTGTCAGGCTTTCTGGGAGATTACTGAGAGGTGTCTGGGTCATTACCAGCTAGCCATCTGGTGGAATCTAAAGGAATTAGAAGATGAAATCCATTTTTCCTGCTGCATTTATTTGAGCAAGGTGATTTTATCATGCATATCCTGTACCATGCTTTGTATTTTACAAGGCTTGCTGGCCATCACTGCAGTGCAGTGCCCCCAGGACACCATCAATGCTTCCCTAGGGAAAACCTGAACAACAGCTCAAGCTTTGAGAGTTTGCTCACCCGTGGAAAGGGGTTGCAGGAGCCCAGTAGGCATCCACTGCTAATTTGAGGCTGTTGCATTTGTATTCTCCTTCTCACCCACTGAGTTCATTCTTCTTATAAATAAGAGTATTTGCTCTAACTTTGTAGTTCTTCTTCTCCAAAAAGAACATCTGGACATTCTTTGCTGAAAAATATACAGCATACCTCTCCTGAGAATATTTTTCATCTAAAAATGTAATGTTTTAAATCAGGTAATATTAAAGAGTAGGATTAAATATCATAGCTTGATCTCCTAGACTGGGGAAGCACATGGCGTTGCTTTAAACTCAGATGGCAGAGCTGAATTTTTCCAACAAATAACAAATAGCAATTAGAATGTAAGCAAATGAAGCATACAAATTAGATGAAAATACTCTTCTCTTTAGTCAACTCTGTCTCTGTTTTGCCTTAGAACCCAATTGCCATATATCGTACTGACTGATCACTGCTTATTTCTTTAAACTGAAGCCAAAGGTCACTTCTTATAGGAATCTTTCCATGATTCCCTCCCTTTATACTTCCGTTCTTCATCTCATGATTTTTCACGCTAGCATAGTTCTTGGCATATAGTAGGCAATTTTGATATGTTAGTTAAATGAATGAATTGGGCTTAAAACACTGTGGTAGGCAGAATAATGCCTCCTCAGTATGTCTGTATCCTAATCTCCAGAATCTGTAAACATGTTAGTTTGCAAAGGCAAGGGGGAAATAATAATGCAGGTGGAATTAAGGTTTCTCTTCAGATGACCTTGAGATGGCGATGTTGTCTCTGATTATGTATGAACCCAATGTAATCTCAAGGGTTTTATAAGTGAAAGAAAGACACAAGAAAGTGTGATGATGCAGCATGCAAAAGGCCCTACTGGCTGTTACTGGCTTAGAAAATGGAAGAGGGGCAAGAGCCAAGGACTGAGGGCTCTTGGAAAAGAGCCTAGGAGCTGGAAAAGACAAGGAAACATTTTGTTTGTTCTGCAAAAGCAATGCTGCCCTTCTAACATCTTGATTTTAGCCCAGTGAGATCTGTTTCGGGCTTCTGCACTCTAGAATTGTTGAGATAATTAATTTTTTTTTTTGGAGACAGAGTCTCGCTCTGTCGCCAGGCTGGAGTACAGTGGACCGCGATCTCATCTCACTGCAACCTCTACCTCCCAGGTTCAACTGATTCTCCTGCCTCAGCCTCCCAAATAGCTGGGCCTACAGGCTAATTTTTGTATTTTTACTAGAGACAGGGTTTCACCATGTTGGCCAGGATGGTCTTGATCTCCTGACCTCATAATCCTCTCGCCTCAGTCTCCCAAAGTGCTGGAATTACAGGCGTGAGCCACCGCTCCTGGCCCAATTTGTGTTGTTATACCCAAATTTGTGGTAATTTGCTAAAGCAGCAATAGAAAACCAGTATAGATACCGTAATATAGGCTTTTTTGTTTGTTTCCTCCTTTTCTGCTGGTGCCAATGGTGAAGTCATGGGCAGGATCTTTCAATGTCAACAGAAGTATAACCATAGTATTTCCTGATTGAATGTACTTCTTGAAAGTTTAGTAATGAAAATGCATTGAGTTTAGAGATTGCACAGCTCTGAATCCTAGCCCAACACAAGACATTTGTGACCTTGGGCAAATCACTAAACTGTACTGAATGTTTTTATTTGTTTAATGAAGACCATAATATACACTTTGCAGGGGCACTGTGAACACTAAATGATCTGCTAAAGGCCATCGTACACAGTCAAAGTAAAATAAATACACTATGGCAGAGATAATCATTTTGCATGCTGAATGAAAAATGTAATAAGGCATAAGCACCAATATGTGTTGAGAACTGTGATGATATTTCTTGGGGGTGTTAGAACTGACACTGGCCTTGCATGAAGGGAAAGGTTCACACGTGTGGACACAGCACAGAAAGGGCACTCCAGGCTGTTCAAGTTGTGTTCAGGATAAGACATTACAAGCAGCCCAGAGCAGCTGCTGGTGACACCACTTAGTGGCCACAAGGGTGATGCTGGAGCCAGAAGGCTTTGGATTGCCTGGTTCCACAAATTCCAGAGGTTGGCAGTTTAGGGTCATTATTCACAAACCCTTTGTGCCTCCGATTACTCAAATGTAAATAGACAGGAAGCTCTGACAGTTTAATGTGTCAGTACACCTGAAGCACAAGAGCAGAGCACTTATACAAGTCTAGTAAAAATTAGCTAATGTTGGTGTTATTCACTGCATGTGGAGAAGTGAGTATGGGGAAGGTGTTCTGGAATATTTTCAGCCTGGATCGCTTGAGCAGCAGCCTCTTCAAACCCATGGAAAATGTCTTGTATGGAGGAATTTCATGCAAGTGTGGGCAGGAGTGGGCAAGAGAGTTCAACTAGAGTTGAAGTTCAATGAGGATAGAAATTAGATTCTGCTACTGTAATTCACCAATTTATCCTCAGCACTCAATGTCTTGCCAATAGAGGTACTTGTTTGAATGTACTTGTCTAAAGTTTAGACTATAACCTAAAGTCTAAAATTAGGTACTTGTTTGAATGTACCTGTCTGAAGTTTAGACTATAGCCTAAAGCCTAAAATTAGATTTTGCTGTTGTAATTCACCAATTTATCCTCAGCACTCAATGTCTTGCCAATAGAGGTACTTGATTGAATGTACTTGTCTAAAGTTTAGACCATAGCCTAAAGTAGCTTATCAGTCCTATTTTTTGCATAAACTAGGGTGTAATCAGTGTGAATGAAACACTTGAAGCCCATTACATCAAGCCAGATAGACCATAGTTTAAATCATCCAGGGATAGGAGTATATATTTCTCCTCTGCTTGCTTGTATGAAATTGGGTGAGTCATTCAAACTCACTTGGTCTCAGGTTCTACCTTTATGAAATGACAAATCTGTGGGTTGTGTTCTAGTCTGTTACTTTGCATGGTTTTGTAAAATAATAATAATACCATAATTATGTAAATCCCAGTCCAGATTCTATCTTTCTATTTTACAATCTATATAACTTACCCACCATATTTGCTAGGAGTGTAACTAAATGTTACTGAAACATCAAGAGTTCAGTCTAGGTCCTGTTGCTTGCTTCACAGAAAGCCAATCACTGAAACAAGGAGCATTGCCGGGGAAAGGGGCTTTATTTGGATGCTGCAGCCAAGGAGAATGGGACATCACTCAAATGTCCCAATGGACTAAATCTTCTCAATGGACTAAAATTAGACGTAGAAAAATAAGGGAAGAAATGTAACTAAGTATGGAAAAATAGGAATTAGGAGAGTATTAAGAAGAGAAGGTGTTCAACAGGCAGCAGCAGGTTACTTAGGCAACCATTATCGGCAAGGGGTCTGGGTCTGGCATCTCATTGTCCAGGTGCAGTTATCTGGTGAGTTGCAGTTCCTTGAAACTATCTTGGAAGGCTGATAGTTGGTTTCCTGAGAAAGGAACTCAGATAAGAAAAGTGTAACTTTCTTCAGTTTTAAGACTGGGAGGGTCAACTTTTTTCTTTACTTTTTTTTTCAAAAGAAACCATAAACATCAGTTCTATAGGACAATTGGGCCAGTTTCATAAACATTATAACATATAAGCAAAGTGTATAAGACACGTACTGGTCCATAATCAATGTTCAATGAGCCCCTTCCTTATTTCTCAGCCTTAGTAATATTTAAGTGCTTTTCTTCCATAAGTTAACAGGCATAAGGTGTTATCCACAGTCCTGGCAGAAGAGTAAGATGTCTTGTTGAATCTATCCCCTGGTTTATGTCTCCCACACTATTCTTATTTAAATGGAATTATCCTGTTTATCACCTAGGCATTTTACAGATAGACTCTCTGTAATATTAGTGCCATGCAGAGCATTATAGCCATGCTAAAATATCATTTTTCCTGGGAAATAATATCAGTATCAAGGTGTATGGCAAGAAAATATAAATCTTTCAATGGGCTAAGAATTAAAAAAAGAGTAATGATTCTGTACAATTATAGTATAAGAAAAATGAGGGTGGATATTTAGGTAGTGTTGATTAGAAAGTAGAAAACAATCATTTGCTGCAGTGACTGATTTATGGTTTCCTCAGCGCACACATTGAGGTTATTTCCTCCGGAAGGAAGCTGTAGACAAATTCATAATTTATAATATTTAGAAATACACTTGTGATAAAGTAGCTAGTGTTAACAGGAGAACAGGAGAACAGCTATTCCAAGGCTTACGCTACTGTTTTTAGGATGTTGATGGTACTATTTCTATGATCATTAATAATTTTAATGTTTGTCAATAAATCTTATTTTCATACTAATAGCTGCATGAAGCACCATAGGTATAGTAAAAAGAATTAGGGAAGCTGGATTTGAGACAAGCTTCTTTACTCTCTGGCAATGGAATTCTTTCCCCTAATTCCATGAACTTCACTTACCATATCAATAAAATGTGTAAAACATACTGCAATATGTTAAAGCACTGTAAAAATGATAAAGTGACATAGCATAACCATTGATTTGTGAATGTTAGTTAAGGAATACTACAGTATAGTCCTTGTCAAATCTATGAAAAAATATATGTGCATGTGTTATGATATCCAAAGGGTAAGACCTTTTTACATATTAACCACAGGTATGAATTTCAGTGGTTGGTTGGTTGGCTATTTTTTTTAATGTAATTTTCCCAATTACTCCACCCAACATTCCCTGCTCTCCAGTATAATGACTCTCAGATATTCATTTGGGCCCAACACAAGATTAGCTTTTTTATATTTCTTGTGCAAAATTTTCTAAACCGTGTTATTTTAAAAAGATCAAAAATAAGTCTGTTAAGAAAATTGAAGTTATCAAATTAGATTAATAAACAGACATAAACTTGAAACATCCTCTACCACATAATCTGCGCATGGCTGTAGAAAGTATAATTTTTGTGGAGCCTCACAACATTGCAAGTAAGTAACTTTTTCATCCCAATTGGTTATTTAGATTTGTTTTCCTATCTAGAAAGTCTGGGTTTTAGGCCTTTGTCCTAAAAACTTTACACAACTTTAAAACTGAATATCTTTAGTCTTAATGAAACCTGAATGACTGTGTAAATGAATTCCTATATATTTCTACCATTTCATTAAGAGTAAGGTATAGGAAAGTATCACTGAAGCATGAATTTCCTGATCGTGACAATTACTGCCACAATCTTATATTCACACACTCTGTGGTGACCCATTTCTGGGTTGGAAATCCAGAATAGAGTATGAATCATATAAATACACATGATTTCAAGCTTAAGGAGGTTTTATCCTAACTTCCTTGGGGTGGGAAGCATCAAGGAGGAGTTAACCTTACTGTGCATCAGCCTCTAACCATTTTCATGAAAGTGAAAATTTGATTGTCCCAATTAGAAATGAGGTTGTCATGGTTGTTATTTTTCTGATTTATTGCCTGTCAATGACAGACACCAACAGTAGACCTTGGATTCTTGAAATATAATACAGATAGCCCCTCTTACCTTTTAAATTGGAAATTCTTTATTTTTCTTCCCTAGAAAAGGGTATGCTGTTTAGGATTGTGTGTGTGTGCATGTGTGAGTGTGAATATCCAAACATGCTTGTTCACGTGTTGATTGTGGGAACTGGTTGACATGTATCATCTAATTTAAAATTCACAACAATGGGAAGGATTATATTTCCTATCAGTTCATTGTAAATTACAGTTAATAAATGATATAAATTGAGTCAATACCCATAGCTATCTGATTCAAAATATTGCATGTATATCTTTGTGTGCTTGTGCATGAGGGATATATGTATTTACATGTATACTTAAAAAAATGATTGCAGCATATTGCTAATCCAGATCTTGTCAGGAGTCCACCTACAGTACTATGCATAATTTTCCTCTGTCAGTTTGTATCATTGGCCAAAATCTAACAGATGTTTCTAAGAGTAAAAGCACAGGGAACTAACACTGTTGTCACTGATGAAGTACAAGTGCTCACACAGCCATCTATATTTCATGCCTGTGAGGTTGATCAGCCACATTTCTAGTTTGGGAGTCAGGTATGCCTATTCTTATAACTTTTATATTAATAAAACACCATTTTGAAGTTTTGGGTTGACAATAAAAAATGTACCTCAACTAAAACTGATATCCAATGTCCTTGCACAATTTTTTTGAGAACATTATCCTTTCCACAGCAAATATCTTAACTTTTTTTGAAAATTAATTTATCATAAATGGAAAAGTTTATTTCTGGATTGATATTCCATTCTGTTCTATTGATCCAGATACTTATAGTTATACCAATACCATACCCTATTGATTACTGTAACTTTATAGTGAGTTTTAAAATCAAGTAGTATAAGTCCTCTAGCATTACTTTTTTTTCCCGAGTTTTTCTGGCTATTTAAAGGCCTTTACATCTTCAGGTAAATTTTAGGTGAGTTTAAGAATTTTAACAACAAAAAAATTCTGCTTGGCTTCTGACAGACATTGAATTGAATCTATAGATCAATTTTGGGATGAATTGCCATCTTTATAATATTGAGTCTTCTAATCAATGAAAATGGAATGGCCTTCATTTATTTGGATCAATTATCTCACCAATACTTTGTAGTTTTAATTGAATATGTCTTGAAGTTATTTTATTAAATGTATTCCTAAGTATTCTATATTTTTGTTATTATAAAACAAATTATTTTCATAATTTCATATTTAAATTATTTGTTGTTAGTACATAAAAATGCAATTTATTGATCTTAACATCTTGCAACCTTGCTAAACTTCTTTATTAGTTCTAGTAGTTTTAAATGCAGATTTGTTAGGATATTCTACAGAATGATGTCATCAGGGAATAAAAACAGTTTTACATCTTACTTTCTTAGTAGAATGACATTAATGTTTGTTCCGATGGATGGATTGATTGTTTCATTAATAGATTTGCCTTATAATAATGGCGAGAACAACTGTACAATATTGAGTATCTTTCTATGTATTTGTAGTTTTATTTTGGATTTATGAGATTATTTAGAAATGCGTTATTTAATACCTAAGAATTTGGATATTTCCCCTCTCTATTAATTTCTAGTTTAATTACACTATCTACATAAATAATATATTACATTGATTTGAATCACTCAAATTTGTTAAAGTTTCCTTTAGGATATGTCTGTTTTGGTGAATGTTCCACATATACTTGAAAAAATGACATTCATGTGTTTGGGTAGAATGTTCTATAAATATCCATTAGATCCAGTTGGTTGATAATGTTGTTCTAAATTCTTGTTGGTTTTCTATCCATTTATCATTTACAGATAAATGTTGAAGTTCTCTATTGTGAATTTGTATGTTTTTTCTTTCTCTTCTGTCAGATTTTTCCATTTATAAAACCCTTTGTTAGACATATCCCCATTTGAGATTGTTGTGTCTTTTAGGTGAATTGATCATTTTATCTTTATATACTATCTCTTTTTGTTTTGTTAGTTTTATTTGTTCTAACATCTGTTTTGTCTCCAGATTACTATTGATTTGTTTTTGCATGGTATAACGTTTTTCCATGTTTCTAATTGTAGCTTATCTATATCGTTGTTCTTAGGGGGTTTATTTTAGATGGTGTTGGGTTATTACCTTTTAACCCGTTATCCAAATCTAGTCTCTTTTATTAGTGTTTTAAGACCACTTACATTTAATGTAATTAATGATATATTTGGATTTGTCTACTTTTTCTTATTTACCTTCTATTAGTTCCCTCTGCTTTTTATTTATCTTTTTTCCCTTCCTCTTTCTACTTTCTGTTTGGGTTATTTAAACATGTGTACAAAGCGTTTCACTATAATTTATCTAGTTTCAAGATTATTTATTCATTTATTTACACTAGTCTTTTTACACTAATTTGTTGTTCTAGGGATTAAAATTTACGAACTAAACTTTTATCGTCTTCTTAGAATTAACACACTCCAATTTCAACTGAATATAGAAAGCACTTATTTGTACTTCCAAATGTATTCTGTAATCAATTTGTCTATAAACTGTTCTATTTTTTTCCATAAAAATGCATGGTATTTTAATTGAAATTCTAACAATTTTAAATTAATTTAGGAAAAATTACATTTAATATGTTGAGTTTTTCTTGATATGTGTTGACATTCAAAACCACCTTTTTTCAGGAATATTTTTAAGATTTTGGGGTGTTAAAGCTATTTCTTGTTAAACTTATATATGGTTCTTTTATTTATCTCTATTCTATCTTAAGTGGGTCACTTTCTTTCCTTACATATTTATTTTTTGAATGTGCATAAAAAGATACTGATCTTTTGAATATTATTTATATCTCTAGCGAATTTACTAGATCCCCTTATTTTTCTCATAAATCTGCCAATTTTGTTGAGTTTTATTGGCACATTTATGTGTACATTTATACCATTTACATCAAAGGTGACACTACTTCTTCCTTTCCAATTTTTATACTCCATTTCTGGTGCCTAATCACACTGGCTAACTTCTCTACAATGGCGTTGAATTGTCAAAGAGATGGTGGCTTTCCTTGTCTAGTTCCAGACAAAAGAAAATAACAGAAAAAGTAATGAAGAAGCTGCTGGTGTGTTACAACTAAATCAGAATTCTTGTTTGCTGGAGGGCTACATCTCTATCTAATCTACAACTACGTCTACATCTACTGTGTCAAGGAAGTATTTAAGGGCTTTTTACAGGAATTGTCTGTTTAAAGCTTTTTCAGATTTTATTAAGATGGTTATATGATTTATTTCATTTTTTAGAATTTTATATTTAATTGACAATAAAAATTATTCTGTACATCATGTACACTGTGACGTCTATATACATGTGTACATTGTGGAATGATCAAATCAAGCTAATTAACATATCTATCACCTCACATACTCATTTGTGGTGAGAAAACTTAAAATCTATTCCCTTCACATTTTTCAAATATACATTATTATTAACTACAGTCACCACGCTGTGCAATCGATCAGCAGTACTTATTCCTCCAGTCTAACTAAAACTTTGTACCCATTGACCAATGTCTCCCCTCTGTTTTTCACCCCACTCCCCCGACCCCTGGTAGCCATCATTCTACTCTCAACTTCTATGAGTTCAACTTTTTTATATTCCAGATACAAGTGAGATCATGTGGTATTTGTCTTTCTGTGCCTGTCTTACTTTACTTAGTGTAATGTCCTCTAGAGTCATTTATGTTGATGCAAATGACAGAATTTCCTTTCCTTTTCGGACTGAATAATGTTCCATTGTGTATATACATATATATATACCCATTCATCCATATTAAACACTTAGGTTGTTTCTGTATCTTGGCTATTGTGAATAACACGGCAATGGACATGGGAGTGCACATATCTCTTCAGCATACTGATTTCATTTTGTTGGGATATATACCCAGAAGTGGGATTGCTGGATCATATGGTAATTCATTTCTATTTGTTTGAGAAATCTTCATAATGTTTTCCAAAATGGCTATACTGACTTACATTCTCATCAACAGAGTGCAAGGGTTCCCTTTGCTTCACATCCTTGCCAACACTTGCCATCTTTCATCTTTTTGGTAATAGGCATTCTAACAGGTGTAAGGTGATATCTCATTATTGTTTTTATAAATTGTATTTCCCTGATAATTTTTGTACTTAAGCATTTTTTATATATCTATTTGCCATTTGTATGTCTTTTCTTGAGAAATGTCTATTCATGTACTTTGCTTATTTTTAAATAGGGTTATTTGCTTTCTTGTTATTGAGTAATTTGAGTCTCTTATATATTTTAGATATTAACTACTCATGAGATGAGTTATATGTAATTTTTTCCCCAATCTGTGGGTCATCTCTTCATTCTACTGATTTTTTTCCTTTGCTGTGCTGAAGCTGTTTAGTTTGATGTAATCCCATTTGTCTATTTTTGTTGCCTGTGCCTTTGTGGTCATATCAAATAAATCACTGCCTAAACCAATGCCATGGGTATTTGGGCTCTTTTTTGGTTCCATATAAATTTTAAAATATTTTTTCTAGCTCTGTGAAGAGTATTATTGGTGGTTTGATAGGAATAGTATTGAATCTGTAAATCACTTTGGGCAGTATAGCCATTTTAATGACATTGATTTTTCCTATTAATGAGCATGGGATGTTTTTCCATTTGTTTGTGTCTTCTCTGACTTCTTTGAGCAGTGTTTTGTAATTTTCATTGCAGAGATCTTTCACCTTCCTGGTTAGCTGTATTCCTGGGTAGCGTGTGTGTGTGTGTGTGTGGCAATTGTGAATGGGATTTCCTTTCTGATTTAGCTGTCAGTTTAGTTGTTGTTGGTGTGTACGAATGCTAGTGCTTTTTGTACGTTGATTTTATAGCCAGCAACATTGCTGAAGTTGTTTATCAGCTGAAGTTGATATGGATTTTAATGATAAAAAATTCCTCCGATATACAATAAATCTAGACAATAGGTTTTATTGTATTTTTTGAGATTGTATATGTTTCTTTTATATTTCCTGTTTGATCAGAGTATTTAAAATATTTTAATATTATTAAATGCAAAGTATTTTTTAAATTTTGTCATTAATTTCTACTTATATGTGATTTGTGATTAGATACATTTGTGTTACTCATTTTCTTGTAATGTGTCAAGTTTTTCCTTGTAGTCAACTACAGCAAATTTTGTGAATATTCTATTTTTATTTGAAAAGACTTTGTGTGGTTTATTACCTTCTTAATCATGCTCTTTTCATCTTCTATATCTTTACTAATTTTTGTTATTTGTCCTGGAATGAGAATATGTGTTTTCAATTCTTCATTTTAGTGTGTTTCTCTCTAAAGCATTTTTTAGTTTTATTTTCTCTTACAAACTTATTTTTATTTTTTCTTGCAGCTCTGTATTTTCTTCCTCATGAAGACTTTTGCTGCATTTTTGAGGCTATAGACATTAATATCTGGTATGTTTTCTTTGAGTATTAAAGCTTTTAATATTATAAAGTGAACTAGAATCTATTATGATTTTATTCTGAAAGTAAGCTTGCTAGACGCTAATATTTTATTCTTCACTCTCCTCCTACTTTTCCATAGTTCATCATTGTCACGTTTTTATGTTTAGCGTTTCTGGATTTCATTGTTTTAGGTTTGTCTCTAGTGTTCTGCATAGGGTGAGAAAGCCTCTCTAACTTTTTAAATATTATCAATACGTTTGGCTTCAGTTCTCTTGTGGTCGTTTCATTTCTATTTTATTTTTTTCTATCACTTTTTATTATTTAAGTTTTATACTTTCATTCAAATGGTCAAATTCTTATACTTACTTTTGTATGTAATGTTCTCATCTCTGTCCCCCAAATTTGGATACAGTATATTGGTTCCCTACTATTAACTATAATGAACTTTACCAGTCAACTCTTTTTCCTCCTTTTCTCCTTTTCCTCCAAGATTTAATGTGAAGTAAAAATCTTTTATACCCATAGTTTTGTAGTTCAACTCTATCTTCATTATGAGACATACACAATTTACATACTATACCTTTTCCATTATGATGTTCATTTTATTTCAGTTTACCAGAAATAAACAACATTAATTTACTACTCATGACTAAATTTTTATGTTGGTGTCCTCCTGTTTTTTTTTTTAATTATCTGAAGCTTGCTTTCTAATAGATATTTCTCTTTTTAAGTTATCTCTTTAGTATTTGCTTGGCTAAATGTCATCTTACTGCAAACCAAAAACTAAATCCAAATTTTCACAAAAATAGCTAACCCCAGTAATGATTTCTGTATCTGATGTTATATAGATTTTTATTGAGGGGAATTTCACTAGAAAGGAAAGTTTTTCTCTACACCACAGAGTGTGATATCATTACTCGTTGGTATCCACTCTTAATTTTCTTTCTAAGTTGGAGCTTGTCTTTTACTTGTGAGCACTTTCATCACTTCCACTTGCCCTCACTCACTCTTTTCTCCCTTTGCCTCTTTTTAGCACTCCTCTTCAGGGTTTAGCTAAGTGCCACATGTGTTTGCAAAATCTAAATCTTGGGAACACTTGGATATTTCTGCCTATGCAGGTGATTGCCTTTTTTGTTGATTGCTTCTGGTGTGCTTTTTTGGTTCTCACTCTCCATCAAAGATTAGTTGTTCAAGTTATGAGTTCTTGGAGGAAGATGCTATGTGAAACATAACTTTACCATCTTTAGCTGCCATCTTAATTCCACTTGATCATACAAATCTTGCTTTCATATTTGTATTGATTGTATCTCCTTTATGGTTTAGCTTATGCATGTAAGGAATAGCAGTTCTGCCATTGCCTGTAGAGAGATGAAAGTGTTCTTGATCTAAGTGAGTGTTTTCAAGTCAGAATTACTTTTTATATTTTTCTAAAGAAATAATACAATATTTATCATTTAATAAATAGTTTAAAAGTATATTAAAATATCCCTACCATTACTTAAGAAACTGACATATCATGGAGATAATTGTATCCCAATATGAAAATAAAGAAGTATGGATATTTTTGAGGCATAAAAATATGGGTAGGACATAAGTGGCCACAAATATTAAAGTGTTTCTTTTTCTACTTACATTATAGTGTGAAAAAATTAGTCTAGCACTCGATGAGTATGTAAAATAAGTCAATGATTAGGAAGACAGTGTCTGGGAAGCCAACATTCAAACAGCTACTAAACTATAAATTAACTTAAGTCAAATTTCCCAATGCTTTAATAGTAAATTGATACTGTATCAAATAATCATATCTTATTAATAAGGCAGCATCATTACAACTGAAAAAATTATTCAAGGGTAAAATGAATGATTTGTGACTTTCTGAGAAAAATATATTTTGGTTATCTTTAGAAGAAAACAATTGATCTGCACTCCAATTACCTTAGCAAAATAAATTTAAAATTAGATTTGGAGTCAGCTAACAGTTGTGATTTGCATTTCAAAATAATTTATGTTAGGAATTCAAAGTATATTATTTCATATAAGTTGAAATACAAATTGAGACATCTGCCAAATTTTACCTTAAAGATGGGGTAATTCATTGAACCTTTTATGATTTGAAATACTGTTTTTTACCTTTTCTCAGATTAACAAAAATCATGAGAACTGCTTTATCGAACACCAATTTTTGCCAGGCTAAGCATTACATATGCATATACACAAATACACACGCATACTGTGTATATTACATGTATGTAATCTCTACTTCACAAAAATACTTGCAAGAAGAAATTAATAAACCCATTTTACATGTGAAAAAATAGGCTCAACCAGACTGGTTACATTTCCCTCTGTTAAAGAGCTCATATACTGCAGAGGTGATAACCAAACCTGTTCCATCTATTCTACATCTTTCTGATGCTGCTCTACGTTTTCAAACTTCCATATAAATAAGGGTTAGCAATTATATTTATATAGATATTTTGCAGTGTGTGAAGGAGATGAGAAAACATTTAAATTAATTTAGAGTGATCTCATTGACTTTCACTTTCAAGCACCTGTAGTGCCTAGGATGTTCTCACGCAAATAGCTCTTGTCAATACATTTTTTTTTCATATAGCACTGAAGACAATGATGGATCATTTTTCAGTTAAAAATCTAATGTCTCAGAAAGACAGAATCATGAATCTACATTCTTTTAAGGTACAAGAAATAATATAACAACACTACCAGTAATAAGCCTGAGATATGGAAAATTTAGTGCAATAAGTTGTTCATAAATGTGTCTCCATGAAACAATAAAAGGTACAAAGAGAGACAACAGTAGGTGTACAAAAGATGCCCTTAACAGTCTTGTTTCA
Organism: Homo sapiens; assembly: GCF_000001405.40. Classification (NCBI taxonomy): domain Eukaryota; kingdom Metazoa; phylum Chordata; class Mammalia; order Primates; family Hominidae; genus Homo; species Homo sapiens. The sequence continues at coordinate 13,401,213 of NC_000002.12, read as the reverse complement.
AAGTCCAGACCCTTTTGAGTAGTAAATAACTATAAATGACCTCCTATTTGAAAATAACAATTAGTTAGCTGACTCTTATTATTTACAATTGTTTAGACTATTCCATCAATTTATCCTTTTACAGTGCTTTCCAATGTGTCTGCTAAAATATTTAGTGTTTTCCTTACTTCCTTTATTGTCTCTCAATATAAATACCACTTAATATGCTAAATACCTTCTCTTCCATTTTCATCAGAAGCTGATTATCGAAGGAATCATACATACATTATCTTCATCTTATTCAATTCCCATTCACTTTTCAACAGACTGAAATAAGAAATTCATATTCACTACTATTTTCAGGGATTGATATCGCTCTACTTTCCCTGACAATTGTTTTCACAACCCTGGAATTTCCTTCCTCCTCTTTTTATATTGCCACAAATTCTTTCACCACTCAGCTAGAACACTCATTTTCATAGACCAAGAAACACAGTTCAGTCATCAACTTGTCATTTTTTTGATGTGTCTTCTAGGGTAAACAAAATTTTGTTAAGTATTAAGGAATTACTTGCTCAAGGGACATTTATTCTCTATTGTCCAAAAACTCTTGAGTCTTAATTTGTTTGCTCTTCCAGTCACCTCTAATGACAGCCCTGCTGATATTTAGCTTAGAGGGTACTTTCCCTTGTTTAATTGAGCTGAAATATATTAGAGAGAAAAACACACAAATCATGGACAAGTCAGAATGTAAAGTTGTTCCTAAAATGGCAGGACAATTATAGTAAAATAGGCCAGGTGCAATGGCTCACGCCTGTATTCCAAGCACTTTGGGAGGCCAAGGCTGGTGGACCACTTGAGGTTCGGAGTTTGAGACTAACCTGGCCAAAATGGTGAAACCCCATCTCTATTTAAAAAAACACAAAAATTAGCCGGGTGTTGTTGTATGCACCTGTAATCCCAGCTACTTGGGAGGCTGAGGCAGGAAAATCACTTGAACCCAGGAAGCAGAGGTTGCAGTGAGCCGAGATCGCACCACTGCACTCCAGCCTGGGCAGCAAAGCGAGACTCCAACTCAAAAAATATGTATATATGATAAAATAAGAGCGAACATATTTTATATCACAAGGCAAGTTAGTTACAGTAAATTGCAGGTGCAGATGAAGTAGTTATCAAGGAGCTTAAGTACTGAATCTGAAAGAAACTCCAGCTTTATTTACAGTGAATACTGTAAATAAGTAGACATTTTCTATATTATTATAAAATTTTTTTGTAAGCATATTTGTATTTATAATTCAGTATTTTGTATTAAGGTGCCTTGATTAACGATAATTTACTATCTTAATTATAAAGATGTATAATTTCTCTTTTTTTTTTCTTTTTTCTTTCCAATGTTTATTTTAAGTTCAGGGATACATGTGCAGGATGTGCACGTTTATTACACAGGTAAATCTGTGCCACGGTGGTTTGCTGCACAGATCATCCCATCAACCAGGTATTAAGCCCAGCATGAATTAGCTATTCCTCCTGATGCTCCTCCTCCTCCCAGCCCCATCCTCTGACAAGCCCTAGTTTGTGTTTTTTCTTGTCATGTGTCCATGTGTTCTCATCATTCAGCTCCCACTTATAAGTGAGAACACTTATTTTGTTTTCTGTTCCTGAATTAGTTTGCTAAGGATAATGGCCTCCAGCTCCATCTATGTTTCTGCAAAGGACACAATCTCATTCTTTTTCATTGCTGCATAGTATTCCGTGGTGTATATGTACCATATTTTCTTTATCCAGTCTATTATTGATGGGCATTTGAATAAGAATGTAAGAATAACATATACTTTTGGGTATATACCCAGTAATGAGATTGCTTGATTGAACGGTATTTCTGCTTCTCGGTCTTTGAAGAATCACTATATTGTCTTCCACAATGGTTGAACTAATTTACATTCCCATCAACAGTGTAAAAGCATTCCTTTTTCTTCAGACCATGGCAGCATATGTTGTTTCTTGACTTTTCAATAATTGCCATTGTGACTGGTATGAGATGGTATTTTATTATGGTTTTGATATGCATTTCTCTAATGATTAGCGATGTTGAACTTTAAAGCCAGAGTGGCCCCTTTCCTCCAAATGACCACAACACCTTTCCAGCAAGGGCTCAGAACTGGACTGAGGCTGAGATGGCTGAAATGACAGAAGCAGGCTTCAGAATGTGGATAAAAACAAACTTTGCTGAGCTACAGGTATCTATTGTAACCCAATGCACAAAAGCTAAGAGTCATGATAAAACAATGCAGGAGCTGAAAGCCAAAATAGGTGCAATACAGAGGAACATGACCAACCTGATAGAGCTGAAAGACACACTACAAGAACTTCACAGTGCAATCACAGTATTAATAGCAGACTAGACCAAGAACATTAGAGGTTGAAGACTCTCTGTCTGAAATAAGACAGGCAGACAAGAATAGAGAGATAGATAAGAATAAAACAGAATGAACAAAACGTTTGGAAAATATGGGATTATGTAAAGAGATGTAATCTACAACTAACTGGGATACTCGAAAGAGATGGGGAGAATGGAAGTGATTTGGAAAATATACTTCAGGATACCATCAAGGAGATCTTCCCCACCTAGCAAGACAAGCCAACATTCAACTTCAGAAAATGCAACAAACCCCAGTAAGATGCTCCATGAGAAGATCATCCCCAAAATATATAATCATCAGAGTCTCCAAGGTCGACATGAAAGAAAAAATGGGAGCCAGAGAGAAAAGCCAGGTCATTTACAAAGGGAAACCCATCAGACTACAGAGGACCTCTCGGGGGAACCCTATAAACTAGAAGAGATAGAGGGGGCAATATTCAACATTCTTAAAGAGAGAATTTTCAACCTAGAATTTCACATATGGCCAAACTAAGCTTCATAAGCAAAGGAGAAGTAAGATCCTTTTCAGACAAGCAAATGCTGAAGGAATTTATTACCACCAGACCTGCCTTATCAGAGCTCCTGAAGGAAGCACTAAATACGGACAGGAAAAACTGTTACCAGTCACTACAAAAACACACTGAAATACACAGACCAGTGACTCTATGAAGAAACCACATAAACAAATCTGCAAAATAACCAGCTAGCATCATGATAACAAGATTTTTTTTTTTTTTTTTTTTTTTTTTTTAGACAGGATCTTACTCTGTCACCCAGGCTGAGTGCAGTGGCACAATCACGGCTCACAGCAGCCTCAACCTGTCAGGCTCAAGCGATCCTCAGCCTGCCAAGTAGCTGCAGCTACAGGCACATGTACCATGCCCAGCAAATTTTTGTACTTTTAGTAGAGATGGGGTCTTGCTATGTTGTACGGGCTGGTCTTGAACTCTTGAATTCAAGTAATCTGCTCACCTTGGCCCCGCAAAGTGCTGGGATTACAGGCATGAGCCGCTGTGCTCAGAAAGATGTACAATTTCTAGTTGGCATTCTTACTGCCCTAATATTAATGAGTTTTATTATTATGGGAAGAATTAAAATTTTGACATTGTGATGGGGCCTTCCTAAAGACCCAGAGCACTTCTGGATATTATTAGATAGAAAAATCTTTTGTAAATGATTATCCAGTGAATAGGATACTATACTGTCCATGACTTGGGGATTAAACTCCAAGAGAGGGTTTTGTGAAATGTGCATTATTTTGTAGCTGAGGAGGTAGCAGCTTCATCACATACCTGGTGCCCATGAATGGGTTATTAGCCAAAGACATTCATGCCTTTCAGCCTCCCCATAAGCTCCAGCTATTTACTAGTTACTCCATAATCACATTTCTCTCTTGTCAGCATTTTAAAAAATAAACTTTATATTAGGTTTGCAATTAGTTGACTATAATATTACCAAGGAATCTGTCAGTAATTTATATAGCTGCTACTTACCAATGTAATCACATTTGCCTCTCTAGTGTAACATTTAAAAGAATGAGACAAATAGTTTTGGTCACTTACAATGTACTTTTAGTTTTTAGTTCTTTATCTTTGTAACTTTTTTTATTGAAGCATAACAAGAATTTGGAAAAATTCTCAAACATCAGAACATAGAATCACAGTAAATCACAATCTGCCCCTGACCCATGATCCTTTTAGGCAATTAACTCCAATGACAACCACATTCTTACCTGAAATCACAGATTTTGCTTGTCCTTGATATTATATTACTGGAATTATAAGATATGCATGTTTTTTGCCTCTGGCTTATTTCACAAAAATCTTTGTGAATTTTATACAAATTTATGTGCATAGTTGTATTTTGTTTGTTTTCACTTCCATAGAATACAAATATACCACAATTCATAAGCTCATTTTATTGTATACAGAGCATAAGTGATAATTCTAGAAAATGTCCTTTGTTGAAGGTATGTACACATTTATGTTTGGTATGATTGCAAATATGAGACACAGGGTATAAATACGTTCAATAGATACTATCACAAAGTGTTCCAATGTGGTTTTTTTTTTCAGTGAAACTCTCGGCAGATTTAATTTTTTTTAATTGTGGTAAAATATACTTAATGTAAAATTTGTTATATTCAACTATTTTTATGTGTACAATTTGTTGGCATTAATTATAACACAATGTTGTGCGACCATTACTACTATCTTTTTCCAAAAATTTCCTCACCTAAACAGAAACACTGTACCCATTAAGCAATATCTTTCCATTTCTGCCTTTCCCCTGGTAATCTCTTGTACATTCTTTTTCAATGAATTTGCCTTGTCTGGATAATTCATACAAGTGGTATCACATAATATTTTCCCAGGCAACTTACATCACTTAGCACAGTATTTTCAAGGTTCATTCATGCTGTAGCATGTATCAGAACATCATTTCTTTCTTGGACTGAATAATATTCCATTGTATTCATATACCACATTTTCTTTATACATTCTTCTGTTGATGGACATTTGGGTTATTTCAATCTTTTGGCTATTGTAAATAATGCTGCAATGAACATTGGTATAAAAGTATCTGTTTGAGTCCCTGGATATATATCTGAAAGTGGAATTATCAAGTTCTATGGTAATTGTGTAGAGGTATTTAGCTTTTTGAGACACCATCAAGCTACTTTTCACAGCAACTGCACTATTTACACTTCCATCAGCAATTTATGAGTATTCTAATTTCTGCACATTCTGGACATTTGTTAGTTTCTGTTTCTTAATTAAATATTTTTATTATAACCATATTAGTATGCATGAAGTAATATCTCATTGTGATTTTGATTTCCATTTCCCTAATGATTAATGATGTTGAGCATCTTTTCATATGCTTATTGGGCATTTATAAATATTATTTGAAGAAATGTAAACTTAAGCCAATTACAAAAATTTTATTGGATTGTTCCTTTGTTGTTGAATTGTAATTCTTTATATATTCTGGATATTGAATGTTTATCAGATATATGATTTTCAAATATTTTCTCCCATCTTGTAGGTAGTCTTTTCACTTTCTTGATAGTGTCCTTTGTTGCACAAAAGATTCTAATTTCGTTAAATAATTTGTTAATTTTTTTTCTTTTGTTTCTTGTACTTTTGGTGTCATATCTAAGATTTCCTTGACAAATCTAAGGTGAAGAATATTTATCTGCATGATTTCCTTTAAGAATTTTATGATTTTGTCTCTTATATTGAAGTCCTTGACCCATTTTGAGTTCATTTTTTAATATAGCTTAACTTTTTTTTTCTGCATGTGGAAATTCAGTTATTGTAGCACCATTTGTTGAAGCCAGCAGTAATTATGAGTGTTTCAATTATTCCACATTCTCATAAAGATGTAGTGTTTTCTGTGTTTCTATTTTTCTGTTATGTAAGGGTTTTATACTTTGGTTATAATTTGTATTTAAATGTACAATTATCTTTACTGTGAAGATCAGTACCCTTTCATGTTTATTGGACATTTGGATGTCCTATTTTATAAAGTGCATGTTCTAGCATTTGTCTCACTTTCCAAATGTGAAATGCTAATTTGTTTATATATATTGGATAAGAGTCTTTTGTGGCTTTATTTCTTATTCTCTTAATGGTGACTTTTGAAATTCTTAGTTGTATTACAGTAGAATTTTTAATCTCTTTTCATTGTGATTAATCCTTTTCTGTGTTAAATTTTTTTGCTAGCCCAAATTCATAAAGATATTTTTCTGTACTGTCTTCTAGTAGTGTTAATTTGTACATTTATATTTCCATTCAATTTATATTTATTTTGTATATAGTATAATATAGGAATCTATTAATAGACTCTTTTTTGAAAATATCAATAAACATACAAGTGGCCCAGCAGCAATTATTGAAAAGGCCATTTTTCTCCTATTGCACTCTAGTGTTTCACTTTTATATATCAGGAAACTGTATGTATGTGCAACTGCTTTTAAATACACTTTTACATTTTTGTGATCAGCTTGCCTATACTTTTACCAATTTTACACTGTGCTAATTACTAGAGCATTGCAATAAATCTTGATATAAATTGGAATGAGTTATTTAGCTTTCTTTTTCTTCTTGAACATAGTTTGACTATGTAAGATCCTTCATATTTCTAAACTAATATTGGAAAGAATTTGCCAACCTCAACAAAACAACAGAAAATTATACCTAGTTTTGATTGATATTACATTTGATCTAAATATTTAGAAAGAATTGTGATTTTTATACTATGTATTTTCATAAAATCACATTGTATATCTGTACGTGTACAGGTTTGTTGTATATATGTATGTCATGTATGTATATACACAAAAATATATTCTGCTATTTCTTACAGAACAGTTTTGCAGCATTTGGTGTCAATTTAAATATATTTTATTATAATTATTCTCAGTTATTTGATATTCTTAATTTTATTATATTTTAAACTTTTATTTTCTAATTGCTTTTATTGTATATAAGAAAAATTAATCTATATATTGACTTTTATACAACCAACATGCTAAATTTATTTATTGATTCCTATAGTTTGCCAATGGATGCTTTTGGATTTTCTATATATGTAATTGTATGATCTCTGAATAATGAGAGGTATTTCCTCCTTTTTAATCTTGTGGTCTTTCTTTTTCTTCTATTACTACACTATGTAGAACTAACTTGTAATATCATTAATAGAATTTGTAAGTTTGGGGACACTTATGGCATTTCTCACGTCAAAGGAAATACATTCAATAATTCACTCATAACTATAAAATTTACAGTATGTTTTTGGTTAATATTCTTTGTCATATTGTATAAATTTCCATCTACTTACACATTATCATGAAAATTTATTGTTGACAGGTGGTTAATTTTATCAAATATTATTCCTAAATATATCAATAATAAGGTGTCATTTTCTTTTTTGTTAATATGTAATAAATTCTATTGATTGATTGAAGAATATTAAGCTGCTCTCACATTCCTGTAATAAACCTTAATTGGCTTTGTGATATATTATCAGTTTTCACAAATATATGAATACAGTCGAGCCTTTAACAACATAGGTTTGAGCTGCATAGGTCCACTTATATACAGATTTTCTTCTGCCACTGCCACACCTGAGACAGCAAAACCAAACCCTCCTCTGCCTTTTCTTCAGCCTAGTCAACATGAAGACAATGAGGATAAAGGCCTTTTAAATGACTCCACTTCCACTTAATGAATAATAAATATATTTTATGTTCCTTATGATTTTTTTAATAAAATTTTCTTTTCTGTAGCTTGATTTATTGTAAGAATACAGTATATAATACATATAACGTACAAAATATGTGTTAATCAACTCTTCATATTATCAGTAAGGCTTCTAGTCAACAGTATGCTATTAGTAGTTAAGTTTTAGGGGAGTCAAAAGTTATGCACAAATTTTCAATTGCATGGATGGGTCAGCATCCCTAACCTTGACATTGTTCAAGGGTCAGTTGTAAAATGATTTCATCAGTGTTGATAATACATTATTCTGTGATTTTTTTCTACTAATGTTGTTGCCAAAGTTTACTATAAAGAATATCATAGCTTTATAACAGGACTTGTGAAGTGTTCTCACGCTTTTTATGTTCTCTAAAATACTTTTTGTAATACCAGTGCTATTTATTTTCTAAAAATTAGAAATAATTCATAGGGCACATCCTGTGTACCTCAAATTGTGTTGAGGGTATTAATGAATTCATTGTTTTACATAGATATAGGACTACTTAGGCTTTCTATTTCTTCTTGAGTCTGTTTCAACAAGTTTTTCTTTTGTGATATATGCATATGTCATATAAAGTATCAAATATATTGGCCTGAAATATTTTTAATCTTGTTATATCTTTAATTTGTAAGAAAGATCTATAGTAATTATCCAGTTTTCATTAGTGATATTAGAATATATTTCTTTGTTATTTGATTTTACTTTTTCTTTAAAAAAATTTCAAACAAAAAAGTGGTAATTTTGTATATACCCAGAAATCTACTATAACAATTATCAAGTCATGATCAATCTTGTTATTTTAACTATACTCTCACCCATTTTGAAACTGCATTACCCATATTATTTTGAATTAAATCCCATGAATCTTATGATTTCATTTATACATATGTTTGTGTTTTTGTTTTTTTTTTTTTTGTTTTTTTTTTTTTGACAGAATCTCACTCACTCTGTCGCCCAAGCTGTAGCTAGAGTACAGTGGTATGATCTCAGCTCACTGGAACCTCCACCTCCCAGGTTCAAGCAATTCTCCTGCCTCAGCCTCCCAAGAAGCTGGGATTCCGGGAGTGGTGGCACATGCCTGTAATCCCAGCTACTCAGGACAATTGCTTGAACCTGGAGGTAGAGGTTGCAGTGAGCCAAGATTGTGCCACTGCACCCCAGCCTGGGTGACAGAGTGAGACTCCATCTCAAAAAAAAATAAATAAAAATAAATAAATACATTAAAAAGTACATAAATTCAACTTCCAGGGTATTTGTCAATTTTCCTAATTTTTTAAAAAATAATTCTTTTCCTGTTTTACTTTTTCCTCTGTCATTGTGGTAGTTAGTTAACACTAATAGGACCCCATGGGTTATGCTTCAGTGTTTATGCCCTTTTGTAGTTACTTCCTCTTGAATCCAAGCTTAGCTTATAACTCAAACACTTTAGAATAGAATATAGCAAAAATATTGCTGTGCAATCCTAGCCTAAGCTTTAAAAAAGTATAAAACTTCCACTTATGAACTCTTAGAAGTCCTAAAGTTTTACATGAGAATTCTAGATGAAACTGTGTAAAGAGAAAATATGAAGAGGTCATGTGGAGAGAGAGAACCTTGAGAACTGAAGAATCCAGACATTCCTCTAATCTAGCTCTTCTAGCCAGACCTCCACTGCCCATATCTCCCTTGATGAGGCACCAAAGGGCTAAAGAAGCTGTTGCAGCCTTTCCAGTAACAGCAGGCATTGAAGGGAGCGTAGATAAGCCCACTGCCTCTGTAAAATCCTGACCCTCAGAATCATGAGAAATAACAAGTGATTGCTGTTTTAAGCCACAATATTTTAAAGGTAGTTTGTTCCATGGAAGAAGCCTAACAAAAGATGGAATGACACCAGAACAGAGGTGCTTCAGCAACAAAATATCAAAATATGTAGCAATGGCTTTATGATCAGGTGGAAGTTATGGACCTAAAAACCTTGAGGAAACTGTTAGAAAGAGCTAAAAACAAACGGACCTTAATGATACTGGCACAAAAATTAGGAAAGCTGCCACCTTCTTATGTGGAAGATAGCAAATGTGGCTAATAAACTTGCAAATCTGGCAAAGAAAATTTCCAGGCAGAGTGGTGAATGTACCAACTGGTTCCTTTAATTGCCTCCAATAAAGAATGTGAGAAGTGAGATGAGCTAAAAGAGGAATTGCGGGAATTTTTTTTCTCGATATGGCCTCAATCCATTCTAGTAGTGTAAAGGCAACATTCTATGGGTTGTTGGTTTCTCTGAAGGAAATGAAAGTAAGCAACAAGAAGGCATCCAGGGAGAAATCATTCCACAAAAGTAATAGGTAGCATTTCAGATGTTATGCCTTTATTAGCATCATCGTATCTTAATGAGAGGACCTCTGGAGGTCTTTCAGCTCTTTGGAAACAGTTCCATGCATATTTGAAATATTGGAAACTGATCCAGAGCAGAAGAATAAATCTCCCAATATCACACAAGCTGGTGAGAAGCAGAGCTGAAAATAAAATCTAGTTTTCCTGGCATCCTTCCTGCTGCACAGCATTGAAGTTCTCTTCCTTTTGCAAAGTGAGACAGGGTAGTGGTAGAGATATCTCAATGCTTAACTGTCAAACTGAACCCAGGCTGCTTGATAGTGTCACAGGGAGAAATAATCTAATGGGCTGAAATGAAGAGAGGAAAATAGTTCTCAGCAAGTGGCATCAGCTTATTTGGTATTTTTTTCTCAGCTTATTGTTACAGACATGTTAATGGCAAATCTGAGAAGGTTCTTTTGTGAATCAGGTTATGGCTATGATTGCTCAAAAAGCTCATTACCAATTTATGAAGAGCAGCAAAACTCATTTTCTCTTAATGTGAAATCACTTCAGCCTGTCAGTAGAGAAACAATTGTTGAAAAGTGAATTGACCACATACGGATCCATTCTTTCTTTTCAAAAGAAATGAAAAAGTCATCTAAAAGGAAAATATCTTGCAATAATGAGATATATGTAACACTCAGCCGGAGTTAAGCCCCAGTTAATATGGTTTTCTGAATTGGGCTACTTTTCTCATTTGCCTACTGTGGGTACCACACAGGTAGACTTCATAAACCTGAGTTATCTGTCTATTAAAGAGCAGCAGGGGCTCTTTGATTCAGGATTTCATTAAAACAACAAAAGGATTTTGGGGGAATAACTGAATTCGCTCTCTGGAATTAGAGATACATAGTTTAATACATACATATTCTTTCCATAAATTGAATGATTTAGGTGATCAAAATGAGTTCTGATCACAATTCCCGGTTCCTCCATGTTAAGAAATAAACAATGATTGTTACCCATAGTGGCTGTAGATATAGCTCTGTGCTGGGTGAGATTGTTTTTCTGTGTTCTGTCTGTGGTTCCTATGACCTCTCTCATGCTCTGTCACTTGGGATATCTAGCTCTTATTCTAGAGTCTTTCAAAGTCTTATTTTTCACACCAGAGCATTTGGCCAAGGTTCAGCATTTAACCACTGCGTCTTTGTCTTTTTTTTTCCTGTAGCTTTATCTTCCACTCTCCACTGAAAATCCCTGGGTATCTACTTAATTGATTAAAGTCAGGAGAGGTTGTGGGCACTGCAGCTTTCTGATATTTTAAGATTGGCATATCTGCATTATCTCTGCCATGACCATCATTGGTCGAATCCCTCACTTGTTTGTTTATTTTTAAGGACTTAATTATTGTAGAGCAGTTTTTGGTTCATAGCAAAATTGAAAGGATGTAACAGGGATTTCCCATAAGTCCTCTGCCCCCTCACATGCAGAGCCTTTCATTATCAATATCCCCTACCAGCGTGGGACAGTTATTACAAATGATGAACCTACATTGACATATCATAATCACCAAACTCCATAGTTTACATTAGGGTTTACCCTGGTTGCTGTACATTACATAAGTTGGAAAAATTTATGATATGTGCCCACCATTAAGGTACCATGCAGAGTATTTTCCCTGCTCTAAAAATTGTCTCTGCTTGGTGTATTCAACCTCTTCACCCCCAACTCCTGGCAACTACTGATCTTTTTACTGTTTTCATAATTTTGCCTTTTCCGGAATGTTGTATCATTGGAAATTTACAGATCGGCTTCTGTCACTAAGGAACATGCACTTAAGATTCTGACATGTTTTTCCGTAGCTTGATAGCTCATTTCTTTTTAGTGCTGAATAACATTCTATCATTTGGATGTAATGCAGGCTATTTATCCTTTCACCTTCTGAAGGATGGATATCTTGGTTGCTTTCCAAGTTCGGGCAATTAGCAATAAAGGTGCTTTAAGCACTCACGTGCAGGCTTTTGTGTGAACAAATATTTTTCATTTCTTTGGGTAAATACCAAGGAATGTGATTACTGGTTAGTATGGTAAGAGTATGTTTAGTTTTGTAAGAAACTGCCAAACTGTCTTCTAAAGAGGCTATAACATTTTGCATTTCCACCAGCAACAAATGAGAGCTCCACTCCAGCATTTGGTCATGACAGTATTCTGGATTTTTCTGGATGCTAATATATGTACTGCTTCTTTGTTTTTTGATAAATGAGTACATGTATCTTCAGAGGAGAAGTGTGCTAGTTGCTTATAGCAAGAGTATAAATCAACATCATCTTCATGAAGCAACAGCTGTATAATTTTAAGACATTAAGATAGATTTATAGTAAATTGATCATGAATATTTTATAGAATATAACAAAAAAATGGATGGGTTTTAGATATAATTACAGATTCCAAAAGTATTGTTTGAAATGAGCCACTAACTCCATTATCCACTGAGGGCAATTGTGTAAAAAATATGAGATCAATAACAATAATAGCAAAAACAAAAACTTGATACTTATAGGTGTATTTACATTTTGAAAAGCTATTAAATTCTATAGTTTTAAATCTAAAGTGCATTGCTCACTGATGTACCTATTTGTGTGTGATCAGCAGACAGGTTTAACGCTTTTTGGTTTACATTTTTCTTCGTATATATGATAATTCACTCAGTTGAGTGTTTCTAAGTGAACATCCATCATTTGTTAATATCTTATAAGGCCATGTAATCAGAGAAGGCCTAATTCTTGAATCTGAATGCCTAAGATATGTGTTCTAGTGTGACCACAACCACACTTTCTAGGTATTTATTGAAAATGAGACTACCACATATCTGCATAAGAACCTTCAGGAGCATGCCATCAGGGGAAAAAAAAAAAAAACAGTATGAAAACAGTGATCAGCAAACTAGACTTCAGCAATCCCCTGAAACAAGTTTTCATCTCAGTACTTAAGAGAAGTCATTCTTTAAAATAATGTGATAAATTATGTTCTGCACTTGATTCTCTAGATTCTAATTTTAAGCCATTAAACACACAGGTAACCATGACACTTCCATAATCTTTTCAAAAATTACTGAAGGTGAAATTAAATCTGCCATTTTGTCTACTTTTTATATTTATCTAAACTCTCTATCAGTTTTCTTATCCATAAAATAAGAATAATGTGGTTTAATAAAGCTTTTGCAAATATTAACATACATGTTGATATAGAAAAATACTTTTTTTTTTTTTTTTGAGACAAGGTCTTGCTTTGTCTCCTAGGCTGGAGTGCAGTAGTGTAAACTGGCTCACTGCAGCCTCAAACTTATGGACCCAACAATCCTGCCACCTCAGCCTAGTTGTCTTCTTCAGTAACAGAGAAAGTTTAGTGGGCATTGCCTCTTCACTCATCTCTGACTAAAATGGAAACAACCACTTAAGAATAAAGTAATCCTTTTGTGGAACATTTTCATTTTACTATGCAAACATCTGAATTTGAACCCATGAAAATCAGTGATAGCCAAAACAGCTATAAAGGATGAAATTTAAGGGGTGGAAGAAGCAACATGATCCTTTTCTTTGCAGCTCATTAAACTCACTGGTTGTATAGTAGAATTCCACATCTATTATTAGGTTAGTTTGGATTGTGTGTTGGGCACACATTGAAGCAGTCAGATGTATAGACTAGGGCAATAAACACAGGTGAAAGTTGAGAATATGACCTATTTTTCTCTGGGATTTCAGAATCTAATTGAGGAGAAAGACATGAAAAAGGCAGCTGATGTATATTTTCATATAAGAAGTAGTCCGTTAAACACAGGTTGTAATGAGAGAAGGCACTATCTAACACAAGCTGGGAGTGAGGGGGCAGTTGACTGAGTAAGGCGGGAGTATTCAGCAGAAAGTGGTTGCTTGCATGGTGTGAGTAGACTTTATACCAAAACAAAGATGAAGGTCATCTAAAGAAAAGAATACATTGGTAGAAGTGGAAAAGCTTATCAATACATACATTCCTAGATAAGAGTCCAACATGGCCCAAGAGGAGGTAAAATAATTAGTCTCCTCTACTCAGCTCTGCAGTGCTGTAGACTGATGACTTCCAACTTCAGGTGTATTACTGTCAAAAGAGAAGCAGAGGCTACCTAAGTGGGCCAGCACACCTACCATATAATGAGTTAGGCTGTAAAAATGGTATTATCGCTAAAAATTTGACATCTACAAAGTTTTTATATGTTCTCTATTTATAACATTTTTAGGGCATAAGGATAGACAAGTGTCTTTCTAGAGATTACCTGGGATAAACACTAGTGTGGCAGGATTAGCAAATGATCATATTCCAGGGCATCATGCTACCACCCTATTTAAATAATCTGATTGTTTCATTACCCTTGAATCAGCTAGCTCTTGCAATTGCTAAGACTGATTGTAAAGGAGTTCAAGCAACATGTCTTTTTAAAAAATAAAAGTAAAAACTTCACGTTTGCCCTGGTGTGGTGGCTCACGCCTGTAATCCCAGCACTTTGGGAGGCTGAGGCAGGCTGATCACCTGAGGTCAGGAGTTCGAGACCAGCCTGGCCAACATGGTGAAACCCCATCTCCACTAAGAATACAAAAATTAGCTAGGCATGGTGGCACGTGCCTGTAATCTCAGGCTGAGGCAGGAGAATCACTTGAACCCGGGAGGCGCAGGTTGCAGTGAGCCAAGATAGCACCAACGCACTCCAGCCTGGGGGACAAGAGCAATACTTGCCTCAAAAAAAAAAAAAAAAAACCTTCATGTTTGTTGTTACAACATTAGGGCAAGCTTTCTATAGAAGAGTAATAAAAGGCCACTAAAAAAAATTTTCAAAATCCTACTACTCAGAAATGAAACCAAAATACAAACATGGTTATTATTTAGTGAAGAGCATTCTACATATTTCTCTGTGGAGACAGACATATGAATAGACATGTAAATAAATAGGATCAATTTATACAATCCCACAAATTAGATTCTGTACACTACATTATGTTTACTTTTATAATACTTAATTTAGTGAAATAAAATAAAGCAGAAGTAAAATTATAGCAAAAATAAACTATTCCAGCACAAAAAATTTAATTCTAAAATGTAGTTCTAAATTAAAAACAGCAAAAGCAAGAAAAACAGAAGATAAAGATAAAAGTATTGTTATTGTGTCACTTTTTCTATAATTCAACTTGAAATAGTGACTTCATATTCATATTTAATAGAAGAGGATATAATATTTGTACCTCTATTCTCCATATGGATTGATTTATTTTGTTACATTGTTAAGTTTACATTGCCAATGCTTTAAAAAGTTATTCTCCTTTAACCAAGATTGACAAAGATTTTGTTTCATTCTAATTTAATTTCCATATTTAAATAGAGGGTAATTTTCGGCATCATTCATTTTACTGAATCTTCACATTCTTGAGTCTGTTATTTTAATTTCTGTCTGGCTTGACGTGTTTTCAAGTCAAGAGTGAGAAGTAAAGCTCCTGGGTGTTTTCTTCCGTTACACTTGCAAGAACACATGACTGGCTTCAGAATTCCAGGGTCACCTTCCTTTCTGTCAGAATTTTGCAGTCACTGCCTCATTGCCTTCCATCCAGCATGGAGCATTTCTGTGGAAAGTCTTCCACCCCAGAGGCCTCCATTTTGATCAGTTTTGGGTATTTATTCCAAAAATATACTGGACTTCCAATTCTTCTTACTGACTTATTTTCCTTTAGCAATTGTATTTCTGAATTTTCAAAAGCTTTTGTGTATTTTATTTTTTGAATTTTTTACTTATTACAGCTTCCTCTACCTTCGAGATGTATAGGTGTTATACATTTTCTCTCCCTGAACATAACTGCATATCATTTTTAAAAGTTTTTTCCTGTGCCTGTATTGTATCTTTTATTATAGATTTACTTGCAATTATTATTATTATTATTATTATTATTATTATTATTATTATTATTATTTTTACCTTGATCCCTGCCTTTCATGTTTGAGGTTATTGTCAAATCTTGGCTATTTATTCATTTTTAAGATAGAGGAACCATAACACTTATTGGAGATGGTATTTGGGTGATGTTACATGTCTGTTTGTGAATTTCTCTATACTTATTACTACCAGTGTATGGATCTGAACAGAAGAAGTTATGAGAGTGACTTACAATTAACGTTAGTACAATGAGATTTTACCCTTCTGTTTGGTAGACCTTATTCTCTTGTTCTGTGAATTGTGTCCCTACACCTGGCCCTTCTCTTGACATATTTCTCCAGAGAATAAATATCTAGTCTTATGCCTCATTCTAGAAAGAATAGGTACTGGACTCTGTGGGATGTAATTGGGAAATGGAAGTCCTTTCTGTTTCTTCTGTGAACTTTCACCCCAGCCACCACCAACTACAGTAGTACTAGTCTTCATTCCTAAATTCATTTGTTCTGCAAAGTTGGATTGCTTCTTACTAGTTTCTGCAATTGTTTGAGGCTTTTTCACTCACAAGTTAGAGAATGAGACTTCAGCTAATTCTTAACTGTGTCTCCTTCTTGTTCTGTGTGTTTTTTGAAGGAGAAAGAAGTCAAAAGTTCTCTACCATCTTAAAGCCAAAAATTCATATTTTATTTGTTTTGCTATTTTCTTCAGAAACATCAAATTTATAGTACACATTGCTTTTCTTGTCATTTCTCTCCATTTTGTAATTTGTGTATGCAGAATTCTAAGATGACATCTAAGAGTTTCACCCCCTGGTGTGTATGTCCCTTGTAATTCCAACATCAAGGATGGGCAGATCTGTGACTATGAGGGATAGTTACTCTCATGAGTATATAAAGCTACATAAGACTTCTTCCTAGCCCACTGGAGAGAGATGCTTCTGCTGGTTTTGAGTAAGCAGCCATGTTGTCATAGGGCGTGGCCAACAGCCTG